>NC_000004.12:98618350-98921381 GCF_000001405.40 Homo sapiens
AACTTACTTTCCAATTAAGAGCAAAACCAGAATAAAATCAAGCATTCTTTGAAAGCCATTCAAGTATTACTATATACAAATTCTAAGTAAACCCCAAGCAATTACATTTGTATAATAGCAGTCGTAATAACTAATATTGATTGAGCTTCACTACGTGGCAAACTGCATTAGGCTCTTTATATGTACGATTCACTAAATTCTTCTAACACCTCTGTTATTACCTCCTCCTTTTTTTAAGCAAAGGAGGCATATGAAGGATAAGTAACTTGCCTAGGGTCATATCAATAAAAGGGGCAGAGTCAAGGTTCAAACCTAGGTCCACGGGACTCTAAAGCCAGTGTTTTTCATATTATACCACACTGCCTTGGGGTCTTCAGTGTGTAGGAGCAAAAACTAAAACTGCATTTTAATTTAGTAAGCAGCAATCACCTTCCATTTTAAGAGGTTCTGTGTAACTGACTGCCCTGAAAATTTACAGGCAAAGACAGGGAAATTGGCACTCATCTAACAAGTCTATAGCATAGCTGTAAAGCAGCTGTGCAGAAGCCGGGGGACAAGTGAATCGTGTGCTAGGCAAGGCTTTACGTGCCTCTGTCTCAGACTTGAAATTTTTTTTTAAACTGGGGAGCCAAGGAGAAGGGAAAGATAATCTTTTTCTAAATTCTACAGAGAGTATTAAATAAACATGATCAGCCCCATAAAGCTCTGATAAAGTCAGTCATTAAAAATAAAAAACTGTATCTCCTACTACCTCTCATTCTTCACCCAACAAGTATAAAAATCCACGAGCACACACACAAACTCTATCAGTATTAGCCTATTTAAACCTTAAATTTTTAATTCTGCTTATCTCTTTTGGGAAATTCATTCAGGAGACATTTGGCTTTGCTTATACTTCTGTTGCTGTTATTTTATTGCAGGCGTCAATATGACTGTCTCTTGGGTGGCAGCTCTCAGACATCTCGTGCAGTATCAATATTCACAAGGCAGCCTCAGATTTACTGCTAAACTGAGATCATGAGCATGAAACAATAAACCTACAGGCCACTGGGCATATTTGCTGTTGATCATGCTTGGATCAGCTGCACAAGCTTGTGATGTTTATGATATAAGCAAATGGCTTTCCTTGCTCTACCTTTTCTAATTCTTCCCAGTCAACTTTTATTTCAAAGTCTTACAAACCATCTATGTGCCAGCTACTGTGCTAGCTGCTGGCAATACTGTAGTGAGCAAAATAAGCTTACTGCCTATTTAAAAAGGCAGAAGTCAATCAAATAATGATGCAAAGGAGTGAGTAATTAGAAAAGAGCACCGTGAAGGAACACAGATTGACGAGTGTCCATCTGTTCAGGCTGCTATAATAAAAACACTATAAACTGTGTAACTTATAAACAATAGAAATGTATTTCTCACAGTTCTGGAGGTGGGGAGGTCCAAAATCAAGGCTCCAGCAGATTCAGCGTCTGGCGAGGCTCATCTCTGCTTTTCAGATGGTGCACTCTCACTGCGTCCTCACGTGTTGGAAGGGGCAAACAAGCTTCCCCAGCCTCAGTTATAAGGGCACTAATCCAATTTCACCCTTAGGATCTAATTACCTCCTAAAAGCCTCATATTATTGCATTGAGTACTAGGTTTCAACACATGAATTCTGGGAGACACAAACATTTAGACGTAGCATGGAGAATTTGGGCAGTTTTTAAACATGGCTGCAAATTCTGAAACTCCTCCCACTGAGAGGTGAGGTCTATGTCCCCTCACTCATGAATATGGGCAGCCTTATGACAGCTTAACCAATAGAACATGTTGGAAATGACGCTATGTAACAAAGCTAGGTCATAAGAGGCCATGCAGCTTCTTTAGCTCACTCTTGGAACCCTGAGCTACCCTGTGAGAAGTCTGACCACCCGGAGGCCACCCAGTCGTGAGGAAGTCTAAGCCACATGAAGAAACCACAGTAGGAGCCATGGTCAACAGTCCCCGCTGAGGCTGGTCTTGGAGTCATCCCAGTCCAGACAGCAGGCATACACACCTGAGGAAGCTCCCTTATGATTCTGGCCTCCAGCTGTTCACATTCTCCCATCATGGAGCAGAGATAAGCCTTCCTCACTAGGCCGTCTCTATTCCTGACCTGCAGAGTCCACAAGCCTAAGAGTGGTTGCTGTTTAACACCACAGTGTTTAGAAGTGCTTTGTCACACAGCAGTCGACAATAAGAACAAAGGTGCTGCATATAACAGAGGCTGCCTTGTGCCAGGAAGTCATGCGAGCGCTCTCCATGAAAGTAGCATTAGGGCTGCGATCTGAAGGGTGAAAAGACCTCCATTAATGGAAAGAGAGGGAGAAGCAGGCTGTAGGCACAGGCACTGCAATCAGAGGGAGTGTGGCTGGCACAGAAAAAACAGCACAGAGTGAGAGGAGAGTAAAAAGGCTGACAAGGTAGGCAGGGGTCAGACCACATTGGGTGCTTTGCTGGTCTGGTGCTTGACAGCACTTAGAAGTCCCTGGAGGGGTTGTCTATATACATTTTTTTAATTGAAAATTCACGTAACATAAAAGTCACTGTTATGGGTTGAACTGCATATCCCCAAAATTCACATATTGAAGTCATTACCAGCATCTCAAAACGTGACTTTATTTGGAAATAGAATCATTGCAGGTATACTTAATTAAGAGGTCGTTCAGGGTAGATCCTAATCCAGTATGACTGTGTCCTTATAAAAAGACAAAATTTGGACCACAGACACACACACAAGGAGACCACCATGTGAAAATGAAGACAGAGGTCAGGTGACAGGTTTATACACCACGGAATGACAAAGATGGCTGGCAAACCACTATAAGCTAGGGGAGAGCCACGGAGCTGATTCTCCCTACAACCATCAGTAGAAACCAACCCTGTGACACCTTCATCTCAGAGCTGCAGCCTCCAGAGTTGTGGGGCAATACATTTCTGTAGTTTATGCCACCCAGTTTCTAGAACTTCATTACAGCAACCCTAGGGAACCAATATGTCACTTTTTTTTTTTTTTTTTTTTTGAGACAGAGTCTCGCTCTGTCTCCCAGGCTGGAATGCAGTGGCGCGATCTCTGCTTACTGCAAGCTCTGCCCCCCAGGTTCATACCATCCTCCTGCCTCAGCCTCCCGAGTAGCTGGGACTACAGGCAACCGCCACCACGTCCGGCTAATTTTTTTGTATTTTTAGTAGAGACGGGGTTTCACCATGTTCACCAGGATGCTCTCGATCTCCTGACCTCGTGATCCGCCCGCCTCAGGCTCCCAAAGTGCTAGGATAACAGGCGTGAGCCACTGCGCCCGGCCAGATGTCACCATTTTAAAGTGCACAGTTCAGTGGCTTTTAGTAAATTCACAATATAGTGCAGCCAGCACCACTATCTGATTGTAGAACATTTTCATATCCCAAAAGGAGACCTCATTCCCACCCCCCCCGCAGCCCCTGGCAACCATTAATCTGCTTTCTGTCTCTATGATTTTTGCCTATTCTGTACGTTTCATATAAATAGAAACATACAATATGTGGCCTTTTGTGTACGGCTTGTCACTTAGCATAATGTTTTCCACGTTCATCCATGTTGTAGCATGTATCATTACTTCATTCCTTTCTATACCATTGTATGGGTATACCACAATTTGTTTACCCATTCATCAGGGACAATTATCTGAGCTGTTTCTACTTTGGGGCTATTATGAGTAATGCTGCTATTGAACATTATGCACACTTTCTTTTTTTGAGACAGAGTCTCACTGTGTTGCCCAGGCTGGAATGCAGTGGCACGATCTTGGCTCACTGCAACCTCTGCCTCCCAGGTTCAAATGATTCTCGTGCCTCAGCCTCACAAGTAGCTGGGATTACAGGTGCCCACTACTATGCCTGGCTAATTTCTGTATTTTTCATAGAGACAAATTAGCCTGTTGCCCAGACTGGTCTCGAACTCCTGGCCTCAAGTGATCCACCCGCCTCAGATCCCCAAAGTGCTGGGATTACAGGCATAAACCACTGCATCCAGCCTCATGCACACATTTTATTTGAACACCTGTTTTCAATTCTTTTGGAAATGTATACCTAGGGGTAAAACTGATGAGTCATATGGTAATTCTTTAACTTTTTTGGGGGTCCACCAAAACACTTTCCACAGTGGTTGCGCCATTTTCATTCCCATCAGCAATGTCTGAGGGTTCTCTGGAGGGCTTCAAGCAAATGAGATATTGAGTTGTGCTTAGAAAAAAAGTCATAGAAACCAGCATTCATGAGAGAACATGAGTTCAGTTTTGAACCGATGGGTCTGACATGACTTTTAAAACATTCAAGAGGACATGTCAGGTAGGACAGTCAGTCTGAGGCTTAAAAATGAGGTCAGTCAGCTCTGGAGTTAAACTTTGAGACTCAGCAGGTCATGGGCATGGAAGAGATTCCATGAGAGAAAGTGCAAAGTATAGAAAAGAGGGGCTTCTGAACTTTTAGGAGCTCTGAAAATGAGTGGTGGGACAGAAGAAAACGTGTCTGCAGGAAGGAGTGTGATAAGCAGAATTTAACAAAATTATAATATTGGTGGACTAAGAGGAAGGAGACTGAGCAAAGACAAAAGAGACTCATCATTTTGTAATAAGAAACAGATTTGTAAATGGTCTAAATTGTGACATTTTAACAAAAAAGGATAAACACCATTTTACTTCTTTCTACATTTTTCCTTTTTAAAATTCCTTTCCTTTTTTAGGGGAGGGGAGGGTAGTGGTGGTGGAAAGGAAAGGTTTTAATTCCCTTAGTCTTATGTGTAAGAGGTTAAACTACTTGACCTGTTATCAGAACTGGTGAATAAATGCTTTTCAGACTGGACATCAAACCTATCTAATTTAAAATAGACCTCCCCCAAGGGAACTGCATGAAAAGAATCTGGTCATGTACTTAACAAGTTTCTATTGTTTCATCAAAGGGTCTGAAAGCTGGAGAAGACAGTTGGATGCCACTTCAAAGTATCACTAAGAAATCAACAACGATTAAAGCAGGAGAATCATAATTCCTCCACACACCCTCCCTGCTGACAAGAAGGTATTTAATTAGAGTCCAATCAAAAGATGAGAATCCTATGAATAAACCTGTAATAATATCCTCTGTCCCACTTCAAAATTATAGCTTAAATTATTTTGTTCCTCAAAAGCCATAGTTCCAGAGATTATAAAACTCTCTTTACATATCAATCACGAGTGTAGCTAATCCTTTCAAGTCTACAATGCAAATAATTAAATTTTAACTTTGTAATCATGAGAACAAAGGACTCTTGGGATTAAATAAACATTGCCTTTAGAAGAGTATAGGAAACAGTTTTAGCTCAGGCCGGTGGCCTTTTTGAGATACAACCCATCCCTTACTCCTTTGGTGGCTTTCAACATTAATACAAAATTGGGAAATTTAAAATTCACTGTAATTCATTACAGTGAGTTACTTTATTTGAAAACAACACATGCACACATACATATATACAATTCCATGTTTCCTCTGTATTCACGTACTTTGAAAAGTTCAATTTTATCCATTTACAGAAGAGGTGTCCTCCCAGAGTAAGTTTGGATATTAGTTATTTAAGGTAAGCCTATGTCAGGTGGAAATATGATTGATGTTAGGACCCTATAAATACCTTCTTTTGCTTTATATGAAACTATGAAATTGGTTCTAATTATATTACCAAATTGAATCATATTGAAAAAAAGTAATAAAATCATTGCATTAGTCACAATCAGCCACATTTGCTGGTATTCAGGCCTGGTATTTGACATATATGTTATTCCAAAGCCTTACAAAAACCCAAATAGAAGTTATTACCATCCCTGTTTTACAGACAAAAGTTCAGGGGCAGAAGATCCAAATCTTACCTTTAGAAACACAGAATTGAAATACAAACCTTTAAAAAAAAAAACAAACCACAACGCTAGGACTGCCTCTACCACACTATGCCTTCATGGAACTGTTATGAGAGCTTTTAGAACATTATTGCCAAGTACAGACTAAGTGCAGCATAATGATGAGGAGATAAAGTCAAGAATGAAAGTAATGGTTTCCCAGAGGAAAAAAAAATACGTATTAACATAAGTAACATTTCATTACTAAGAGCTCCATAAGAAGTTACTTGATTTAATCTAGGTTGGGTTTTTCTGTGTTTTTTGTTTGTTTGTTTTGTAGAGGAGGTGTAAAATTTTAGATACGGAGTGATACTCTGTTGTAAAAGCAAGAGCAAAAATTTTACAAAACACTGCTTCCCCACAGTACATAAGAAAAAGTCTTCTCAATGTCCCTGTCCCTAGTTCAGAGAATCAGTATGACGATAGTACTTGGAGAACTATAAGAGCAGTAACTTACATTAATTAGTAGTTAATGGGGTAGAGCCACAAACATTAACTTATTCATTAATTCTCAACATACTTCCCTGAAGCAAGTCTGAGCTTCTCTTTGATAGAGGGAAAGAAAGTCAATGTTACATAAGTGATGGCAGCCTACTTCCAGGAAGTGATCATAAATACACAAGACTAACGCCACACTTAAGACTTTAGATTCCTCCTATACAGAGAGGCATTAATGAACGTATTTTTAGACACAACCAATCCCAAAAAAACCATCATTGAAAATTTGTAGGATTCCAAAAGGCAAAATACGATTTGAAAGCACTGAAACATAATAATGATAATAACAACAACAATAATAGGAAAGGGAGGAGGAGAAAAAGCTAATAATTGTTGAGTGCTTATAATACACCAGACAATTCTGTAAGAGCCCTATGGGCAGTAGTTATTTATGCCTAGTGTTCCATTACTGGAACGCTAAGCATGTGGGAGTTTTTTATACCCTTCTGCTCAAGGTGGTTGCCAAGGTCTGATTGCAAAAATTCAAAAAATTGCAACCTCAGACATAAATGGATTAACTCTCAATCCTTACAATGAGCTTGTGAAGCAGGTATTATTTCCCGCTTATAAGGAAATGAAGGTGATGTGAGTTGCCCAGTCACACTGATAGTTCCGAGCAGAATTTGGAGCCACTTTGGTTCCAAAGCCCATGAAACTGACCAAGATTTTACCCAGTTAATCAAGGTAAGACTTATTTTCATGTTCAACTCAAGATTACCCATGCAAGATTGACGTTACTTCACCAAAGAGAAAAAACAAAAGTCTGTTATGTTTTGCCCTTTACATATTTCCAGGGCCAGAGGGCCAAACCCCTTCCTTCCTGTGAACCTCTGGTGCAATGAAATGTCAAGCCAGATCTGGTCCACTCTAAAATACGACTCACTTGCTATTACTATCTTTAAATGGCTTCATCCGACCTACTCCCTGAAACCAATTTCCTCTTGAATACATTTAATTGCTTCTTTATGAATGAACCCTATTAGTAGCATTTATTCATTCCTTCTGAAAACCACGTTTAAAAGCAAGAAAATAGTATGTCAGAGTAGTATGTTTATTTCATCAAATACACATCTTCTCTTGGAAAAAAAAAAATCACTTTGCTTATTAGATCTTTCTGTGCCAGGTAAGTTTTAAGAGAAAATTTATACTACCACATATTTTTAAGTTGAGTACTATGTTTATGAGAAATAAAGCAATGAGTGGAAACACTTCATAACTAAGTATCTCTAAAGGATTTTCCATAAACCAATTATTCACTCATTCCTCACTTGTTACTATATTTATCAACATCAACATGTTGTTCAAGGACCATCCACATGAGAATCACCTGGGGCTGGCTGTTGACAACACAGGTGAGATCTAATGAATGCTGGTTTCCCAGTGAAGAAATCTGCATCACTCACGAACAGCCCAGGTACATGCTGGTTTCCCAGTGAAGAAATCTGCATCACTCACGAACAGCCCAGGTACATCTTATGTATTCTAAAGGTTGAAGACCACTGAGTCCCCTTTATGTGCTAATAGGACAAACAGATACACAAAGGGCTTATCATAACCTCCCATAATTGATCTTAAATTGATCTCTCTGCTTCTAACCTTGACCCCATCCCTACATACCTGCTTATTCCGTAAACAACAAAAGGATTTTTAAGGCATAAGTCAGATCATGTAACTTCTCTGCTCAAAATTCCCCCAGAGTTTCTCATCTCCCTCAGTGGCAACAAGCCTAGAATAATCTCCCTGCTCTGCCTTTCTGACTCATTTCCTACCACTCTCCTCTCCCCTCCTGCTTGGCTCCAGCCACCAGACCGCCTCCTCCTCACCCCTGGCCCACCTGGTGCAGCAGAACCTTCACCCCTACAGGCTCCCTCTGCCGGGACCGCTTTCCTGCAGCTAGCCCCACAGCCTGTTCCTTCCCTTCCTTGGGGTTCCTGCTCCACAATCACTAGTGTGGGAGGCCTTCCCTGGCCACTTTATCAAGAACCTGCCCATCCCTTTTCCTGCCTGATTCGATCCTCTTTAGCGTTTATCACTATCTAATGATCTAATGTACTTGCTGTTTTACTTATTTTTTCTTGTTGGTTATCTGTTACCCTCCACTAAAATGTAAGCTTCATGAGAGCAGGTTTTTTTTTTTTTTTTTTTTTTGGTCTGCTTTGTTCTTAAATGTATCCCATTTGGCACGTAATAGACATCAAAAAATATTTACTGGCTAAAAGGATGAATGAATATCATCAATGCTCCAAAAAAGGGTACTTGATTAATGAAGCATTGTAAGAGAGAGCAACCAGCTTGGGGTAGGGGGCAGAGCGCCTAGCTCTCCTCGTGGCAGGTAACACTAGTGGGGTTTTCAAGGAAGGACAGAAAACATCTCCTAAGAAAAGGAAGGACATTCTACACATCAGCTGGCCTGTAATTAAAAGTGTCAGTGTCATGAAAGATGAAGGAAGAATGAAGAATGCTTCTAGAATGAAGGAGACTGGAAAGATATGACAGCTGGGTATGAGTGATCCTGAACCGGATCCTTTTGCTATAAAGGACGTTACTGGGATAACTGGAGAAAACTGAAGGGATTTTATCAGTGAAGGTTTATAGGAGTTCTTATTTTAGTATTTTTGCCATTTTCCTGTAAGTGTGAAGTTGTTTCAAAAGGAAAAAAAAAACACAAAAGGAACCAGAATAACACGAGTAAATGCAATGCATCAAATGATCTGTGAATAAAATGCCCACTGAATAAAACAGGGAAAAACAACAACTATTTCTTCCAAATGTTCCTATTTCCCTTACTCCCCCATTCCTCCATGAAAAACTTTGGGCCTGTATCATCTTGGCTTAGAGTCAGCCAAATACGGTCATTCTTCTTTAAGTATAAATGCAAATAAACCCCCTGGATTTCAGTGGGAACACAGCATGCAGCAGAACATTTGTGTGTATAAACTCTGTAGTAAATGACATCTCTCTTCTCCCTACAGAGTAGAAGCTTGATCTCCATGAATTGCTGTAACTCAAAACATACTTTTTACACAAAAATAATGATGGGGTTGAAAATAGAAAAAGTAAATCTTTGGACTGGACTGCTGTTGTGAGCCAAAGAGAATGATTAAATATAAAACAAGAGGGAAAAAAACAACAGCACTAGGTTATAAAAGAACAGATTGACATAGATTTTTTGAAACTGGAAGTTACAGGCAACATGCCTAGAATTTAGATAACAGTATTAAGGACTGAACACTCATCCAAACATCTACAGCTCCCCTGACAGGTCAAATTCCATTACAACAAACACCAGTGCAATAATAATCTGAGTAATCCAAAGCATTCCTGGTTAACGACCTCCTTAACTCAAGCAGTATGCAATATCTAACACCATTCCCCATTTTAAACACAAAAGTACAAACGTAAATACAGCAAGTGATTGTTCACTGTACAAAAGGACTCATCAGAAGTCTCCATAATAAGGTATAAGGGTTTTTTTCAACATCTAGACTAGTGTTTGTGGGGCCATTTTTTAAATACAGAAAAAAAAATTAACTTACATGCAACTTTTGAAGGACATGTCTAGATACAGTGGACCCAAAATGTTAACAGCAACTGAAAGCAAGCACAAGTTTAACATGACAACAGGAGCATCTATAGATTGACTCATGTACCTCCCAAGTCCCCTACTTTCCTCTGTAATGTGGGGTACACCACACTGCCTGGTATTGGTTTAATTTGAATTTTCTTCCAAATTATTAAAGTTGACAAATTCTCATTTTTTAAATATGAAGTTCCAGCCTCTCCTGGAAAATGGTTAGATCTGGCAACACAGGTACAGATTCCTGGGTCAACCAACAGCTAATGGAAACCAGCTCCCTGATAGGCATGGCAGAAGCATTGCTGACCCCTTTACCACACTCCCCATCACTCCCTATTGCATTCCCAGCACCCTTAATGGCTTATTTTCTGCCTGGTCCTTCTAAGCATAGGAATCTGCAACACCAGCTTTTAAAACAACTAAAACAAACAAACAAAAATTACTACTCAACTTGCTGATATATCAAAACTGAGCTGTATCATACATTGTCCTATGATACATTGTACATTGCAGAGAGAAGGCATGCTAAGTTAATATTATGGATAAATTACTTTAAGATTTCTCTAAATGACATTCTCACAAGCATCCCTGGCAAAAGGCAACATCTATAATCTTTAACTGAAAACACTTTGCTTTGGAAATGGGAATGCTTTGAATGTACCTTAGCTTATCAAAGCATAAATTTACTTGTTTTTAAATGAGTTCAAAACTAGCCATCATAGTTATTTATGTATATGTTACTGCAATTAAATAAAAAGGAAAAAATGCTTATAAACACACACATATTATCCTGAAACAGAAACAATAAGCATAATTACTCTAAAGTGGCAAAGAATGGATAATTTGTCTATGAACTATTTCACAGTCTTTGAGTTGTACTGTGTATTACACATAACCAGAATATCTTCAGTCTCAAAAAGACTATTTCTGAGCACACAACCAAGATTGCAGGCAAGTCACACAACCCCTCTGTGCCTCGATGTCCTCATCAGAATAATGTGAAAAATAATAGTGCAGACATCTTAAAGGGTTACTGGGAGGATTAAATGAGCTGATACATACAAACAGCACTTATAACACTGCCTACCACTATTGCCCAACCTTGTATCAATCGACACACTAGCCTAAAATGCTGATAAATTACGTTCTCCTAATGCAAACATTCTCATCTCTGCTCTGGTTTGCAGAATGAAGCAGTCTCCTGGTCTTTTATCCAAAGCACACTCCAGTATTATTAATTTAAGTTGCTGCTAAATCTCAAAAGTCATTAATAAAATGTAGTGATTTCTCAAATGGTTTATGGTCAGCCACTCTAAGAGGTACTTAATAGAAAAGAATTAGCTCAAAGCTGGTATCCAGATGATTTATCAAAACAACTATCAGGTTTAAAGAAAATCCCCAGGGCAGTAAAAACCCAGCATTCAAAAAACACCAATGAAGAAAAAGACTGTTGCTATTCACAAAGGTACAGACTGTTAGTGAGTGAATAAATGGAAGAATAAATGAATGAAGATCAAATGGGTTATTTGCTGCTGACCACAAACTTATGCTTCCCTTTCAAAAAAAAGTATTTTTAATCAGATCCTCTGCTTATATTTGTGTCATTGTTAAACTGTCTTGTCATACTTACATAACCAGGTAATAATAATCTATGAAAATACTCGACTAACCAACCCAAACGCTTTCCCTAAATCTTAACATATGCACTGACTGCATTTGGTGTGGTCAGAGATGGGCCCTGTCCTGAATTCACGCTCGAGTTGGGGAACAAAACTAACCAACAAGGATTAAGTGGTAACCTCTGAGTATCTACTAAACAGCATCAGAGTTCCTGGAGGGTTATGCCCAGGGTAGGCTGCAAGGGTGCTCAAAGTGAACAAGAACAGGACAAAGGCAAAGCAGAGGAGGCACCAAACGAAAAGCACTGCAGCTGTTCCAGCCATGAGGCCTGATGGAGAAAACAACATGGCACATGTTCTGCTCAGCAAATCCCTACCCGCCTCCAATACATACAGCAGCACCACCTCCTCTAAAACATTCCCTCATTACCTGATCTTTAGACTTATACACCACTTCTCGTTTATGTGTGTATTTATTTATATGTTTTTCCTCCATTGGACTGAGAGCTCTCAAAGCACAAGAATCACCTTAATCCATCTTGTATTGTCATCCGAGGCACGCATATTCCCTAAACATCCCTGGATTGAATGAAGATGACTTAGCAAAGGGAGGGATTCTCTCAACCCGGGAGACTGTGCACATAACTAGAAAGGGAGGGGCCCACGGAATCCAACGCCAAGCTTCCTGTGCATTGGTGCTACCCAGGAGAAAGGAGTGCCCCTGTCCTCAAGAAACTTAAGTCCACTTAGATCACAAAAAGTTCTCTGAGAAAGTATGTGAAGGGCTCTATTTAGACAGCTATTTATTACTCTGAATTTGAAGCCCTCCTCCCCTTGAAGTAAGGCCTACTGGCTTAAGGGCCCTGCAGAGCTAAAGATGTGAGGATAACTTGCCACTGGTGCTTAGCACAAATAGCGAATGAGAGTTCACTGGGAAGTACAAACGAAGGGAATCAACTTACTCATAAATCTCAACACCCTTTCTTTTGCTCACTGGCTGAGAAACTGCCATCTGGAAGGCTCAGCAGATAGATGAAAGGCATTATCACAGTTCTACTGGAATATTTCTGCTTGGCAAAGAACACAAGATGCCAGAACTTGAAAAAAATCATGTAATTCTGATGACCTCATTTCACCTTTCTTTTCAGCCAATCCAAATTCAGCCTGTTGTAGATATTTAACAATTAGAGAAACCTTGCAATTACTTTGCTGAATCGCTCGACTGGCAAAACGTCCACAAGGCCTGCGCATCTCCTACATTCTAATGCTCTGGTAGCTCTGAGACCCACGGCAAGCAAGGAGAGCACCCCCTACAGACAACATTCACACTGAGAAGTGGCAAGAAAGTGAGGAAGACAATTCCAGGTCCCTGAGTCCACCACCAGACTCTCATCAAGTTCACCCCAATATCTGGGAAGCATATAGCCTTCACTGCACATGTTCCATCCCTGACTCCGGGTGGGTGCACCTGTACCTGTGAAACAAACACACCCACACACAGGCAAACATAGCACTCGATCTTTTTTTTTTGGCATTTGCTATGTCATCTGGTATCCCTCCAGACTGCCTGGGCCTCCACGAGTCTTAGATGCCTGACCCTGCAGGGCCAACATGAAGGGAGCCACCACTTCAAGGTCCCATCCAACTGCTGCTAGGAAGCCAGGCCTGAGAGGGGCTCTTTAGTGTTGTTCTGTTTTAAGACCTCAGGCTATAGGATCTGATAAAAATTATCTTCAGACTAGTGGTGTCATAAAAACCCCTTTTCCCCTGAAGGGACCCAGCAATTTGAAAGTGCCTTGCAAAGCATGTTCTCCTGGATTCTTCAGAGCCTTTCCTGAGGCAGACGAGCATCTGCTCCAAGTCAGACAGGAGGAAACTTTGTCTCTGGGGACTCGGCCATAATAGGCCTTAGAAACCAAGATCTTAGGCCACTTTTTAGTTTTTCACTGTTAGTAATTCAACAAGATTCCCCTGGCACCGTGCACACTACCTTCTTTGAGTCTTTACATCAGTAGAGAAATGGATGCACAGATCATCTGTGTGCCTCTCACTGAGCCCCCGCTAAACACACGACTAAAACCAGCTCTCCCCTAGAATGCATTTTGTTTGTTTGGCCAAACACAATGCAATAGTGTCCTTGACCCCTTCCAGTTGAAAGTCTGTCTGCCTCTGACTGGCAGAAGTACCTACCCTCTGCCACCCTGTGTTCATTTTCCATTTCTGTAACAGTCTTGGTGCCTCCCACTATCATATTCCAAAATCCCAGGTGCACAGAGAGTGTTCTTACCTCTTAAAATGTTAACAACAGGCACATCTGTATATGCTGCCAGAGTTTCAAGAAGATAAATTATCTTCAGCCAGAATCAAAATTCAGCAACAGCTCCCCTCTGACCCCCCGACCCTGGAACCAGGCTCTCCCACTCTGGGAGCCTGACAATAAAACCTTTTACCTGAATGACTACATATCACTGGGCTTTAGAAGGGATCATCATATATGCTGTCATTCAAAATGAGAGTAACTTTGAAAGTGAAAGGGGACACTATTAATAAATTACATGGGGACTTCAGGGGTATACCAGCACTGTCACGGAAAACCAGGACCTATGGAGCACTTCGAAAACCCTGCCCTGAGTGTGGGTGCTACCATCAATGCTGCATTAAAAGGACAGCCACTTCCCTCTGGAAGTTGACTGCCTAGCGCAAGATACAGACAATCAAATAATCACCCAAATATGCAATAATGACCTCACCTAATTATGATGTATGCTCTGAAGGAAAAGTCCTGGGTGGTATGACAGAATATTCCAAGGGTTAACTTGACTGGGGATGGGGAGGAGGACTGGAGTGGAAGAGAAGGAAGAGGAGAAGGGAATAAGGCTGCAGGTGGGCCCTGAAGGAGAAAGCACAGACCGGGAGGATTTGATGCTGCACCAAAAGCAGCAGAAGCTGTGGAGGTCACTCATAGCATGAGGTGTCGTGATCAGACAGACATGAAGGACCACTGAGGTCCAGGGCAAAGCATGAACCGTAGGCAGGAACACGGAAGGCAGACAGCAGGAAGCCAGGGCAGTTGGGAGGATGGAGGCTCAGACCAGGGCACTGGTTGGACTCATGAGGGCAAAGGGAGAGCTGAAAAGGTAATACCCAAAGGTGATAGGTGAGAGGGTTACCAAGATTCTGGCTTAGCCAGAAAATAAAAGGGCCAGTACATAAAACAGCAAAGCCAGTTCCTTATATAACCCTAAAATGCCTTAGGGTGGCCTTGTAATCTCCTTAGTACAGCATGAAAAATCCCTTGCAAGGTAATGTTAAAATGAAATGCAAACACTAAAACTACGCTACAACAGTTTTCCCTCACCCACAAATCAATGAACCTTTCAACAGTTTAAACAAGAGAGACTCACCTAAACAACTCAATAATTCTCAGTGTTTGCAGCGACCTGTTCAGTTATGTCACCCAATAATAAAATTGCAGATGAAGTTATGAGTCCTGAGTGATACAGGAAGTTTGCCTTGAGTGTACAGAGATGGTATTCAAATCTCAAACCCTCTTCAGGATTCGAAATCTCTAAAATCATATCTGACCCCTATTTATTTCATCACTTCGATGAACAATTTTATTTTTAAACAGAATTTAAAATGATCAGCACTCACCCTTTGAGAAAATCTGATAAATAAACACACAGGAATGGTTTAGGTTACAATGGCTGCACTACCCTGAACCACTGCCCGCAAAGACTGGATCGTCATGAAATATATCACAGACAGGAAAAGGAACTCTGCCCATCCTCTTTTGTATGTCATGCCAAGAATTCTCATGTACTTAAAAGTGATCAATCACGGCCGGGCACGATGGCTGACGCCTGTAATACCAGCAGTTTGGGAGGCCGAGACGGGAGGATCACCTGAGGTCGGGAGTTCAAGACCAGCCTGACCAACATGGAGAAACCTCGTCTCTACTAAAAATACAAAATTAGCCAGGCGTGGTGGCACACGCCTGTAATCCCAGCTACTCAGGAAGATGAGGCAGGAGAATCGCTTGAACCCGGGAGGCAGAGGTTGCGGTGAGTGGAGATGGCACCACTGCACTCCAGCCTGGGCAACAAGAGCGAAACTCTGTCTCAAAAAAAAAAGGAAAGAAAAGAAAAAAAAAGTGATCAATCACAATAAAAATTACTAACAACTTCTATGTTTATATCATACTCTCCATTTCACAAAGCACTGACCTTTTTCAGTGGCCTTGGCAGCACAAGCAGGCAAATATACATGGGAGTATCAAGATTTATCACAAGGGCTTGACTGGCAGGGAGTGGCAGGGCTCTTCCATATGCTATCTCTACAGCAGATGGGTACAAGGGGCCTTTTGCCTTGCCCTACCTAAGCCACCAAAGGAAATCTCTCTGTGACCAATGTCTGGATTATAGCATATAAAGTTTCCTTTCCTGAGACTGTTACCTCCCAAATTTTCTAGAAAAATTTCCATTTCAAATACTGTCAATTGACATGCACAAAAATGTACTTTTTCCCCTTTTGGGGTAAATGTATTATTTTCAATAAAACCCATCAAATGTGGTTTACTTTGCATGCTATTATAAAACACTTGCTGTAAGTCCACACATAAGGAGGGAAAAACGCTTTGTCAGATGCTTTGTCCCAAATTAAATTTTTTATAATATATACCACCTCCTTTTCTTGAAAGACATATTCCCAGCTCACTGAAAAAAGGGTTCCAGGAGGTATCCATGAAACACGAAGGAAGGATCTGAGAAACGATAGCATCCTGAGCACCCAAAATGGTGACAGATAAATTTCTACAGATGAAGACCAGAACAGAGTGGGGAGAATGAGGAGAAGATAATGAAAGGGATTATAAACCCAACTGGACAGAGTGGGAGAAGAGACAAAAGATGTCCATTCTTTGGAAAGTCCTTTGGGTTGGAACTGAAATGGATCACAGAAGTGGGGACCCTATACTACTTAGGACTTCTCCACAGACAGACCTGTGAGTGATTTGACAGACCACAGCCTTTCAGGGTGAGAGGCAAGAGAGCTGGACAGAAGCACAGGTAAGGAGGCTGCCATTTATAACAGGCACTTTCCATTCGCCCCAGTCTCCACCATCAGCTGCCTGCTCCTGCACCTGCATATCTTTCCACATCACAGAAGGGAAAAAATATTAGTTGACATTTAGCTAATTTTACAGTTAACGAAGCACTCTCACATTTTCTTATTTAGTCATTCATGCATTCAAAACAATTTATGGAATGCCTTCCAGAAGCCAGGCCCTGGCAAAGCTTGGGATAAAACCCCCTTAAGGTCCTATCCCATGGGGAACTCAAAGACCAGTGAGAAATGGGTCCTCTAACTGACTTAGCACCAAAGAGGTCATGGTGACAAGCCTGGGCCTGATAGTACACCCTGTGGAGGTACTATCCCAACAATGAATCCCCTACATGAGGAAGGGATTTATTGGCTGATGTCTTTTATCTTTTCACCATGGCTTAGAATAGTTCCAATGGTGGATCTAGCTAGATAGAACTCAGCCCATATGACATGACAGCTTGTAAAACTCACAGTTTAATAGCCAGCTTGTATTTGAACCATTTAAACCCACCTTCGATTTATCCTTTAGAAGACAAACAATTTGCTGTGAATCAAAGACCATCAGGTGGAAAATAAGGTGCTGAACGGGGGAAAAAAAGAGACTACAGCAAAACAGATTGCCCAGAGCCATTCAAACTGAAAAAGCACAACATGCCAGACTAGCACTCTTTGGCTGAGAGCGTTCCACAGCCCCCTCTTCATAGATGCCATCCACCTGGCCAGAAGAAAATTAGACAAATACTCTTTTTAGTATCATTATAGATTTAGGTATTCTTTATGATTTAAAAATATTGCCAACAAAGAGCTATAAGGAATATATAAAGACTGAACTGCTAAATAGGGTCTCCCTAAATAATAGGGTAGGGATAGAAGAAGTTTAGGAAAGAGCACCCAAAGGGTATAATTCTGGAACCAATTTTGCAAGAGTAACAATAATAGCAGCAGCAGCTAATCAAGCCCTGAGCTAAGTGCTTTGTACTCATTACCTCTTTATTCTTTACAATCTTATTGTAAAGGTAGACACCATACCTTTGATGGAAGGTAGACAGAAATGGCAGAAATATCATTTAAAGCAGAGGTAAGCGCAAAGCTACAGAGTCAAGAAATGTAAATAAGGGCATAATGTGGCAGTTCTCCAAGTCCCAATTCCCACAAGGTGGTGGAAAAAGGACTGACACCTGCATACATAGTGGACTGCTTTACAGTGGAGGACCCTTGAACTGAGGGAGCCTGAATATTTTATAATGGACATCAAATATGCCCTACACCTTTGCTCCATGCAGGTAAGACTGTGGAACAGAATATGGATGAGAAAATATGAGAGGTGACAAGTAGGCAAGGTTCCTATAATGGTGCCTAGCTTTAATCTTTTCCAAATTAAGAATATTTAGCTATTTAAAGCAGGGGAGTATGACATAATCAGAATTGCTGCTAGAGAAATCTCCTGCAGTAGAGTGGGGAGAGTGGCGCTTTAGGGAAGGATGGGAGGTATTATAACAATGCAAGTGAGAAATTACTCATAGAGGTATGCAATAAAAATAATTTTACATATAAATATTATCTCTATTAATCTGTGCACTTAAATAACACCTTGTACATAAAATTAAAAGAAAGTCAAGTAAAACTGCTGGAAAAAAATGCGGCTGGCAGCTTCTTCATCTGGATGACAAATATACTGGACTGAAATGTCAAATGTAATTATAGCCAGACTATTAATTCACAAAAAAGAGTTAACTATTTTGAACATGAATGATCAAGCTTATTCTTTAACATAAGTGAACAAATGGTTTACTTGGCTTCACAGGTACAATAAGAGAGGTTCAGCAACTGCAGGTCTTTTGGTCTCCCTAGGCCCAGTGGAGACCAGCTGGAGAGTGGACCCTGGTGTGAGGTTTCTTAGCCCAGTCTACAGGATACCAAAGCACCTGATGAGCAGTCCTTGTCAGGCTTAGGAACCCTCCCCCTTGGTAGGGAGCTTCCCAGCTTCCCCATGAGAAGCCCCATCACCAGCAAGTTCCTCTTCAAAGAGTGAGAGGCACAGGCAGTAGTTATCACACTAACAGAAGTGTCTGAAGCCATGCAACTTAAAAGGACTGTCCACTTTCTATGCCACTTACTTAAGCCTTTGAAGGACTGCCGTTGCTCCTGCCCTTGATGCACACAGCACTGCCACACTGCACAACTCCAGGGAGCATCACGCACATTCCAGGGAATTGTGCAGTTCGCCTCCTGTGTAGCTGTACATGGCGGCCCTCAGGGATAAGAGGTCACTCTCCCACAGATACTTCCCCATTAACATCTACTTTCTGATCCATTATTTTTTTAATCCCTGTATCCCTGGATTCCAGCAGTAACTATGGGTCTCAACTGATGACCACAGGCAGTTAATAATTTTCACATATTATTAAATATTTAGAATTTGGTTTTGACTAAATGTCATTAATATTCATTTTGCAAACAACAGGAGTGGTGTTTCAACATCTTATCTCCTATATTTGAGCCCTGGGAGTCCTCTTTAAATCTAGAATCTTAATTTCAGGCCTAATTATTATATAGATATATTATTCTTTTGATGGGGGAAGGAGCAAAAACTTGTTGCAGTTTACAAGTAAATACACTTTTACAGCTCTATCACAAAGAAAAGGTACAAAAACAATTGTTCTGAACAAATGTCCCCACTTGGCTTTCATTAACTGCATAACTTAATTATAAATGTTTCTCTAAATCGCCCAAACCAACTTCAAGATGATCTAAGTGTCACTCTCCAATAGGCTGGTTAACTGCTTGAAAGCATTTTATCTATAAATATCAAAAAGTAAACTTAGAAATTATCTTTCCTTCATGTCCAACAGTGCTGAAAGGTGAAAAGAAAAAGAAAGAAAGAAATTATCTGCCTCAGTCCAATTTCAACAGAGCCAGCCTGTTTCTGAGATCGGCTCTTCCTGCTCCTTCTTAACTCTGCTCCACGGTCTTGGCCTGGACTTTCCCACCTGTCTCTTCTTATTTCAGGGCCAGATGTCTGACCACCCTTGCGCCTTGCCTCTGCCTGGGTTATAATTCGTGCCCAGTGGGGCTGTCTACGCTCCTGATGCCATGAGTTCTCCTGCCCCTGCCACCATAACACTGGACCCTGTTGCTCCGCACGCTCAAAAATCAAGCACTCCCATGTGTCACAGTTTTACATGTTGCCTCACTTAAGGTACAACAATGTCAGTAAAGATGCCTTGGTCTCCCTTGGCACTCAGTTCCCTGGAGATATACTGGCCAGAGGCACAGATATGAAATGCCTGTGAAGCCTTCATCAGGTCTAAGGGAGCTGAGATGCTCTGAGGAGCCACCCACCATGACCCTTTGAACCATACTTTGTGGGGGAGGCCCGGGTGATTACCTCCTAAACAAGACACATCTGAACGCATTTAACTGGCTAGGTATCAACTTATATGTAATACACCGGCATTTGGTTTCTTTGTTTTGGTTATTTTACATTTACTAGTTTATTATTTTAAAAAATTACAATGGATACAGATGAAGAGATTCACAGGTAAAGGTATGGGGCAAGGGACATGGCGCTTCCATGCCCTTTCTAGAGCACCACCCTACAGGAACCTCCACATGTTCAGCTCATCTGGAAGCTCCACCTGTATCTGGTCTTGTTTGATTTTACCCTACTCGCAAGGTAATAAGTTAGCCTGTTACTGTTTCATAGAAGCTGGCAGAAGACATGAGATTCCCGGGTCAAGGACAAAGGACTTTATTATTCACAGCATGATTCAGACAACACCAGCATCATGTTTACATCAGTCCAATGGAAATAGCGTTGAGGGGCCCAGATGGCAGCTGCACATGCAGTGAGCGTGCATCCAGCTGAGGAACCTATGCTTGGGAAACCTGCTGCTTTATAGTAAGCAGTAAGTGAGAGTAGGTCAGTCTTTGTCCCAGAAAGAGACACTACTTCATCCCTCAAGGCTGCTCATTGCAAACACAACACGAAGAAATGGCCCAGGTAAAGAACGTTCTTGGTATACTCAGTAAGACATGCAGGAGCACAAGAGACCCATGGAGAAGTGTCTCCCAACAATTTGTGTGTATTCCCAAACTTAGATGACTATCCTTACGGGGTTCTTGGTCTCAGCAACTCCTCCACATGAACCCCCTGCTACACTCTCAATGTCATGGGTTACAAAAGCAGCAGTACATGCCTCTCACTGGAAAAGGATTTTGAAACACTGATCTTATCTATGTTATCTATCTATTCTAATCTAATCTAATCTAATCTGAGACAAGGTTTTGCTCTGTCGCCCAGGCCAGAGTGCAGTGGCAAAATCATAACTTACTGCAGCCTTGAACTTCTGGGCTCAAGTAATCCTCCTGCCTCAGCATCCAGAGTAGCTGAGAAAACAGGCACACCCCACTGTGACTGGCTAATTTTTTTTTTTTTTTTTGTACAGACAGGGTCTCATTTTTGTTGCCCAGCCTGGTCTTGAACTCCTGGCCTAAAGCAATCCTCCCACCTCAGCTTCTCAAAGTGCTGGGATCACAGGCATAAGCCATCTCACCTGGTCTCACCCCATAATGTAACTGTTTACTCCAATATCACAGTGTAGGATTCCCCACAAGCATATCCTTCGCTCAATATGGTGACCCAACCCAGCTTTTGCTTCTTTCCTTCCTTTCTGTTTCACTTTCTTCACCATTAGAAACTTATCTATGTTTAGAAATGCACGAGAAATCAAGAAATGAATGACTAGTAGATAGGACAGAAGCTGGTTTCAATCTGGTCAAAACATTGTTCCAGAAATCTTTACTTAGTTAAGGGAAGAAAAACCATTTATGACAGTTAAAGGAAAAGAAAGCACTTATAATAGCTCAGAAAATGAAAAAGGATCAGACAGAATTCCACTTGACAAATGCTCACATTCTGAAAGGCACTAACTTAGGGAAGGGAGGGAGCTTTCCTTTACTATAACATCAATGATTTTTTAAGACATATTTTTACTTCTCAGACAGTGAAGAACAATTTAAAATGCCAGACTCCTTAAACTTCAGCAGCCCATAAAAATCGTTTGCAACAAAAAAAAAACTGTAATCATGCAAATATAAATTCAATTAGAGAATCTGTAACTGCCATAAAAATGAAGTATATATTAATAAATTAAGCAACTTCCTAAACATGCCTATTTTTACACATTACAAATTTTTGCAGAGACCCAGATGGATGCTAACTTTGTTCCTAGGCTAAGAAATTTATTTCAGATTCAACTAACGTATTTCAATTAGTAATTATGGGATAGCTGCTATATTTCAGGTAGTTTTCTAGGCATATTTATATACATGATTTTACGGAAACTGTAATGTTCTGTAGATACTACCATTTTAAAAAAACAAAACAAAACAGGTAGGTCTGTGGCCTGAAAATGATCCCTGAGGTAAGACATAAGAAATGTTGGCGTTGTTATCCAGAAAGGAAGGACTGGCCAGGCCATGTCAGGAATGGACGTGGTGGACAGCTATGGCTACACAGGAGAGGAAATTACAGCCCAGGAGGAGAGGAACATGGCAGCTGCTCTGATGAGAAAACCCTCAGATCCAGTTGCCAAAGGAAAGCATGGAGATACACTCTCCTCCAATGGGTGGGGGACAAAGGAAACAAAGCCTGGCATTAGTGACAAGTTCTATTATACAGGGTACACTTTTCTAACAAGGAAAGTTGAGGGTCCGGACACTGACAACACCTTTTCCCAGGTGACAGTGAACCAAAAGCCCGCAACTCCCCTGAGTGGGTCACCTACTGGTCCCTCAATTATCACGTCAGCATTCACTGAGTGCTCAGGGTTGGATGTACATCATCTCATGGAATCTTCACAATGATCCTAGAGGTCGCCACTAATATTACCCACTTTTTGCCCAAAAGGAGTAGTTCAAAGTGATGAAGTAACCATCCATGGTCACACAGCTTGGACATATCAAGGCCCATGTTTGAATCCAGGCAGTCTCACCCTTAACCACTGTCTTACATGTTGTAATATTCTCTGCCTAGCATTGGGAAGAGGAGGGGAGAAAAAGTTAAATCACAGAAATAAAAAAGTAAATATCCCCTCTTTTTATATAATCTCCTACTATCTGGAGCTCATCAGTATAAAACAATAAAATAAATTCCATGGATACCTGCATTCTGTAACAAAAAAACCAAACAGGACATATGTGAATGTGTAGGTTATGTTCGTCACCACAGAACCTTCAAACACCTAATAACTTGTTTAAATGAAATATAAAAATATTAAAGATGACAAAGAATTTCAAATAATGCCTATGCCATCAAGCTTAACTTACTCAATATACAATTTTATGTGCAAATTAATTGGAAACCTTTGTGTTTCTGCTAACTTAAAGGCCACATATGGAATCCATATGAAGCAGAAGTTTTTGAGTCTGCTCATTCCAAAGCATGAGAGTAATGCATAATAAATAACCTGAATAGTTACTTAACATAAGCAAGGTTGATGTTAATCAAAACGACTGCGCCAAAACCATTTAGTGGAACCAAATACAGTCAAAGTGCTGGGACTTGGGAACTTGGACAATTCAGCGTGCACACATCCTACAAAGAACACAGGCCAAGTGCCGACTTCATCCTAATTCAACATATAAACGGTAAGCAGATGCCTTCTCCACCAGTCTCAGCTCAAACTCCACCCATGGGTAAAATCCACCAGGACTCCCACTGTCCCCTCTGCACACTGTTCCTACACAGTGATACCAAGAACACAGCTGAGGCACCTGAGATGCTGGGCTCCCAGAAGAGAAGCTCTGTTCTTTGTTTTATAAACTGGGGTCTTTGCTTAAAATTTTGGTTAGGAAAACAAAGGATTCCACTATGAAAAGGGTAGGCAAAGTGTTGAACAGTGAGTAGTAAAAACTAGGACCCAAATTATTTGTAAGGTCTCTTTCAACATATAAATCCTAAGATTATACAATCAGGGCTGCAAAAGACCAATTAAAGCATAGTTCTAATACTTGAGTGCTAAAAAGATTGGCCAAAGAACAATGAAATAAGCATTTGCACAGCTATTCCTGCTCAAAAGAATTCCAACCTTCTGTTCTTTCATCAGCAGGTCAACCTTCTTAGAGCAAGAAAGAGGTTTAGCTTCCCTAAAAGTAAAAAGCTCTGTCTTCTCAATTTTGGAATTAGAATCACAGAAAGAAGGGGGCAGGTGAGGGAAAAATTCCACAGAAACAACACTTAAACTTTAAAACTGGATTTTAAAAGATTCTTAGCAATAATTAATCATTTGTTGGGGTCTCTAGCTAAGACTTAGTAACTTCATAGTTCAAAGAGTTTCTTTTCTAGCCTCCAACTAATAACCACAAAATTTTTTTTCTGCTTATGTGTTAGTTTCTAAAATGGATCTCCAGCTTTTAACTTTAAAACAAGTTTCATTTAGTTTGCATATTTATAGTATACTACAGTAAAGAAATTTTAGTCTCTTATGAATGAAAATATTTAGAGGTGATACGGTCATTTAGGTAGTTTCTCTTTTTTTTTCTCCAAAGAGAGCACATATCTACAGTCCCACACTACATAACGACATTTTAATCAATGACGGAATAACTGTGGTCCCATAAGATTCTAATGAAACTGAAAAATTCCTATTGTCTAGTGATGTATTGATGATCTTGATCCTGTATAGGTCTAGGCTAATGTGTGTGTTTTTGTCTTCATTTTTAACAAAAAAGTTTTAAAGATAAAAAATAATTTTTAAAAAAAGGCTTATAGACTAAGGATATAAAGAAAATATTTCTGTACAGCTGTACAATCTGTTAAGCTAAGTGTTATTACAAAAGAGTAAAAAAGCTAAAAAAAGGTTAATAAAATAAAATGTGACAGTAAGCTGAGGTTAATTATTGAAGACAGATATTTTTTGTAAATTTAATGTAGCCTAAGTATAGTGTTAATGTAGTCTGCATTTGTGTACAGTAATGTCCTAGGCCTTCCCTTTCACTCACCACTCACTCACTGACTCACCCAGAGCAACTTCCAGTCCTGCAAGCTCCATTCGTGGTAAGTGCCCTACATTGGTGTACCACTTTTTTATCTTTTATATTTTTACTGTACCTTGTGTATGTTTAGATACACAAATACCATCGTGTTATAAATGCCTACAGTATTCATTACCATAACATGCTATACAAGTTTGTGGTCCAGGAGCAACAGGTTATGCCATACAGCCTAGGTGTGTAGTAGGCTACACACCGTCTATGTTTGTGTTGTACACTCTACAATGTTTGCACA
Source organism: Homo sapiens (assembly GCF_000001405.40). Taxonomy (NCBI): domain Eukaryota; kingdom Metazoa; phylum Chordata; class Mammalia; order Primates; family Hominidae; genus Homo; species Homo sapiens. The sequence continues at coordinate 98,643,350 of NC_000004.12, forward strand.
ATGATGAAATCCCATGACTCATTTCTCAGAACATACCCCTGTTGTTAAGCGATACATGACTGTACTTTTTTTAAAAAGTCCAAGGATATAGATCAGTATTTAATAAGCATCAAGGATATATATTGGTACTATATATTTTATATTTAAGTGGAATACATATGTATATATTTCACAAAATATATTTCAATTTGTTTTGAGACCCCTATCCCTTCACTTCTAAAATAGTGACTCTGTATCTTTAAACATGACAAGTAAAACACCGTTTTCAAATTTTTGTGCAATTGTTTCAAATCTTCACTGGACAGCAAAACTCTCAAAGCATATAGTGAGAATATTAGGGATTATTAATCTTGCAGGGTCAGGAAAAAATATGAAAATGCCACATATAGTTGTATCATCTAGACAGCTCTTCATTCAGTTTATTCTTTCAAAACCCAATAGATGAAGCCAAAAGAACTTGGTACCAAAGAAAACACTATTTTCCCTAGGATTCCAGTTATGAGATTAAAAACAAAAACAGAGTAGGCTTTCTCACAGGAGTTGCCCTGTGGGCAGTTGTTGCCCATCCTTGGATAAGTAGGGCACCAATAACGAAACAGGTGCTCAGGAAGTTCCCAGCCCGTCTTCTGCCTCCATAAGGTCATGCTGAAAAACATCTAAAACTAACAGCCTGGTTTCTTGGGGTTTAGTTTTCCTGTTACTGAATTACAACTCCTCCCTTTTTAAAAAGTATAGAGTTTTTCAAATGCCTAAAGGAGATTTATTGATTTATTTTTTTTTTCTGGTTGTGTGAAATTGATGTTTATTCACAAGGTATTTGCTCTGTTTGTTGAAAACACTTATTTTAAATGTTGTCCTAAGGGGGAAAGGCCGGTAAAGTCGGAAGAAATGCTTAAAAGCCACTAATGTAAGAGCACATTTTTCCTTTAAAAAGTTAATTAACTAAGGTTTGCTAAATTCAAGGCCTCATAGGGAAATACAACTGAAACTCTAAAATATTTTTTTCATTTGAAGTGTTTGTTCACTGTTCTCGGAGCACCTGACGAAGAGTTTCCACTTTTAATACAGTTGAACCGAAAGAAAATATTATTGTAGTAAATTTCCTTTAAAAAAGCAATATTGATGTTCCCGTATTTTTGGAATAAAAAAGCACCCTTTTTTTTTTAAATTATTATACTTTAAGTTTTAGGGTACATGTGCACAATGTGCAGGTTACATATGTATACATGTGACATGCTGGTGCGCTGCACCCACTAACTCGTCATTGAACAATGAAAAGCACCCTATTTTTAAAATGCATTATGTAAATAGACTCATTCCAAAGCTGACCATAAGCAATACCTATAGTAACTTGAAAGAGGAGAGGAGGAAGCCCACTGAGATACAGTTCCTAAGCATTTAAAGTTGACTTCCTGCTGGCCTGAGATACAATTTCCCAAAGCATTTTCCTTCTCATACCTAAGATGTAACTACTCACTGGGCCTAGGGTTAGCAACTTTTCAGAAATGGGGGATGCCCCTCTTCTCTCCCACACTCTCAACAGAAAACAGAACATGGAGTATGCAAACATTTAAACACATTCCCCAAGCATTTTACCTCTAGGGATCCATCCACCTCACTAATAGATTTCAGTTTATAAATGCATGCCTTGCTGCAAATTACTTAAGCACAAGTGTTCCCCAAAGTGCGATTCCCTGGTGACTTGGGGTACCAGAAGAGAAGTTTTAGAACGTGGCATTAAATATCCTTCAATATAAAGTCACTGGTTTTCAACTATCTTTTCATCCTCTGGTCTAGTTAAGGAGAAAGTCTCCATTTGATGCCAGAATGTCGAACACTTGCTACACTTGTTAACCTCCATTATAACAAAAGAAAAGAGGCCTCTGACTCAGGCTTACCAACAGGCACCAATAATAGCTACCTAGAAGTTAGTAAGTCATATTATTGTCATTATATGCATTTGAATAGTGATACTTTTTACATTCCTTTTTAAATATATGTATTTAAGATTAAAATCAGAGTCAATTTAAAAGAAAAGATTGTTTCAGATGGACTATATCTTTGAGATTCAAAGTGAGATCAGTGGGCCAGAGCCATCAGCATCACCTGGGCATTTGTTAAAGGTACTGGATCTTTGTCCCCTCTCACTCCTACTGAACCAGAATCCGCATTTGAACAACATATCCCATGCCACTTGTATGCATATTAAAATCTGAGAAACTATGGGGTGACACAAGAGTTGGTCCAAAACCATGCAGGTGGTTTACAAATGGCTGAACTTTGGGACTCGCTGCTTTAGATCAGCTGGCGACCTAACTCCTGATCCTCGCTGAAATCAGCTAGTGGAGGTCAGGAGGACCAGGAAGTAACATGGTTCGTGTTTACGCAACAGGGAGTCACAACCCATCTGAGGACCATGAGGTTGATTAATGAATCTAAACCAGCAGTTTTAGGGGTGTTTCTGGTAAGCTAGAGATGACTTTAAATACGCTTCTGTTCCTGTTGTGCTACATATATCATTCTTTTTTACTAATAAAAACTACAGTAAAAATTCTACTTAGACTTATCCCTTTATCCCCTGCTTCCCCTTGAAGGGCTGGGGTTTTCAGCATGCCTTCTGCATGGGAATGAGTGACAGGCACCTACTAATTTAGCACGCCCTGGCCTTCCTCTCAGAGCTGAGCCCAGTTATATGGAAGAGGCAACTTGGAAATGTGACAGCCCACGTCTCCTGTGTCAGGGGACAGTACAGGTGGCAAAAAAAAAAGCACAAGCTCTCATCGCATCCCATTATGCCCTAGAGGAGAAGCCAGTGAGTCTCTCATTCACCAAGATGATTAGTCAATGATCCAGGTAGTTCAATCCAAAATCCTAGCTCTGCATCAGCTGGAAGGACATATAAGGGGAAAACCCAAGTTATCAGGATCACTGACTCAAGTTTCACCTTCATGACCTCAAGAATTTGTCTGAAATAGAGGAAAAAAATGACCAAAATATGCAGGATTTATGATACCATAAAGAACTAAAGACACTTAGTTACAGCCATCTAGATAGTTCCAGAATGCCCAGATTTAACAGATGTTGACAAAGGGTATCTATCCTCCCCACCCCACCCAGGTGTTAGGCCTAACACCACCACAGCTATCCATCAGAAACTCAACTTCCCAGTACAAAATACTAATAGGAGACACTTTGATTTTGCAAAGAAAATAGTGAATGTAACTGGGTAAAGAAAAAAGGGAAAATTAACAACAAACAATAGAAGCGAATTCATGGTCTGGTATCCACGATAAGAACTGCGTGCCACTCATTACAATGAAAAGAACACTGTGAACATTTGTTAGATCTTTTTTTCCTTTTAAGTTATTTTGAGAATGCACTTATGTAGGCAGAATATTACAGAGAACAAAAAATATATGTTACAATGTAAGATTATTTTAATGATTCTGAAAGAAGGGAAAACAATCAAAATAAATTATGAGGAAAACAGTATAATAATTGCTAATACCTATTGACTATTCCAAGCAGTTTACACATATTAACTCCTCAAATCCTCAGGATTCCGAGATAGACGTTATCTTAATACTACTATTAATAATATTAATACTACTAAACGTGCCATTTTGCAGATGAAGGGGAGACTTAACTGCAAGGTGGGCAAGTAACGTCTAAGGTCACAAGCTTGGGAACATAGCTGGGTAAAAATCCAGACACACTCAAAGTCTAAACTCCTTAACAGCAGACTTTCTGCCCTCCCACCACAAGGGTACCAGAATGCCCAAGTTAGGATGAATCTTTCAATACTCTCTCACTCTGAACCAGACGAAGAATTCTTCTAAAAGGTCAGTGACCTATGGAGTCTCCAGTTAAAGGGCTAGGCCACATTGATACAACTATACCTTAAAAGAGAACTAACTTTTGGCATTAAATGCATCATCCATGATTAGATTACTTACTTGGCAGAATTAAATGTTAAGGCTGCTTGGGGGGAAATATCAACAGTTGGAGGAAATTTTTGTTGGAAGCACAACATTATGCTTTGAGAAATGCTTAAGTCAAGTATTCCTCTTTTATTAGGACTACTTAATTGAGTACAATGCATTAAAATAGCTGGCCTGAATATTTATTAGAGCACCAGCTGTTCCCTCCAGATTTTTAGAAATTCAAGCCTTAGTGCCAAGTGTAATTTAGAAAAATTTTCCAACAAGTAAAAAGAGCCCTATGCCTTCTAATACTTATCAAAATAGTAAATAGTAGCTGGAAGTGGTATAGAACATCACTTTTCCCTTCCAATGAAGAGAGCCAAAATGTTTTGCCATTTGTAGATGTTTTGCCATCCACAAAAACACCATTTTGTAATTGGGCTTAGTGATTATATTACTTAAAAATTATACCTTGTGATTCATAACTAACAATCCTCTATGTACATATGGATAATATCACAGTGCTAACCATTGGGTTTGCATACCATTCTGGTTTGGTTTTGTTTGGTTGGCTTTTCTGTTTTGTTTTGTTTAAAAAAAAAAAAAAGGAGTGGTGTTAGACCCAGTAAAACAGCTCAGAGAAATAATACAGAGTTTTATTCAAAATGTTATTTTTCAAGATTTCTACTTTAGGAACCCAGCCGTAATCAAAGATCTAACTTTCAAAGGGGGTGAAGGAAAAAAGAAAGTTAAGAAAATAACAGGAAAACACTAGGCATAACCCGGATATTCCACATTGAAGCTTTCTAAAGAACACTGGCAAATATCATGTCTGGGTCTTCTGTATTTGCTTTATTGTCAACTGTCTTTGTGACAGTGCTGCAAGTTTGGATATGGGAAAAGAAATGTCCCCTCCACAGCATTACAGCAGAGGGAATTCAATGAACCTGTCATGCAGACCTTGACGCAGAAAGCAACTCCCCTCCTACAAACTGAGCATAGTCAGGGCTGGAGGCCAACGAGAAAGCCCCAGAAAAGGGAGGCTGAAAGGAACAGCAACAGTGGATGGGGAGGCTGATTTTTTTTGAAGGAGAAGGTGGTCTGCCCTTGTTAAGTGTCTGTAGTTAGAGCTACTCAACTGCACTGACACACGCAGAGTGGTCCAGGACAAGCAGGGCAAAGGAACCAGAAGTCTAGCTCTTCACTGTGCCTATCGAATAAATGGCTAGCTTCTAGCCCTATATGATGCTAACTGCTAGCAAACTAGTTGCAGCACCAGAGGTTCTCTTTCAAGAGATTTTTCTCATTTTGTTTTTAGGGCTTTCAGGTTTAAAAATAAACTGGCGTTTTTGGATTAATAAAAAATTCCATGAGGGATAAAATAGGCCACCTTTTTTTTCTCGTAAGCAAAGAACACTAGCTTCATGTGCTGGTGAAATGGTCACCGCTCTACACCACCCACGCCCAGCTCTCCCACACATCCCCTCCAGGGAGCAACGGGAAGGAGAGGCCACATCTTCCCAAGAAAAACAAGCTAAAGCTTCTCAAACTCAGCTGGGCATCACAATGACCTGCAGGAAGTTTTGATTTTTTTCTTAACAGAAATTCCAGGACCCCATCCTGGATGGACCTACTGAACCAGATCTCCCAGTGGGAAGACTGAAATTTCCTTACTAATCAGGCTGCCACACTACATGCATAAAGGGGTGAAATATCAACTAATCCTACAGAAGTGACCCCTAGTTAGTGAGAGGGACTTCCCATGCATGGAGAGATTCCAAGAGATAAAAACCCACACGAGGAGTAATTTTTTTAAAAATGTACTTTGGCCATCAAGATTCAAAGACATCTAAAGGCTAGAATACTGGTTCTTTTCTTTCTTAAGTGGTGGGACCCCTTTTTTCAAGCAAAATCTTTCTTAGTATCCCAAAATATCAAACTAATAACCAAGCTTTTCTGGAGGAAAGAGAGGTACTGCTCAGTCCACACCCCACCAGCACAGACCCACCCACCCACATACGCCTCAAGGAGGCCTAGGATTGCTGGTAGCAGGTTTGAAATCCAATGGGCCAGAATAAGACATTTAAATGGGAGAAATAAACAGAACTAAATCTAAATTCAAATAATTAACTGGAGGGTTAGGGCTTCTGATTAGCATATAGCTTAGGGGGATGGTTTAATAGAGTTCACTTGAAAAAGTGAAGGTTTTATTTCACTAAAAAGTCAATCCAAGCCAAAGTGTTCGTTGGCTGCCAGGGAAAGCAAGTGCAGTTTAGCCTGGGTTAATAACTAGTATTTGTATTTAGAGATTTACCATTTATGAAGCACGTTGATATGCATGATCTCACATAATACTGGATAACAACTTTGCAGAAAATTATTTTCCTGGTTTTTTTAGATGAGCAACTGAGGAACTAATCTGTGAAAGTAACTTACTCAAAGTCAATTCCAGACAGTAGCAGAGGCTTCTGCCACCAGGCACAGCACAGCCTAGGGACTGAAGGGAGAGTTCAAGAGCCTGCTGCTCTTCGGATGGTTAGAAAAGCCTGTGAACAACGTGTTTCATTCTGGTTGCTGCATTAATAGAGGTGTGTCCAAATGGGACCCTAGGCAGAGCACCGTGACCAGGGCAAAGAACAATCTGGAAACAGTATATGTAGACCTAACACTCTAAAACCGAACCCTGACATGCTCTTCAACATCTCAAAAGTTACTCCACATCTCTGTACTCCAATTTCTTCATCTGTCACAAAGATATAATATGTTTGGAAGACTCTTTGAGATGCTTACAAGAAAAACATCATTAGTGTAAACACATGGAGGAACTAGGAGCTTTTAAAGGTGGAAAACAGAATGTTTAGGAATGACATAATGGCTATTTTTAAATAATGAAGGACCATGGGGAAGGAAGATAAGTCTTATTTTACATCATTCAAGAGTAGCCGAGGCTCTTCGCCTTCTCCTTCCTGAAAATTCAAAGCCATTAGGTAGGTCCAATCTGGTAGGCTTCCTACGTTTACAAAAACGTAGGAAGAGGGATGCTGTGGAAGCCCAGAGCAGGGTATCTCAGGGAGAAAGGTATCCATATGGGGATGGGGGTGGTGGCACAGGATGCTAGAGCACTAACAGCTGAGGAGGGCAGCCCCAGGAGGAAAGGTGGTGGCAGCTGCAGAAGATTGGTTACATATGGGGAGATTTACCAAATAAGTAAACTGTTAAGAATAATGCGAACCAAGAATCTCACTGTCAAATAAAGCAGTTATAAAATATGGAGAGGAAAAACTAAACCCTGTGGTATCAGACAGGAATTTAAGGTATGACTGTAAACTCATGGTTTTAAAAGTACATAGATACAGAATTACAGATGTACATGTGTGTCTGTATATACACAGAGTAGCAACACCCTAATAGCAATGAGCACACCAAGCAACCAGATCTTGGCTTCTAAATTCCATTCTCCATTCAATAGCTCCTTGGAGAAATGTCTGATACAAAAGATGACACAGGTAAATCACAAAATGAGTTTGGAACATCTTATTCTGCCAGAGAGCAAGATGGTGCTCAAAGACTGATGGGAGTTAAAAGAGCACAGGAGCCAATGTGAAAAGACTGCACTGGCCAAACCTAGGGCCATTTTAAATAAAGTAATGACAGTAACATTAAACCACACTGAAAAAAGGAAGACACTAAGTTCTTACTGATATAAATAAATAACAGATTGAAAATTTGATGAGGAATAGGCTATTTACATGGTTTCAATGTAATTTGCCATAAAACATTTATAAATTACAAATGAGAAAAGAGTAACTATATGGTAGAGAAGCCTGGCAGACAACACCTTGATCAAGTGACCATCATCAGTAATGGGACAAACAGAAATCAATGCCACCCTGATAGGGTACAATGAGAACGCAGCACCATTTCTGTACTATTCCTACCAAAGATGCACAGCCTGAATCTAAGCTTGTGAAAATGGCACAAACACAAACTGAGGGACATTCTGCAAAATAACTGGCTTATAATTGTCAAAAGTATCAAGAGCATGATAGTGAAGGACTGAAAGAGACTAAAAACATGTAACTAAATACAAAGTGTGGTTCTGACCTGAATTCTTTTGCTTTAAAACATTATGGGAGCAACTGGGAAACTTGGATGAAATCTAAGGATTAAATGGTGTTAATGTATCATTGGTAATTTCCTGGCTTTCATGGTTGTACTGTGGTGATCTAGGAGAATAGTCCAGTTTACAGAAAATACATACTCAACTGTTTGTGTGATAGCCAACATGCTGGCAACTTTGTCTCAAACAGGATAAAAACAGGTTCTCTATACTACTTGCAATTTTCCTATTGGTTTAATGTTTCCAAATAAAAATTTTAAATGAACAGTAAATTAGGAGGATGGAAATGATGGGGAGACAGATAACATCTAGTTTGAACAGATGAAACTCTACAATTAAAGTGGTCCAAAAACAGATCCATGCTTAGAAAGGTAGGCACGATACAATGGAGAATGCTTCACTGACTAGGAAGTTAGAGGAGATGATTCCTACGTACTTTCTGATGATTTTGTAATTCTTTCCTTCAACATACTTTTTTTTTTTTTTTTTTTTTTTTTTGAGACAGGGTCTTGTTCTGTCACCCTGGAGTGCAGTTGCAGCCTCAACCTCCCAGGCTCAAGTGATCCTCCCACCTCAGCCTCCCAAGTGGCTGGGACTACAGGCACGCATCACCACACCCAGCTAATTTTTAATTTTTAATTTTTTTTTGTAGAGATAGGGTCTCACTATGTTACCCAGGCTGGTCTCAAACTCTTGGGCACAAGCCATCCTCCAGCCTCAGCCTCCTAAAGTGTTGGGATTACAGGTGTAAGCCCCCAAGCCTGGCCCAAACGTTTATCAAAACATCTACTGTGTTTCAGACAATGCGCAAGACACTGGGCTTATGAAAGTGAGACAGCCCCCACACTTGAAGCCCTTATAATCCAGTGGAGTATGATTTATTTGGAAGTTAGAAATTTTAAGACAGTCATCAGTATTACACACAGAAACAAACATGTGATTCAAGAATGCTGTCTACAATACTCCAATTTTCATTTATGAATTTTCAATAGGCTACAATTATTCCACCATATTCTTGAAGAACATTTTCATCCTAACTTTTTTGTGCTTGTGGGTGGTGTTAATTGTGGCATATGCAAAAACTTTATCACTTTTCGATTATGAACAGATGTAAATGACTTACTTGATGTTTTATTTTAGAATAACAAGCATCTTCTAAAATAAGTCTCCACCCAAAAAGCTGGGGCTATCATTACGGAAGAGACTTAACACTCTGAAACTGAACCTTGACATGCTCTTCAACACCTCAAAAGTTACTCCACATCTCTGTACTCCAATTTCTTCATCTGTCACAAAGATATAATATTCTTGGAAGACTCTTTGGGGTGCTTACAAGAAAAACATCATTAGTGAAAAGTTCTGTTAAAAATGCAGATTGCTTTCACCTTTTGCCAGGGACTACCTATTACTGTGGACATTAAAACAAAGTGACCCATCTAAATGAGTGCAACATTTTGGCAAGTTTATGGTGGTTGAAACATGATTTGGTTTTCCAACTTCTCCCCACTTGGCTTCATTTCAATCTGCGGAGTATATCAAGTGAGAATGCTTCTGCGCCTTCATACTGCCCCACAGAGGGAGTGGCCACACTAAGCAAGCCTATATTCAATTACTTTCCCCACTTTATACCTTTCTTACACTTTTCCCATATGACACTTTCATAACCATATTTAGCTTTCTTCCTACCATCTCCCTGTAATTCAAAACGCAATTTAGATTCCCATATGGTTGCCATCGAAGCTAACAGATGTCTAGCAAATTAAAACAAAAATTATGACTTATAAACTGCTGATGTATCATCATTCCAGAACATCTTGCAATTTATAGTGAATCATAAGATAAAGCTTCCTACTTGATGCCCCCCCTCCCCCACCGCCCCAAGGTTTCCTGAGTCTCCCTCCTCTCTGAATTAAGCCCTGTGGAAGCAAATTAGAGGCAAGATCCTGCCATCAACCCTGGATAAACTTGCACTTAAAGACACAAGGTAATATCTGAAAGCATATCAAAAGAGAAAGTTGGCCTCAAGTAACTGAGGCTTTTCTAATCCTTTGTAGCAAAGAAAACAGAAAAATGACTTGGTTCTCCCAAATCATTCCACCGTTTCCATTGAGTTCTTTCCTAACAAGTCACTATAAAATCTATTGAATCCATTTGCCTCATCTTCTTGGCAGATCTTAAGGGTATTATCATTACCTAGTAGTAATGATGCCAAAGTACTAGACTAAGGCATTCTAGAAGTTCTATAGCCCTGTATGGAACCAGTATAAAATCTGGAGACAACAACAGTAATGATATTCACTATTTGTTAAATATTGAGATATTATGCCGAATAAAACATTATCTCACTGAATCTTTAAAACTACAACACCATTAATGTTATCTTTCCTTTATAAACAAGAAATTAAGGCTCAGTGCCTTAATACAGTAGACTATATTTTTCAAAGATGGCCACAACCTACATGACTTTCTGCAATGTGACCTTGACACTTCTCCATCAAAAGGTGGCTTCTAATTCTTCACCCTTTGAAATTCAGCAGTCTGCATGAGTGCTCTAACCAATGGAATAGATAAAAGTGGCACTGCCAGTTCTAAGTGGAACCTTAACTGGCTGGAAGCTTCTTTAAGACTTAGAGACAGGAAGAAGCCACGTGTAGGTAGGTGCTCCAGTGACAACTCTGGCTAAGCTCCCAGCAAGCATCAGCTTCCAGTCATATGAGTATACCATCTCAGGCATCCTGCCCAGAGGGCCTTCCGGTAAGTCCAACTCCAACTACATCTCACCACAACTGTATGAGACCCCAAGTGAGAACTGTCCAGATGAGCCTGGCCAAATCACAGAACTGTGAACTATAATAATAAACAACTGTGTTTTAAACAACTAAGCTTGGAGGTTATGTAGCAATAAATAACCAGAATATTGAGATCAATTTACTTGCCTGGGAACAGTTAAGTATCCAGAATCCAAAACAGTTAAAAGCCAGAATCCAAAAGGGCAAAACATCTATTAATGATGAGTGATGGGATGTGGTGTTCGGTACCCCAAAGAAATGACTTTAAAACAAAATCCTCTTTCTTCTCCCTCCCCCAAACCCAAAGCAGTCTCAGGGTTTTCTGAGAAATGTCCCAGTACGGTGACACCCTCAATAAAATCAATTCCCTTCTGTCTTGAATTGTTCCAATATATAACAGAGGAAACAAGTTTTCCCCCACCAGCCTGTGATAACTAATGAGAAAGGAATCTGTACAAGATGTTGACTTTGTTACTCAGAATGTCATTACAACTGTTATATAAAAGGATTCAGATTTTATACATGAAGCTGTAATTCTAATAATAAAAATATATTTAATGACTCACAGGACTACATTTGAGATTCACAGTGGGGAGAGAGAAGCACGGACACTATACCAGGAACTGAACAAGCCAAGAAGAAATTAGTGAAAGGTTTTTTGTTTTGCTTTGTTTTGTTTTTTTTGAGACGGAGTCTTGCTCTGTTGCCAGGCTGGAGTACAGTGGTGTGATCTTGCCTCACTGCAATCTCCACCTCCCGGGTTCAAGTGATTCCCCTGCCTCAGCCTCCCGAGTAGCTGGGACTACAGGCACCCGCCAACACACCTGGCTAGTTTTTTGTATTTCAGTAGGGACAGAGTTTCACCATGTTGGCCAGGATGGTCTTGATTTCCTGAACTTGTGATCCGTCCACCTCAGCCTCCCAAAGTGCTGGGATCGCAGGCGTGAGCCACCGCGCCCAGCCTTGGTTTTTTTTTGTTTTTGTTTTTTGTTTTTTGTTTGTTTGTTTTTTATGAAAGGATCTTTGAGGAAGAAATGAAAGTAATAAAACTAGTCTTCAGACAAGTCTCCCTAACAGAAAATGTCTATAATTTATCACGTGTCCTGGTATATACTACTTCTGTTATAAATTAGTGGCCAAACTCTTCTATTTTTCTTCTCCAGCATATTGGAACTCAAGAAACTCATTCTGTGTAAGAACTAGAAAGAACGTTATAACTCATCCACCTCCTTCAATTTAACAGCTGAGAAACTGAGGCCCAGGCAGTTAACTGATGAAGAGCCAAACTGCTGATCAGGAAAAGAACCAAGCTCTCAGTGCTGGTGCCACCATATGTTCAATTTTATTTTACCAGAACTATACCTTTGAATGTCACCAGTGTATGTCAAATGTAGTCTAGCAGTTCAGTGTGAAAATGAAAATTAGGAAACCATGCTGTTGGCAATCTCTTCTTCATAATTGTATGGGAGTAGCACCGAGTCTGCTGTTTTTGGCAATCACAGACAGGTTGGTGACTCTGTAGAGAGCAGAGGTGTGTAACTTTTCAGAAGCAAGCTGCCAAGCTACTGACCCCAGCTTTTCAGTCACTAACATCTTAGTCTGAATTACTTTAACCAAAACCATATGGTTGCCTTTCTGTTGATCATCACTAGAGACCATGGTACAATAAAGCAGGAAATTTAAATATGGGGTAATTTTGAGGCAGAGAGCAGGATAGGAAAGGTATGAGGGAGTATCTGAGAGGAAGGCTTTGGGCACAGAGAGGAGAGGAAGGGAAGGCAAGAGGCAGGGTAAGTGAAGGGCCCTCATAAGGAAGGCACTCACTTAACAATTCTGCCTGGGGCAGCTAGTTTAGTCCCATAGCCTAGGTCTCCTTTCAGGCTTCCCATACTCACCCACCCACCTATGAAGACCTTCACAATCAGAAAACATGCGGCTCTGTTCTGGACCTCTCCAAGCAAGCACTCTGCAATTCTTTGAAGCTCTCTACAATTCCAGGGGTTTTGCTGCAACCTAATCCATAGAAAGGGCTAAATTTGTCTCTATGCACTCCACAGAATTACAGCAAACTGTCAGGGAAACAGACCCAAATCCTTTTATTTCCTTACCACCCCCTGCTAGGAAACGGCAGAGAAAGTCCCTGGGTGCTTTTTGTTGCTGGGTAGCTAAAATGTGCAACTTTTAGAAATGTTCAAGTAGAAACAAGAGGCCTGAACTCACTACCCCAAAAAGAACCAGTCCCAGTTCGGTAGTCCGTGCCTCTCCAAGTCACAAAGTTTCAAGTTCCAATCAAATCAGAATATCTTACTCAAAACCGTGGCTACCCACCACTTTTAAACATTTTCACAAATGGAGAAGGGGCAAAGAAAGAAAATAATTCCTTCTTCCTGTACTTGTAGCAGTGTTTAATTGCAGGGAGGTGGGTGACTGCTCCCGGGAATCATGCACAACACTGGCAAAAAACTGCCTGTGGAATGATCGGATATGACATCCATTCATGTGTCCCCTCATTATCTTTATTAGTCCTGAAGACAGATGACATGCTGACACGGAAAGTGGTCTCCAATCCCTTGCATTTCCCCTCACAAAACATACATGACCAATGCAAGGTATTATAATAGAAAACAGAAAATAAAATAACCTGGTAAGAGTGCGGTACAAAAAAAGAATATGAAGAGCCGTATTGACAACTATTCTCACAGATGTATATACGTACAGCAAACAGCCCAAATTAAAGGAGAATTCAAATAAATACATTCCGTGTTCAGACTGCTGTGGATAATTATTGATCCTGCAGTTGGAGCATTGTTTACCTCACACTGAACAGCAACTTAGAGAACCCCCTACCCAGACAGCCACCATCTTTACTTTCTATGGAAATGCGGGTGCCCACTGAGGAAGAGGATGAGATGGGATGAGAAGGGGAAGAAAAATAACATGGTCTTTGAACCAACGTTTTCCCCTTGTCCTGGAGAACTCTTTGTCTGGCTGCTGAACACGTTTGCCAGATCAAGGAAAAGAATCAAAACAAACAAACAAACAAAAAGAGTAGGCGTCCCAGCCTAATTACAATAGGTTCCCAACACATTGCAGTCCCAAGCAGAGCATCATTTGAATCTTGTGTTAAAGCATTTGCTCTCTCGGTTCCCCAATAAAACATGCCTCGCACACCTTCTCCTTTGCATTTCTACAAAGGTTCCCCCAAACGGCCCGCTCTGTGTCACTCCTTTAAAAATGAGGACGTGGGGCAGGAACACACTGAAATATATGTTGACGGTGACTTATTATCCTGACGATGATATATACATACAAATAAATCCCTCTACCCCGCACCCCCACTGACCAGTCCATTACGCACAGGGAGCGCTTTCCAGCTGAAGAGGAGAGCGTGCAGGAAACGTTATTTACGTGCAATTACAGGACCATATACCACGGCATCTGCATCCTACACAAAGCCCGAGATGGTGCAAGAAGATACACGCTGAGCATGGCACAGACCAGCCGCGGCAACACGGAGCCAAGCCCTCGTCCAATCAGATCGTTGTTAGAAGGTGGACCTCAGGGTCGGCCGTGCCCGATTAGCCTTCCCTATTATGACACCACGCTCTGCCCAACATCTATATCCCACCGAGAGCAAATCCAATTCGTGTGGTTGCTCATTTCTCAAACTGCCGAACCCTTTCTTTTATCTGCATCCCTGCTATTCGTTCCTCAAAAAGCCACCAGAAGGCCTCGGTGCCCCCTTTCCGCCTCGATTTCTCTTTTCACCTCTTCCCATTCCTCGAAAGGATTAAATGTTTATCTCTCCAACGCGCAAGCTGGAAAGGCGGAAGGCGAATGCCTCTATGCTGCTCCGGCAAGCGCCTGCGGGGCTGCGAAAAGTAAAGGCAACGAACAACGTGGGGGAAATCGTCGCGAATCGATCGGCCACAATAGTTGGAATCCCAGGAGCGCTCCAACTTACCCAAAATATGACATTGAAGCCAAATATGAAGTATTTGATGCAACAACTGACTTCAGGACCCTTGTAGTGCTTCCCGGACATCCTCTGGGTTCATGAAGACACTTGCCCCGGCAGCCCGAGTTTGGAGCTCCGAAGCACCGTTGCTCGGAGCAGCCCGGCGGGGAGCAGGAGCTCAGGGACACCGCACGGGGCCGCGGCGCTGGCGGCCTGGGCTCAGCCGCGCGGGGACCGACCGGCGGAGAGCGGCTCCCGCACCTCCAGCCCCTCGCGCGCCGAGGCCGCCGGAGCCGGGGTGGCCGCGAGAAAGCAGGGAAGCCGCGCGCTGCAAGCTCAAGCCTCGCCGACGCTAGCCCCGAACACAAAGCGAGCGCCCGCGTCCGTGCGCCAGGCGGTCGGTCCGTCGGTTCGTCCCCGGGCTTCGGGCAAAGGCGGCCGCGGCAGATGCTGGTGGAGACGCCGCTCGCTTGCTCGCCCGCCCGTTCGCGCGCGCCCTCCCACCCCTCGCTCCGCCCGCCTCTCGCTCCGCCCGCCCGGCCGGCTGCTCCTCCGCCCGCGCCGCCCGCAGCTCCGCCCGCCGCCCAAGCCTTGGCTAGGCGCGCGCGCGCACGGGGTCGGGCGCTCCCGGGCGGCGGTGGCACCACGTAGCCGCCTCCTTCCACCGCTCGCTTTATCCCCGCCCCTTCTCGGGCCAACCCCAAGCGCCGCTGACCCCGAACGTCGCTGCGGGGTAGGTAGGGGGTGGGAGGGTGGAGGACCGCAGGCGAGAGGGAGAAGGAAGGGCGCCCGGGGAGCAGGCTGGCAGAGTGACCGGGATTGATGAGCGGCGCAGCTCTGGAGGGACGCGGGCGAGAGGGTCGCTCCTCGGGGAGAGGGCTGGGTGAGTGAGGACCTGCGAGCCACCCCCGACACCCCTTCCAGGGTAGCCACACTGGCGCCCCCTCCTCCACAACAGGCTTATGTGGCTAGAGAAGATGCGATGCCACTGGACAGGGAAGGAAAGTCGTCGTGGACTTCGCTGAATGGAAAAGGGGGTAGTTGGGGAAGGTGGAGAAAAGAGCCACGGGAAGTGGGAGGAAAGGATGAAGGGATGGGACGTTGAAAAGGAAAGCTTCCTGAATCCCTGTGTGACTCTAACCCAACCTCCCCACCTACCGGAGAAATGGGTTTTATCCTAGAAATGGGGACGAGGAAAAAGAGATGGCTCAAGGGAGTCCTGGCCCGGGATGCGATCCTCGCCCTAGGGTCTATTGCAACCACACAAACCCGGACAGCGCACGCTCCCCCCTACCCCGACAGAATAGTGCCTAAGAAACCTGCTTGCCTCCTAACTCTAGGAAGGAATCCACAACGGATTCCAGGGAGGTCTTCTGGGGAATCTGAATTGGGTTTTTGGATCACGAACCATTAAGCTTTTGAACTCTGGGGAAGAATAGAACAGGTGGCTGGAAATTGTTTTAGAACCCTACCTGAGCAGGTGTGCTCATTAGTTGCTTATCCGCCCTCCTCCTGGAGCACTTTCATAGGTGTTGGCAAAGCAGGTACCAGTATTTCACGGAAGGAGAAGGAAGAACCGCCCAGGACTGTGTATAAATGTCTATGGGAATATTTTTAAGGATTCAAAAGGCTAGAAGGAGGTGAGATCAAAAAATTTTTCCAGCACCACCCAGTGCAACCCGATCCTGGACACAGAAATCTAAAAGATGATACTTAAATACTTGAGTTTGAGAGCCTCTAGTTATAAGGTTTCCTACGTAACAACCTCTCACTTTTCTCAAAAACTGGCTAGTTGACAACCGGCAGTCAAGTTTTGGCTAGTCAAGAAGCTACTTTTTCCTGCAATAAACCACATTTAGAGATAGTACTGGGCTTCAGCAGGATTGAGGCTATATTGAGGTCGCAAGTATGAACGAGGTACCCACAGAGATGGGAGGGCCAGGAGATCCTACTCATTCAGTACCTCAGAAGCTATGACACGGGATAACAGTAGCTTCAGCCCTTTGGATGAAATAATCCTCACTCCCTCAAAAGTGCTCTCTACCCACTCAAAACACAGGCCATACTACCACCAATCTGGTAGACTTCAAAAGTAAGGTCTTTCAGCAGCAGATTTCCTTGTTAACAGGAAGGTACTGACAAGCTTTACCTAAGCCTATTGGAGCTATGTTGTAATTCTGTATATAAATAGAACAGTCGCTGCAGGAATACTGGATGAGTCAGAAGAAAGGTCTGTCCTAAGCTGATGTGACACATTTCAAAAGGACCAGAAATTAGATGCAATTGATGACTGAGTTGATCTCTAAGTGGATTTATCTTTGAAATAAAAATCAGTGGATATCCCATATACCCGACCCCACACCCTCCCCCATTGTCAACATCCCCAACCAAAGTAGCACATTTGCTACAAATAGTGAACCTACATTGCCAGATCATTATCACCCAAAGTCCATAGTTTACATTAGGGTTCACTCTTGGGGCTGTATATTCTATAGGGTTGGACAAATATAGAATAACATGAACCCACCCTCATAGTATCATAGTATCATACAGAGTATTTTCACTGCCCTAAAAGTCCTCTGTACACCACCTATTTATCCCTTCCTCCCCCCAGTCTCTGGCAGCCACTGAAGTTTGACTGTATCCCTGTCTCCTTAGTTTTGCCTTTTCCGGAATGCCATATATAAGGAATCATACAGTATGCAGTCTTTCTTTCAATTTTGCTGTGAAACTAAAACTGCTAAGAAAATAAAGTCTTAAAAAGAAAAATCAATGGAGAAGGGAAAGGTAAGATAACTAATCAGTAATTTGGAGGGGGGGGTGGAAAAACTAATTGAATTATCTCATTTCGTATATCCAAAATAAGTTCTATGAGGATTAAGGAGTTAAATATATTTTAAAGCAGACCAGAAGGAAAAATATTTGTCAAACCTCTGTATAGAAGTATTTCTCAACTTAGAGGCAATAGAAGGAAATAATCAATGGATATGATTGGGTAATATCTTAAACACTTCTACGTGTCCAGCTTTTTTTAGTGTAAGCTAAACCAGAAAAAAAATTGGCAGCAAACATGAAAAATAAAAACCTGAATGTCTATATTATAAGTAGGGCTCATAGAGCTATAGTAAAATATAGAATCGCAGTGGTTGAGTATAAACAGAAAATAAATCATATAAGAAATAAAATATATGGGGAAATTAATCTAGTAATAAATGAAGTATACATTAAAACTAATAAAGATACAAAAATAATGAGCACTGGTTAGCACATACATTGTTGGTGTCCTTATGAAATAATATGTCCATTTGGAAAGCATTTTGGCTGTATATATCAGGTCAGAGTGCTCCTACATTTTGACTCAGCAGTCCCTCTTCTGGGAATCTACCCAAAGAAATACCCCAGCAGATGGAAAAAGTTATACACTGCAAGATGTATATCATAGCATTATTTATATTGAAGACTTGGCCAGAAATTAAAGATCAAAGAGTAGGGGTGATATCCAATTCCTTGTAGTTACTTGGACCACAATGTTCCTTCACATTCTGTGCCTCTGCACATGTCATTTAGAGTTTCTGCCTGGGGCATTCTCCTTGTCTCTTGTCTGTGAGCTGATTTCTCTTATTCTTCACTACTTTTGTTCAATGTCTCGGAGGCTCCTTCTTTATTCCCTCAACACCCGCTGTGTTCTTCCATCCCGGCACTTAAAGGCTGCCTGTAAGAACTTGTTTACCTACCTGTCTCCTCAATCTGCTGTGACTCCTTCTAGGGTGTGACCTAACCCTTGGTAATCTTAGAATCACCAGAGCTCTGCAGATATGGCAGGTGCTTGATAAATATTTATTAAAGGAATGAATGAGTCATTTGCTCACAGTTTTTACAGCTCTTGAAGATACTGCTTATAGAGTATGTGGCAATATATGGATACATTATAATGTTAAATTTTAAAGGCACTATATATGGAATTATCTCCAAGTAATATTGTTAAATTTTAAAAACAAGGAACAAAAACAGTGTACACAGTAGGCTATCATTTTGTGAAAAGATAAGCTCTGTTGGCAAAAGAATATCCATACACATATTTCCTTGTTAATGGGTAGGCTATCTATGGAAGAAAACGAAATAAACTGGTAACAGCGAGTTAGGGTGGAATGGGGGGCAAACTGGGGGACTAAAGATACTGATAGGAAGGAGACATGTTTTATTTTTAAATAACCCCTTTAGTCTGTTTTTGAAATTTGTACCATGTATATGATACACGTTTTGAAAAATAAAGCAGTCTACAAAACGGTATGCAGTTGTATGAAAAAAAGTTAGGAGTTAATTTTTGCCAAATAAGAACAGTTATAAGGCTGGGTGATTTTGTTTTCATGTTTCTGGTTTGCAATTTTTAAGTGTGGTTAAATTGCTTTTACAATTAAGAAGATAAAATTATACATAAAGATGTAAGAAAGTAACTAAGTAATCATATTTATTTCACGCAACTCCTTCACAACTCAATAAATGCTGATCTATTTTAAGGAGAAAAGGAGAAAAATTTTCTGTCTGAATACTGCTAAGGCCACCTCCCTTATAACTCTGAGGTTGAAAAATGGTTAATAAGTTTAACTACTGACAAGTTAATCAGCTCTTCAAGTGGCAGTGAAAACAGGTAAAGCGTGTTCTTCTAATAGTTGCCTGGCTGAGGAGCAAGATATGACAACAGCGTTTTAACCTAAGACACCAAACTTAACGAGCTTGTCTGTCTCCACCTGTGCTTTATTGTTCCTGCCCACCTTCCTGCCTCCCTCCTCTTGGGCTCTGTCATTGTCTGCCTCTCTGCTCCTCTCTGTTTTTCTTTTGCTTCTCTGTAGCCGCCCTGCTGGTTGCCTCCACACCCCTCCTGCCGCCTTCCTCTCAGAACCCTAGCAGCTGTGTTCAGCGTCCCCCTCTTAAAGCAGCCACATGCTCTGGGAAGACTGGCCCTCTGCGTCACATCTGGCAGTCCCATTCCTCTTGCTAATGTGTGGTTCAGGAATGGGCAGGTGGCCCAATTCTGGTCAACAAGCCATGAGAAGAATCTGCTAGAGGTTTCCTTGCATCTAAGAAATGGTCTCTTTCGCCCTTGGACTTGGTTGGGTTTGGATGTGATGCCTCGATCCTCTACAGCCTGATGACAAAGACCACACCAAGGATGGCAGAGTGGAAGGATAAAAAGAACCAGGGCCTTCCAGCCTTTGTTGTATGGCTGACTTAACCAACCTTGAAGGTGGCCTTACTCACGACTTCCTGTCAGATGAGACAAATTTCTTGGTTAAGATACTTTGACAGGGGTTTTCCGTTTCATACAACTGAAAGTATCCTGACTTAAACACCTTTTGAGGTTCTGCCCCAAGCCTTTATTGATTTTCTCCTCTTGAATCACCACCAGCATTTCTGCATTTCTCTTAGTACCACGTTTTTTCTATTCCCCACACCCACCACCCCCTCTCTTCCCTAGCTGTTTCTGTCTCAAACAATACAGGGAAACATTTTAGGGTGTCTGACAGATCACACCCACCCCTTTCTCAGACCTTCTCAACCACAAGGTGCTCTCCCACCTCCAGCGAGGTTTGTACTTCACAGTTGATGGGGTCCCGGTAGATTCAGGCTGGGCCAACCTGAGAGTCTGTCTCAGTAACAAAGGGAACCCTGCGCCCAGCTGAAGTGCAGGCAATGTTTACCCGAAAGCTGGGGGTGGGTCCGCATTTCCAGGAGGAAGCCAAGACTCTCCCTCATCCTCTGCAGAAAGAGGAAGGAAGCCTAAACAGAGAAAAACAGTAGCAGAGTCTGACAGCCTGGGTGCTGTGTATGGTTGTGCATTTTGTGCTCTGAAAGGCTCCCATCCCTGCTAAAGGCCTGCTTCTAGATTTAAAGAGGACTCTGTCTTTGAGGTCTATGAGATTTTTAGATGGAATCATTCATCACATCCCATTTGGGCTTTAGATACTTTGAAGTGAGTATCTCAAATTTTCAAATCAAAGAACCCTGATTAAAACAAAAGGTCTTCTCACCTCAAATCCTTTATGAAATGAGGTCAACTTAAAATACTTTTTAGTTAGCTATGATATAAAATTAAACTATATTTTTGTTATAGTTAATGAATTAATATTGTATCTTCTGTTCCTTAGTCGAAAAGTGAGCAGTTAAATGGTCTATTTCTCTAACAAAACAATTAACTGATTCCTCAGGATTTACCGCCCACTGTGACCCTCTTGCCCTGTGCCCACACATACCTACTAAAGACCAGTTTTCAGATCCCCAGGAATAACATAAAATGGGGCATATCTGTCTCGTAAATATGATTGAATAAGCATATGTAGAGCACAGTTGTTTCACTTTTAAGAATCAATTATAATCATTTGTACAATAAAATGAATTATGTCTTTCACACAATATGACAGAGCAGTAATTGATTTTTTTTTTTAATTCGGCCATTCCATCTTCTTCTGGCACCTCAACTTCCTGCTGCTTTGGAGATAGCTAGACCTGTGTGGATCAAGGCATTAGGCCCTGATGTTACCTTACCAGGGGCCAAGCACATGACACAAGTTCAGCCAATTAGAAGCTTACTTCCTGATACTGAGCAGAGCAAAGAAAGAGACCAAAAGCCACCTGGAGTTCATTTCTTGCAGCCCCTGGACAAGCCTGAAGCTGCCCTTGAGACCTTTGGGAGCCTCCTGATTCTTCTGCCTTCCCTCTGGTCCCATAAGCTAGCTGTCAGGTTCTAACTGATGTCCGAGTTCCCATAAGCTAGCTGCCAGGTTCTAATTGAGATCCAACGGGAATCAGTGGATGAGTGGTGGGTAGCTGGAAAAACACTAAAGGAATCATAGACAGTTTTGACATGGCTTTACCCTCTCTTTGGGTGTGAGCAAGCCATATGTACAGCATTAGCAGGGTAATTATACCTTTTACAGACAGTAGTGGCTCCAAGCCCAGCACAAGCTCACATGGGTGATCACCTAATGTGCCTCACATGGCTTGGTTACATAATGTGCGGAGCTATGCGCCTGCGCTCCAAACCCATTGAGTTATGCTGTGCCGGAAGCCTGCCTCAGCCTACTCCTGACTAAAGCACAGCCATTTCCCTTACACTCCACCCCCTAGGCCTAGGGCATCCTCCAGGCAGGCACATGTGCCCATAGGGCAGAGCCCTGAATCCATAACCCACAACAACAATACAGAAAGCAACACCTCACTACTAGGATCCCAGCTATGCCACTTATGACTATTAGGGCCCAGTGTAGGCCAGAGCCTAGGGATGCCCACCATCTCCACAGGGGATCATCAGTAAGGCTCTCAACTGCGTTAATCTGCCATGAGACCCCTTGCAGGGCTGCTGTTATGTTCTACCGATTGTCAGGAATAAAGGTACAACATTGTGTTCCTAAAAGTGCACAGGTGCCTCCTTGGGCAGCAGTTTCTATGTCTAAGGCTATTTGATTTTGCAATACCACCTTTCTAATCTGATCAACCTCATTGGTTAACAGGAGGGGGGCCACTCAAGTGTAATTCAGAGCCCAAGTGGTGTGCTGTGCAAGAGTGGTAACTTGTGCTTCTACGGTTATGACACCCACTCCAGGGATAGTCACTGCCAAGAGGCAGAACCACCAGGGGACTCGTCGCACTTGCACAAACCGAGAACATAGCACCTCCCAGTTAAGTGAGCTATCTGGGCAACTTGGGGAGAACATTGGCAGGTAAGGCCACCCCCAGGTGCAATGTCCAGTCCAGTTCACTGGTAGCTAAGGCCACCCTGTGTCCCCACAGACCCATAAACTCCCAGGGGACACAAAATCCATTGGGGCCCAACCTTGGTGAGGCCGCTCGTTCCATCATACCTTCAGTGTGGTGACATGTATTATGTTTGCACAGGCCATGATGGGTACCCATCCCACAGGGGTGTTGCCCCAATGTGGCTCTATGTACCACAGTACCTGGGCTTGGGGTACTGCATGTTCCCCCGCTAGCCAGCCCCACCCATCATAAACACTACAGGCCAGCCAGGGGGCGGGTGTGCTGTGGGTCTTACAGCATCCTTTTTCAAAGCTTGCCATGTTGCCTCACAGACATCAGCCATGGGACCCCAGGTCTCCAGCCATGTCCAGTTCTCTGCAGATACTGAATGTATGTGCCAAGGCAAGCCATCTGCAGCTGCTGTTGGAAGGGCAGTGCAGATCCAACAGATGGAAACTTGGTCACCTCAGCGTAGGTGTGGGCCCAGTCCAAATGCAGTTAGAGCATGTTAACCTACAGTTGAAATGACAGAGCAGGTACAGGTACTAACAGAGGTAAATCATATCCCTCAGGCAAAATACAGGCTAATCTTTCATCCCTGGATAACAATGCAGCCACCAAGGGCTTTTGCTCTGGGTGATGGTACCACACCTCAACTCCCCATGGTTCCTTTGAGTCCTGTATCTGTGCCAAAGTCACAGGAGAGCTCATAATAGGCCAAACAGACAGTACACATGTCCCCCAGAGGAGAGTTCCTTCCCTGGCTGTTCCCGCTGTAGGGGCCATGTATTGAACACCCAAGGAGTGATATACGAGTCATACTGTAGGCCCTCCCCCCAGGGAGCTCCGATGGCCAACCACCAGCAGTGGGGGGCTTGGAGGGTCCATGGCCACAGCCAGGTTTTCTGTTCCCCTGCCATCAGGGGTGTTGGGGCAGACAACAACAGGTTACCTTTCATCCCCATACCTGGTTGAAGGAGGTCATCCTTGGTATGTATCTGCAACTGCATGGGGGTGGTGGCTTAGTGTAACAAAGCCTCCACCAGGGCTGGGCCACCTTTCCATGGCTGTTCATTCAAGGTTTGGAGCGCCAGGTCCAGCCTGGAACTCCAGCCCCGCAAAGACGGTGGTATAACATGCAAGCGTAACCCATTTTTCAACAGTCCGTTATATTGCTCAGTCATACCCGCAGCTTGTGGTTTGTATGGCACGTGGAATCCCCACTTTATGTCCATTTGTTGTGTCCATTGTTGTACCTGTTGTCCAGTGAAATGTGTTCCCCTATCACTCTCAATGGACAGAGGGCAACCATACAGGGCATGTAAGTGTTGCAATGCCCCGATGATGTGCTGTTGGTCAGCCACCCTGCAAGGGTAGGCAAACAACAGGCCTGTGTCCTTGTCCATAGCTGTTAATGAATGCATATACTCTTGTGACTTCAGCAGCAGCCTGATGTAGTCTACCAGCCATCTGGTCAAGGGCACTGAAGCCTCCACCTTCTGGGCTCAAGCAATTCTCCTGTCTCGGCCTCCCAAGTCCTGGGATTACAGGCCTGTGCCACCATACCCGGCTAATTTTGTATTTTTAGTAGAGATGGGGTTTCACCATGTTGACCAGGCTGGTCTCGAACTCCTGACCTCAGGTGATCCACCCGCCTTGGCCTCCCAAAGTGCTGGGATTACAGGCGTGAGCCACCATGCCTGGCCTGTTTCATTCTTGTAGGGCAAAAGTACTTGCATGTTCCCTTACATTCCTACCTCCAAACAATTTCAGAATGCCATGCCCCAGTCCACAAACTCCACCCTTCCATCTGTCACCAAAATCTAAGTATTTTGCAGAGTTAAGCATAATTCAACCCCTTATGAAATCTGCCCCATTTAACACTGGGCATGCTAATCATATCCAATAATTTCTCCTGTCACCGTTTGGTTTCTTTTACCTTCTAAAAGCTTTACTTCTGTGATATATGCCTTTCTGATGGAACTATAATTACTGGAACATTGAATTTAATGTCCAGAAACAGGAATAGATATTAGCAGATTAATCAGATATTCATTTAGGTTTTATTATAAAGAATCAATTGATTCAACAACAAAAACTTACACATCTTACACAAAAAAACACATCTCCTGTTAATGCACCTGTTTCCATGGTTCCTGCCCTAAGATTGTACCTGGAAAAAAGTAGACAAACAGGAGTAAGAACATGGGTTAGAATGGTTTCAGTGCTATAGTTCCAACAAAGTGTGATATGTGTATGATAAATATTCAAAATGGGATTGTGAAAAAACACCTCTTCCAATTTATTCTTTTCTATTTTTTTCATTTTTCTTTTCTGTACTAGTAGCATTTACTAAATGCAGTTAGTAGGAATAACAATTAGTTAAATTAACCAAGTCTTAATGCCTTATATCTGAATCATTTATTTGAATGACATCAAGACTGAGAGAATAAGTTTTAAAATTTAAACACAGTGGTGCATCCGCTGTGGAAAACAGTTTGGTGGTTCCTTACAGTATTAACCACAGAATTACTATATGATCCAGCAATTCTGCTCCTAGGTCTATACCCCAAAGAATTGAAGGCAGGGATCCAAACAGATACTTGTGTACCAATGCTCATAGCAGCACAATAGCCAAAAGGTGGAAAGAACCCAAGTGGCCATCAACATATTTCACATTTTGTTTGAACGGATAAACAAAATGTGATATATAGCTACAATGGAATGTTATTCAGCCTTAAAAGGGAACAAGATTCTGATAGTTGCTACAACATGGATAAACCTCAAAAACACTATGCCAAGTGAAATAAACCAGACACAAAGGGACAAATATTGTATGATTCCACTTATATGAGGTACCTGGAGCAGTCAGATTCATGACTGCTGCTTCATGAATCTCACTGCTCTAGGTACCTCATATAAGTGGAATCATGAACCCTCAAATCTAAAATAAAAGAAAATCTAATTGTAAAAATAAATTAAGACATTATTACATATAAAAGGATCTACTTTGCTGAGGAATTTATCCAAGCATCCCTTTAAACAGGCAGCTGCTTCCCTCATAAACTTAATTGTTCACTAATGGATCGTTAACACCCCAACAAAAGCTGTTGAGAGCAGAAACGCTATTTGGATTTAACCTATAAATTAACTTTGAAAAAGTTATGTAATAATTTTACTAATATCTTATCAAGAGAGTCGGGAGGTTATGGGATTGGCTTGGAACCAGTTTCTGGGCTAATTGGAAGGAGGTACAAAGAAGCTTTAGAGAAGCAGCTCAGGAAGCTGGAAGACTGTCCAGCACACAGTCTTGGGCAAGAAATCAGCCCACCTTCACTTCTGTCCTCTTATAGGAGGCACTGGCCCCTCTCAAGCCTCGCATGAGAATTCAACACAGCTGAGGTGAGTTGGGCTGTGGCGGTGAGAGAGCACAGCTGCCTTCCAAGCTGATGACCCGAGTTTTCATTTTAATAGTTCAGCTACCTTTTCTAGTAAACAGTGAACCCTTTGAGGTCAAGGATCAAGTTTTCTTTGTAGCATGCTGCCTTGCAAGTATTTCACACATGCTGGGTGAATAATATTATTTTATAAAAAGTGAATAAATTAATGAATGACTAATAAAAAATGACAACAGAAGGTCCAACAACATGGTTATAAATCAGCTCTGAATTTTTAATATTTAGATCTTTGAGTCATAAAAGTTCAAATGACCCACACGATTTTCCTTAGAAACACTCCTCAAAGCATAAAGTGAGAAAAAATTGTGTTTAAGTTTATTCTATCTTCTGTTACAAAAGGGATGTATTTTCTATTGCTTTTGTAACTCTGCCTTGTACCCAAATGCACCACATTCATAATAAGTACTGTTGACAGAATGAATGACGAGGCAAAAAATAGCTCGCAGTACTTTTCATTTTTTATAAGTGTGGAAAGCATATTAAACCATTTGCTGATTAAAAATATGCGTGTTTTGACTTGCATATGAATCAAATTAACATACATAAATCCAACATCTTCACATCACTAGATTCACAGCCATAACCAATATAATTTTCCATGTTTCTTCAAATTCATCAATTCCAGAGTGACATAATTAAGTTATTAGGCATAAAATACACAGTAATGATTTATAACTGAAAACTAACTTTTGTTTTAATTCAATGATCATTTATCCTCTAAAAGTAAAAACAGTACAAGATCATTGAAAATCTAAGACTTTTTTTAAAAAAAATAAAATAGAGATGGGGTTTCACTATGTTCACCAGGCTGGTCTCATAGAACTCCTGACCTCAAGTGATCCTCCCGCCAAGGCCTCCCAAAGTGCTGGAATTACAGGCATGAGCCACTGCGCCTGGCCGAAAATCTAAGATTTTATGTTGAATTTAGCTCTATAAATACTTACTACCACTAAGGGAAACTAAAGTTTGAGGTATAGAACAAGAACTCTTATCCCTCAGTATGATTAATTCCTATAGATGAAAGTACTATGTTGAATCCTAGCACCTTGCTGAGTTGTATAGCCCCAGAAATGTGCAAGCTTCCTGGTTGCAGTTTCCATAACTTCACCTCCTACCTGCCGCTTTACTCTAGCTGGTCCATCCCCACCTTCTTTTCTCCAAGACTCTGGTTTAGGGCAGGGAAGACTCTCTGGGAACCAGACAAACACTCTGTACACTGTTACACTAACGGATCAGGCCATGGTCCTGGGAGGAAGAACACATCCAAGCTGCAAACCTGGGTCAGACTACACCAGGTCTGGGCCAAGCCAATTAAGAGGGCCCAAGGGCTGTTATTAAAAGACACTCTGTCCCTTCCTCTTAGCTCTGCAGTCCCTTAGGATTCACCACCACCTGGAGCACCTCTCTAGGATCAAGAAAGTAGCCTGAGTAGAATCTCTAGCACCCAGCCTCCCCTTACAGCCTGCTATTGGTATACATCTGACACTATAAATCTGGCACCATATAAATGCCCAGCACTTTGGTCATTGAGTCCTTCTAGAGCTGCTGGCACTGAGCCTATGAGAGCAATAGGCATCTTTCTAGCAGAATGTTTTCTAACCTTGTCTTGTGATGTGAATTCTCCAGGGCTGTTGATATAAACATAGATCCCAGGACCTTTCTCTAAGCATTCATATTTATAGTGGGTCTATTTGGGATCCAGGAATCTGAATGTTTAACAAGTGCCCAGGTAATACTCTTCAGCTGGGAATATTGGAAAATACTGTGTTCAAGCACTCTTCAAAGTGCTCACCCTAGTCTCTTGGTGAGGGGAGTTGCTGTTTGTGGATTTAAACCTTGTCCTCTATGGAGATGATTAAAGTGAGAATGCTGGGAAGTCTATGTAAATCCAAGGCATGCTACCATTACTATGATTACATACCTTTAGCCACAGCCACCAGGACACTAAGCACAGTCTGGGTGAGCCTCTTCTCAATACACAGAGCTAAGTGACTGAGAGCCTAGAAGATGGAGTAGGACAAGGAGTGGCCAAAGGCAGTGGAGAGAGGGAGGAGGAGCAAAGCCTGAAATCTGGAAATCAATGCATATGTATTTCAATCCACAATTGCTTTGGCTGCTGATACAAATCAAAGGAAGAAGGAGGGAGATGCAGGGAAAAAATGTAAACAGCTAGGTAAGTGCAGCATTCTGTTAAACATGAATTTTCAGATATTAAAGAAGGACTATCTTAGCAAAGTTATTCATTTATTTATTGAACTTCCAATTTTAGTTTTTAGTACTGCTGTGTAAATGAATCTGAGTTGGATTCCTCAACTCAACTAGATGCTAAGATAAGCATCCGTATGAAGGGATACTCATGAGTTTTATTGATTGCCACTCTGGGAAAAGATTTCTATCCTGCCAGTTTAGCTGCTGACTTACACCATGAATTACAGAGGGATGTAGTTAGAGCATAGTCCCCTCACAGACACAAATATCAGGACCTTCCCTACAATATGGATGAAGAAAATTTGCAATGATGCCAGAAATGAAAGAAATGAGTATTGTTGCAGGGTGCTAGAAGATAATTTGGAGATAACAACTACTCTCTTCTTCAGACTTGAACAAGAAGTTGTGAGCTAAATAGTAGCCTGCAAAATCACCTGGCATTAATACAAGGAAAACCTTGCTCCATGTCTCCTTAAAAAAAGATGAACACAGTCTCTGTGATTGAAATATGTGCCTGCATAGTAACAAGGCAATGGACTAGCTTTTTATCATCCCATCTAGACCTGTGATTATACAGCGAAATATTAACAATGAATGCAACCTCAGCAAAGGCACATTGTACAAGAAAATAGCATGTATGAGAAAAGAGGTTAAATCTTCTAAATGCAATGATTTAGTAAGAATCCTTCAAGTGTCTGAATAATTTTTTTCTTAAATATAGGAATTTAAAGTTAAGTATCCTCATGTCAGAAATTTATCTTATTCTCTTTAGAAGTTGTGGTTCCTTCTATTGTGACAAACTTTCCCAAAGAATGAGATGCAGCCAGGACAAAGCTTTGGGACAACTAGGGAGTATACTAGATGCCAAAAGTATATTAGGGCCAAATATGCCTCATAGTAGCCTCCCTTGACAGTCACATAAAATATGCAAAAAAGATACTTAACAATTCTCATTTTCAATTATAATGCCTTAGGTCTCATTACTTTTTCCTCAGATCAGTATAAGGAAAAAAGTTTTTCCGTGCTCATCCTGCTGATAAAACTTCAATCACTGAAACTTTCCCTTTAAAACTAACAAGGCTTTTTATCTCCCTCCGTTGGCCAGATAATGATTTTACAGGCCACTCAGAATTACCAGAGAGAGCTGCAACTGGAGCAGCAGAAATAAATGAGATCCCTGTAGATAAACCACATAATTCATGGCAGTCAGGAGTTGCAGCCTCTTCTGTCACTTAACCTTGTACCAAGGCTGCTGTGGGTAATTTGATTCCCTGTGTACCTTTCTCTGTCGGAATGGAGAGTGAATTTTAGGGAGATGTCAGACTGGCAGAAGGGGAGACAACACCCTGTGAAGGAAGGAAAACTGCATAAGGATTTAGGAGATTTAACCGAAATATGCCACCTAAGATCGATTATTTCACTACTCAAAAATCTTAATTTCCTTATCTGAAAGAGAGAAGGTGGCACTGAACCTGTGAGATAGAGATCCTGAGATCTGGAAGGACTCTCTAAAGTCCTTGCTTGGGGCAAGTGGGGAAGTAAGTGGGCTCTGGGCTGTGGTTCTCTCAGAATGATTCTGCTTTGGTCTGTTTACACATCAGGATTTCATGTAAGATTTCATTTTCTGAAAGGTATCCGATGCTAAAGAAAGTTAAAACATCTGTTTCCTTCTAGCTCTACCACCCTCTGATTTTTTTTAACAGCCTATGATAAGAGGAGATGAATGCCTGCTAAAGCGACCAGAAGGCTCTCAGTAAAAAGTATTCACTAGGTATCAATAGAATCTGCAAAACGAAGAGGTGCTTGAAAGATGTGAAAGAGGAAACTTAAAGAGAAACCCAGATGGTACATCTCTCTTCCTGGCTAGGTAAGAGGCTGTCTCACTCTTGCCTTCTCACAGCAAAATTTCTACCCTTTCTCCTGAGGTGCTCAACTCTGGCTGCCCAGCAGATCCCCTGTGGTGGTATTAAATGATAGAAGGGTCTGATCTGCCACTCTGGGGATTCTGACTCAACAGATGTGGTTTTTAAGATCCAGAGGTGGTTTTGACGTGTAACTAGGATTGAGAATTTCTGCCTGGCGTCAGCCCTTCGACCTTTAATAAAACTGCTCTCCTAAAAGACATTGATGGTCGGGCGCGGTGGCTCACGCCTGTAATCCCAGCACTTTGGGAGGCTGAGGCGGGAGGATCACAAAGTCAGGAGATCAAGACCATCCTGGCTAACACGGTGAAACCCCGTCTCTACTAAAAAAAAAAAATATATATATATATATAAAAAATTAGCCGGGCGTAGTGGTGGGCGCCTGTAGTCCCAGCTACTCGGGAGGCTGAGGCAGGAGAATGGCGTGAACCCGGGAGGTGGAGCTTGCAGTGAGCCGAGATCGCGCCACTGCACTCCAGCCTGGGCGAGACTCCATCTCAAAAAAAAAAAAAAAAAAAAAAAAAAGACATTGATCATTGATGACACCCTACAATGTAAGTTATCATTTTTAGGTAGATGACTCCAAATCTAATCCTCTATAAACAACCACATTCTATCCGGGTGTCTCATCAACTTTTTTTCCAACAACCAGTCTTGCCTTCCAAGATCCTCTTATCTGTAGTGGCCCAACACTTCTTCCAGTGACTCAGGCTCCCAGTGACTTGAAGGCATCCACGACTGCCATTCCCCGTGCCCCAGAATCCCATCTGCACAAACATAGTAAACCTACCCTTGTATCTGATCCTAAACCAGGTCCTTGCTTTCCATTCCTCCCGCCACTCTTCAAACCGGGCTCCCTTTATTACTTGATAAATTGTTTACAGTCATGTGATCGGAGTGTCATTCTCCCATCTTTACCCATTATGATCCACCCCAATCTGACTTGTTAGCTCCTTATTCAAAACTGCAATGGCTCCCCGCTGACTATCTTTTAAAAACAAACCCCTTCATCTATCTCTTAGATTTCACAATAGGAACCCAATCTAAGTTTCCAGGCTTATCTTTGATTACATAGCAGCATGAACACAATCCACCATCTAAAGAGCATTACCCTTTCTTCTGTAAACATGTCCTAGGCTTTTTAGATCCTATGCCTTTGCCCTTACTCTTCTCTCCACCTAAAATACCCTCCTCTCCTTTGTAAGCCACCTCCTTCCCAATGGCTCTCCAGCTCTTTCCAAATGAATCTGAATGGCAGTAACACTGTGCTTGACTCTTCCGCAGCAGTCATAACATCCTGTCTTGCAGCATGCTTATCTTCTCTCTCCTCGTTTGCTGAGGTCTTGCTTCTTCAGAGCACTGCCCTGTGAGCCTTGTCGCTGTATGGAAAGAGAGTGGGCTTTGGAGCCAGTGATCCCTGTGTTTAAATTCCAGCTCTACCAACAAACAGCCATTTGAACTGTTAAATTATTTGAACTGTTCAAATTATTTAGCCCTTTCCTGCCTTAGTTTCTCCATCTGTAAAATGGGAATATTAATATCCAATTCCTAGAATTAAGATGAAGTCTGAGATAATGCATGTAAAGTGCCTGACACACACACAAAGGCTTTCAACAAATGGTAGTCCCATTAATAAATGTCAAACAGAGGCTTGACAGGCTTTTATCTATATTGGAAGGTGACACCCCACTAATCCAGCTTGATGGAACCATTTTCTGTAGATATTCACCACCTGGTCCTTCTTACCTGTTAAGAAGATTACAGGGCTATTTTTATTTTTGAGACAATACTCTGAAGCAGAGAAGTAATAGCTTCCTCCCTATTATCTGTCTGTTTGCCAGTAATAATAAGGATTGGTGGTAATAGTGAAATGACAGGTAGACAAGAACAGGAAGAAAGAGCAGCAAGAAAACTCTAAATTAAAATATTCAGCACTTACTGAGAGACATAAAATATCCACAACTGGCTGGGTGTGGTGGCTCACACCTGTAATCCCAGCACTTTGGGAGGCCAAAGCAGACAGATCGCTTGAGCCCAGGAGTTCCAGACCACCCTGGGCAACATGGTGAAACCTCATCTCTACAAAAAATACAAAAATTAACTGGGGGTGGTGGCATGCACCCATAGTCCTGGCTACTCAAGAGGCTAAGGTGGGAAGATCATCTGAGCCTGGGGAGGTCAAGGCAGTGAGCCAAGATTGCACCCCTGCACTCCAGCCTGGCTGACAGAGACCTCGTCTCAAAAAAAAAAAAAAGCTGAAAACCTTCCAAAATAAATATTATCAAGTTGCAAATGTAGTAAATAAAGAAATAATTCACCACAGTCAGCTAGCTTATTTCAGAGAGGTAGAAGTTATCAAATAATAGGAAAGCCATTAACATAATACATCCAATCATTATGTCAAATACAAAAGAATAGACTTGCTTCTATACATGCTTAAAACATATTTGGTAAGAATCAACAGCAATCCCTGATACTATTATTTTAAGAGGAGAAGTAGAAAAAATACTTACTAAATATAAGAAAAAGTATTCGATTAAAACCAATAGCCATCATTATATTTAATAGCAAAACATTAGTTATATTCCCATTAAAATATGCACAAAAAAGGAATATTGTTTAATATAGTTCTGAAAGCTGTGATCAATGCAATAACACATGATACAAAAGATATACTATTAACAAAGAAGAGATAAAATGATACTTATTTTGTGACAGTTATTGTATGACTATAAGTCCAAATAAATAACTTGAAAATTGTTTAAACACAAGGGGCTGAAAGTAAGATAGGCAGAAATCAAAAGCATTCCAATATAATTGTAATAATCAGCTAGAAACTTTTAAATGTATGTATATGTATGTATATATATATATAGTTTACCTTTTCTAAAACAGATTTGAGATGGTTTTAAAAAAAAGCTCATATGGTAGTAAGAAGAAAAAATATATAAAACATCTAGAAGTAGCTTTAATGCATAATGTCTTTCAAATAGTCAAAGAAAAGAACAAAATTTTATTAAGATATATTTATTAAAGTTTGAGAAAATGGAAAAATACACTATGTTCCTGGGCAGAAAGATGTTGATATAAATATTTAAATATTTTCCAAATAATGTAGGTTTAACCAAGACATTCAACAAGTATTTATTGAGCACCCACTGTATACCAAGCAAAATGCTAGGTACTAGGGATACAGTCATGAACAACACAAAGGCTCTGCCCTCCTGGTGTTTCAATTCTTGAGGAGTTGGCACAACAAACAAATAAAGCCTTAATATAGTATAGTGTCAGGTAACGATATGTGCATTGAATAAAAATAAAATAGGGTTAAGGGATAGAGAATGAAAGAAGGGGGATGTGGTCAGGGAAGGTCTTTGAGGGAGTAACATTGGAACAGATACTTGAATAAAGTGTAGGAGAGAGCCGTGTGGCTATCTGGGAGAGCAGTATTTCTTGCAGAGGGAACAGCAAATGCAAAGGCCCCAACATGCTACCAGCCTGATATAGTCTAGAAACTGCAAGAAATGTAGTGTTGCACTGGGCACGGTGGCTCATGCCTGTAATCCCAGCACTTTGGGAGGCCGAGGCGGGAGGATCACCTGAGGTCAGGAGCTCAAGACCAGCCTGACCAATATGGAAAAACCCCGTCTCTACTAAAAATACAAAAAAATTAGCCGGGTATGGTGGTGCATGTCTGTAATCCCAGCTACTCGGGAGGCTGAGGTAGGAGACTCGCTTGAACCTGGGAGGCAGAGGTTGCGGTGAGCCGAGATCACACCACTGCACTCCAGCCTGGGCAGCAAGAGCAAAACTCTATCTCAAAAAAAAAAAAAAAAAAAAAAAAAGAAAAGAAAGAAAAGAAAAGAAATACAGTGTTGCTAAAGCAGAGTGCGTAAAGTGGAGACCTGTGGGAGATGAAGATGGAGGTAATGTGAGGGCAGATTGTGCAGGCCCTTGTAGAACAGGACTTTGGGGTGTAAGTCTTGTGGTAGCTGTTTTGACCAGGTGAGGATGTGATCTAATAAGGTTTTTTTTAAAGAGCTGTCTGGTCTTGATGCTGAGAATAGACAGGGTACAGGTGAGGGGAAAATAGAGCAGTAAGAACAGTTAGGAGGTTATTTCAGTAATTCAGTCTGGAAAAGATGGGCTTGTACTTGTATAGTAGGGGTGGAAAGAACCAGAAGTAGATTTCAGATAGATTTTGGAGATAGACATAAAAGATTTGCTGATGGGTTGGGTATGAAGGGTGGGACCATGGGAGGAATCCAGGTTGGTCCCTTGATTTTTGTCCTGAAGTTACTGGTTAGATCACGGTGCTAATTGCTTCACTGGGGAAGACTGGGAAAGGAGCAGGAGCTGGAGATTGAAACCAGGAGTCTTAACACATGTTAAGTTTGAAATGTCTGTTAGACTCCAAGTGGAAGTGGTGATGTTGAGTAGGCAGTTGCTAAAAGATCATGAAACTCATAGAAACATGTTGGGCCATCAACAGATAGATGGAATGTACAGCCAGAGGATTGGATGAGGTCATCGACGGAGAGAATGCAGAGAGAATCCTGGGGCTCACCAACATGAAGAATTTGGGACAAGAAAGAAGATCCAGCAGAGAAGACTGAAAGAAGGCAACTAATGAAATAGGAGAGAACCTGGAGAGCACAGAGTCTTAGAGGCCAAGAAAGTGGTTTAATATAATCCGTATCAAAGCATTTGTGGTTTATTTTTGTTAACTGACAAAAGGATTCTAAAACATACCTGAAAAGTATAATTCACACCTAGGATAATGGATCATTCTGTCACATTGTTCCTTTTTCACAGCTGATATGAACATGATATTTTCATGACTTTGTAAAATAAAAATGGAATCTTTCTAATTTTTTTAAAAAAACTGCTTACTTATGCAAGCCTTCTGTCTCTCACTGTATAACCCCTCCACTTTTATACGGGTCACACATGTTTCTGTCACTTTCCTGGAGCCCTTGTAGCAAATTAATAACATGTAGCACATGCTTGAAGAAAAATTTGTCTAGGACATTTTGTTTTTGAGATTCATAAATTGACTCTATTTTACATAAGAATCTATTATGCCATAGGAAGCTTATTAAACCCTTGAGCAGGAACAAATTATTCAATAAATGGTGATGAGATGAATGCCTAGAAATACAAAAACTTTGATTTCTCACTTTATTCCACACACCAAAGTGAATTCTAGATTGGTTAAACATTTAAATATTTAAAAATTTAACAGTAGAAACATTTGAAGAAAACATGGATATTTATTTATAAAACTTCTACAAGGGGGAAGTTTTCCTATACTAGAAATAACAGAAAAAACTATAAAGACCAGCAGATCTATAAAAATGAGAAATTCTATACACAAAACAACTATTAGACAAATATTAAAATGGAAAAATGTTTTCCATAAAATGTCAAAGTTAATATAGTTTCTACATAAAGACCTCAGGCAAACAGATACGAAAACTGGTAGGGTCCCTGTTGATAGCTGGCCAATATAATATTTATGAAAGAGATCATTACCCAAAAGAGAAAATTCACCCAGTCAACACATATATGCAAGCATGTTGATCCTTGATAGTAACCAAAGAAACAACACAAAAAAATCGTGCTCATTTTTCACTAATACTATTACTAAAGATTAGTTTTTTTGTTGTTTTGGTTTTGTTTTTGACACAGGGTCTCACTCTGTTACTTAGGCTAGAGTGCAGTGGCACAATCATAGCTCACTGCATTCTTAAATTTCTTGGTTCAAGAGATCTTCCCACCTCAGCCTCCTGAGTAGCTGGGACTACAGGCACATGCCACCACTCCCTGATAATTTAAAACAATGTGGGTTTTTTTGTAGAAATGGGGTCTGCTATGTTGCCCAGGCTGGTCTTGAACTCCTGACCTCAACGAGTCCTCCCACCTCGGCATCCCAAAATGCTGGATTACCAGTGTGAGCCACTGCACCCAGCCCTAAAGATTTGTTTTTAAAAATAATAATATACATCCTTGGGAAAGGTTCAGTTAAGGGGACTCTCTTTTGTACTGATGATATAAATTTAGACAAGCAATTTGAATTTGTATCAAGATCCCTCAAAAAGAAAAGTCTGTATTCAGTGGGTGACTTGGCATCTCCACTTGTAGACTATCTTAAAGAAATATAAAGCTTTTCATAAAAATAAATAAAAATATATATCCCATTATTTATAATTACCTACAAATGGAAATGAAAGTTTTGCAGATACAGTGGACCTGAAATGGTTAAATTAGAAAACAGCCTTTCCTGTTGGAGCCAGAAAATAATTTCTAATAACGTTACAAAGGAAGCTTCACTGCATGCATTCTTTTGCCCAGTGGGGATCTCTTTGTAGCCCTGACCCCAATCAGTAAGTTACTTCGCCCACCAAAAGAAGAAGAATTTAGCTTCCATCCACACAATGTGGGCACAACCTACAGGCCGCTGACCAGGGAACATGGAGAACCAGATTAAAGGGCTGGAAAACTACAGGATCATGCAAATAGAAAGGGAAGCTTCCTCTGATAACAAACAAGCAGCAATAGGCATTCTTGCAGAGTTTATTGAAGGAAAACAATGTCTCCTTTGCAATAAAATCGATATAGGCTATTATTTTGAGCAAACTCAAAGACAGAATTTCTGCAGAGAAATTAGGGTGAAAAATGAAAGAAAATGACATTCCTGAAAATACTGCCTTAGGACAAGGCTCTTGAGGAAGATCATCAGCAGAACTTAGGTAAAGTCCAAAGCAGGGGAATCAGGCTCAGACTTCACACTCCAAGCATGCATTCATTTATTCACTCATTCATTCTTTCAGTAATTTATGTGTTGACGTAGCAAATATTTATTGAGCAGCAAATATATGCTAGACACTAAGCAAATATTGGAGGTTAAATTACCTTAGTGAAAAAGACAAGAAAAGTGTGCTTTCATGGATTGTATAATAGCAGCAAAGCTAGGCCTTAAAACAATAAAAAAAATTATTTAAGTTCAAATTGATAAGTACTAACAACAAAGAAGTTTTGAAATCTGTGAGAGTGAGTGACAGGAGAACCTAACCTAATCAGGGGATCAGATAATTCATTTGGGGGTTTCTAAGAGATTTGAAATTTTTAATGAACTTTTAAAGGTGAAAGATATTTACCTAAGGTAATCATTTTTACCAATTCCTTACTGGGGACAGAAATGGAAACTTAACTATTTGTAGTTTACTGAATACACAATATACATATATTTTCTATAGAGTTAAATATTAACTATAGGTTTTATACCATTGTATGAATTCCAGCAAACACATTCTATTATTTCTATAAAGACCTAAATTATTCTTTTGAATAGATACTTAGGCTGAGAGGAAACTTCCCATCTATTTAGTAAAGAGTATGGTATTTAACATCACTTTCTTCTGTCTAGTTATTCTAACAATGCCAAACCATAACCATTTAGTATAGGCATTTCAAGATAATACATCAATTCAAAACAAGTATTCATTGAGTGTGTGTTGTGTGATAAGCTGTGTTTTTGCAGCTGAGATAACAGTGGTGAGGAAAACAGACAAGGTCCCTGACTTTCTGGAATTTACATCTTAAAATGAACTTAAATTGTTTCTAATGTTTTAATTGACATTTCCAATAGCAATGGGAATGACCACTTTACTGCATATTGTATTCTCATCAATAGTGAGTACTATCATTACTTGCTTTTATAGAAGGAAAGTACAAAAAAAATGAAGGCATTGTTATGGGTTGAATTGTGTCCCCCCAAAAAAGATATGTTGAAGTCTCAAGCCCTAGTACCTCAGAAATGTGACCTTATTTGGAAACAGGGCTTGTGCAGATGTAGACAAGTTAAGATGAAATCATTAAAGTGGTCCCGACTCCAGTTGACTGTTCTCCCTGTGAATGCCATGTGAAGAGAAGGCAGAGATCGGGGTCATGCAACTATAAGCTAAGCAACACCGATTGCCAGCAACCACCAGAAGCTAGGAGAGAGGCACTGAACAGATTCTCCCTCATGTCCTCAGAAGGAACCAGCCCTGCCAACTCCTTGATCTCCGACTTCTGCCCTCCAGACAGAGACAATACACTTGTAGGTTAAGCCACCCAGTTTGTGGTACTTTGTTGTGTTAGCCCTATTAAACCAATACAGGTATGTTTCTTAAGTTGGGTTCCACTGGAAGCAGAGATTTACAAATGACTTGGGTGGTAATTGATGTTTGACACGTGCTCAGATATAAATCTCACTCTCGAAAGTATCATGATGTTTTGTTTGTTTTCTCTTATTTTCCCTGTGGTTTTAGACATTAAAGATAATGAAGCAGGCGGTGGCATGTCTGTAATCCCAGTACTTTGATAAGCCAAGGTGAGAGGATTGCTTGAGGTCAGGAGTTTGAGACCAGCCTGGGCAACATAGTGAGACCCCTTCTGTACAAAAAATTAAAAAAAAAATAGCCCGCCATGGTGGCATGTGCCTGTAGCCCTACCTACACTGGAGGCTGAGGCAGGGGGATCTCGTTAAGTCCAAGAATTCAAGGCCATAGTGAGCTGGGATCTTGCAATTGCATTCTAGCCTGGGTGGCAGACAGAGACCCTGTCTCTAATTTAAAACAAAGAAAGATAACCGAGCAAACCAGAGACTGCCAATGGGCAATGAAGGCCTTTACCATGAATTGACAAATTTGGGTAATCAGTGATTAGAATTGGATGCAGGAGGAGAGGATCTAGCTTTTGGGAGGCTTGAAGTTTATTTAATCTTCTCTTTAAGAAAAAGAGTATAAAATTATAAATATAAAATTAGATACAAAAGTAAATATTTATTTAGAATAAAAAGAAATAAAAAATAAATTACAAACATTAGAAAGATGATAAATACTATGAATACCCATACATCTAGAACCCAATTTTTTTTTAATTCTCTGACAGCTTTTTATAATATATTTTTCTGCATATTTTGGCTGCATATTCTTTGATCACCTCTTTAACATCAATTTTGTAACACAGCTTTCTAAAGATAGAAAACAGCCTTCCTCTAGCATGGTTGGTCTAAATTTGTGTTTTATTATTGATAGATGGGATGCATAAAACATGCAACCTCACACATAGATGTGTTCACTGCTACAGGATTATGCATCAGAAACCCAAGAATTCTGATAAAATCTACTTTAGATGATTTTCATGAAAATGTATTTTGGGTTTATAATTATGTATAATGTACATTCCTAAACAGGAGAGAATTTCTGTCTTGATGGGGCATTGATGAGAATTGAATTCTTTGTTTACAAGTTTACATGTCTGATGTTCGAAGGAATTTTCCACAGAATTGCTTCTGGCTCTGCACATTGCAGACCTTGCTTATCTCTCTCCCCACATACTCCTACTACAGGGCAGGTTCTTATCCTGATATGGCCTCTGGCCCTAGTCCTTTCAACATCATGCCTGGTAATGTTGGCTCAAGGGCAGGAGGAGAATCCAGAAGCCATTTCTATGCCAGATCAGCCAGTAATAGCTTAACTATGTAAGGAAGTCACTTGACCCTCATAAATATATCCTGCTAAAACCACAATTTATTTAATATATTCCCCAATTCAACTTCCTCTTAGCCAGCTCCCCAAAACACTTACGTCCCCAGTAATACCACCTGACTGCAATGTAATAGATGGGAAGTCAAAGTGGAAAGAGACAAGGGTCATAACCAATTGCAATAAAAATATTTTACTTTTGAGCCAGGTGCAGTGGCTCAAGCCTATAATCCAAGTGACTTGGGAGGCAGAGCAAGGTGTTTAAGGCTGCAGTGAGCTATGACCATGGCACTGCACTCCAGCATGGGCCACAGAGCAAAACCTTATTTCTTAAAAAAAAAAAAAAGAACGAAAAAGAAAAAAAAAGA
The DNA here is from genome assembly GCF_000001405.40 of Homo sapiens. Classification (NCBI taxonomy): domain Eukaryota; kingdom Metazoa; phylum Chordata; class Mammalia; order Primates; family Hominidae; genus Homo; species Homo sapiens. The sequence continues at coordinate 98,683,384 of NC_000004.12, forward strand.
AAGAAAAGATAAAAATATTTACTTTTGCAAATTTTACAAAAATCTACAAGTATGTGAATGCATGTGTCAGGATACTTCCTAGGACCTTGTAAGGAGCCCAGGCATGACACGACCCACCATGAGAGCGGCCTGAAGCTTAACCTTCATTCATACGTCAGAGTAACCTGCCTTTCACAATGCTAAATGAATGATCTGAAGCTTTGTCACAGTTTGTTTGTGTTTTTTTTGAGAAGGAGTTTTGCTCTTGTTACCCAGGCTGGAGTGCAATGGCGCAGTCTCAGCTCACTGCAACCCCAACCTCCCGGGTTCAAGCGATTCTCCTGCCTCAGCCTCCTGAGTAGCTGGGATTATATGTGCCCAACACCATGCCTGGCTAATTTTTTGTATTTTTAGTAAAGATGGGGTTTCACCATGTTGGCCAGGTTGGTCTCGACCTCCTGAGCTCAGGTGATCCACCTGCCTCGGCCTCCCAAAGTGTTGGGATTACAGGTGTGAGCCACTGTGCCCAGCCAGGTAAGTTCTTTATATATTTAATTTTTTATCATTTAGGCTTTGGCAATAGGGAATGAAATTTAGACCATCCCTCTGGGGTAAGGGGAGGCTGTGATGAGTGGGAAAGAGAGTGAGTAAATGAGAGAGGAATGGTTATAAGAGTTGGAAAGTGGTAATATGGATGGAAATAAGTTGTGAGTGTAAAATACAAGCATTTTTTTCTGACTCTTCCACTTCTGACATAAAAGGATAGAAGATAATCTTCAAAGAGGAGATGTTAGCCTGGCTTATGTAACAAAGAGAGTCAGATGACCTGGTTTTGTTAAATCCAGAAAGGTCTGTGATTGAGGACCTACCCTTTGAAAGTTAATTTGAGTTATTACTTTATACCTTATTCATATGTGGGCCTAAGACCAAATGCTTTTAATTAATTTGTTTATAAATAGAATGTGCACAAGGGTTGTTTTGAGAAATAGTGATAAATATATTTGAATATGCCCAAGTTTTGTTATTTGTCATAGTGATAATAATGATAATATTAGTTTGTGGGCCTAGCGAATACTGTTTGGTTTTACATTGTTTGGTCCAACTGAAGCCACCAGTGTTAAGGTAAAAATCGCCCTTGGCTATAGGGTAGATTTCTTTATAGTAAAAGAGGTGGTGCTCTTTTGATTAATAATTAAATGTAGGTCTTCAGATAGAGGAAAGGCAAAGAAATGATATCAAAGACATTAATATACAATTCATATCCTTTAGTGAATATAAAAACAAAATCACAATCTAACAGATCAGTAAAAGTAACAAGGAATTTAACAGGCTTTGATTTTGGTCAAAAATTACTTAGGTGTCCTCCCTAACCACGACGTACCCATCGCCTGGTTTAACATGGAGCAGCAGGGAGAAAGGACATGCTGATGAAAAGCCTCAGGCTCTTTAACTGCCTTGACTTGGTCTCTCCTGTATTAGTTTTCTGTTGCTGTTGTAAGAAATTACTATAAACTTGGTGGCTTTAAACAACACAAATATATTGTTTTATAGTTCTTATACCGGAAGTCGAACATCGATCTGGCTGGGCTAAAATCGAGCTGTCAGCAGGGCTGCACTCCTTTCTGGAGGCTCTAGGCAGGGAATTCCTTTCCTTGCCTTTCCTGGCTTCTGAAGGATGCCCACACTCATGGCCCTTACTCTCCATCTTCACGTCAGCAACATAGGATCACTCTGACCCTTCTTCCATTGTCACAACTTTTTCTAACCACAGCTGGGAAAGGTTCTTCACTTTTCAGGACTCGTGATTAGATTGGGCCTGCCAGGCTAATCCAAGATAATCTCTCCATCTCAAGGTCCTTAATCACTTCTGCAAAGTCCCTTTTGCCACGTGAGGTAGCATATTCATGGGTTCTAGAGATTGAAATGTGGACATCTTTGAAGGGCCATTATACTGTCTACCACATTTCCCTAGCCTAAAACAGAATTGGGGGAGGCACAGTGGTCAGCAGCCTTCCCGGCTCCTTCCTACTCTACTGCAAGGGACATTTTTGGAATATTGCCAATGTGTAGCCTTCCGGAGAGGTTTTCCAACATGGTAATGTGAGAATGAGGGGGGTGAGAATGGCTCCTCTCCTTAAAATTAATAATAATAATGAAGATTATTGGTAAAATCGCTCCTCTTAAGAACTTCGAGTGTTCTGTTTTGCATGAGTTGAGTGACTATCTAGCCTGAACACACAATCAAGAGATAAAATACTACTATTTTTGTTATTATTTGTCTTGGCCTGATTTAAACTGCTGATTCCACAATAAAATCAAAGGGCATCAAAGTCCATTTCCAGATTCCTGAGAGGCTCATTTCCTTTCATTGCTCCTTTGCCATTTTGTGCTTTCCTGATTTTGCGCAAATATTTGCAATTTGGGTGGGGGCCACAGTTTACCAGTCAACCCAGAATTCTTTTCACCTGCATGCTATTATTCAACTTGTTGTATAACAAAGCTTCTTTGAACTTTACATATCAAAGAAAAAAATCACTCTTTCTTAGACTAACATCTAAAGCAGCTCAGCGTGCACAAAGAGACAGATGCCACTGCTGCAATTGACTTCAAGACCTAACAGATCTTCTGGCAGACTGTCCGCTATTGACTGGAGATGTTTGATTTTTAAAATTATGTTTTTATGTAGATGTTACTCTCTGCTAAGTAATCCTATCCTTTTTATGCTTTTCCATTAAAACTATTTACAATCAAGACATTAACCACTATCCTGTTCTTTCTTTGTTTTGCTAATTATGATACACAGATGCTGTTGCACAATCAAGGCAGTTGTTTGTATACTACAATAATGAATGAATAGATGAATGAATGAACAAAAGGTACAATGTTGTGTGGCGGATAAGTCCAAGTCTATCAAGTCTTGGCTCCATCTATTATATCTCTATGGCTTTGGGCCACTTAGCTTCTCTGGACCTCAGTTTCCTCATCTAGAAAATGAGGCTAATAATGTCTACCTTGTAAGTGTATCGTAAATATTTGGGATAATATATGTAAAATGCCTCAAGCACAGAAACAGGCAGTAAATCTCTCTCTCTCTCTCAATAGGAATCAGTAACCAGTGTTTTGCTCTTTGGGGATTACACAGCTAACCCTCAATAATCCACATGTGGGTTCTTCTCTTTGCAAATTAGCTCCAGCACATTTTTGAAGTAAGCAGATTTTCCCATGAACTCCTCATTTACTCTTGGCTGACTTTCCACCACCAATCTCATGTGTGTTTATATAATGCAAACAATTTAATATTAAGCTATGTGTTACTTTTGTAGAAAGGTAAATTTGCGTCCACAAATAAGATACATTTAAAAAACCTAACGTGTATGACATTTGAAATTCTCTAACTTGCAATGACTTGCCAAGTTGCTGAATAAGCCAGTTGGAAAATTTTTAATTTTATTGTATTAAAAGGGGGAACAGGATTGTGTGGCCAAATAATTGTGTGGTTTTGTAAATTTTAATTTTTCTTTTTATTTGCAACTCTCAGACCATGTCTGTGTATAAACACCAATATTAATTTTCACCCAACAGCTCTTCTGGCATCTAAAATGTTTGCTGTCACTGGTTCAGTTGAGATAATCATATCAGTAATGTCTAACCTCAGTCCCATTCCTGGGCCCCTGGAGAGAAGAGTTAATGGGATCAAGGCTGGCTCATGAGTTATCAGCTACTCCACGAAGCTGAGTCTCATAGATTAATGCAGAACTGGCAAGCTTAAAGTCCTGGGGAAAAGGCTGAAATGATACATGGGGATGGTTAAAAACAGTGGTAAACATTTGAAAATGAAGGTCTTAGGTATGGTATAGAGGGTAAAGCATCACAATTCCAAACAAAATTAAAGATATTGCACCTCTAATACATTACCAGAGGCTAGTAAATAAAGATTTAAAAAGAAGGAAAAAATATAACACCTAAGTATTCCTGATGTTTATTGAGGATGAAGAAAAAAATGAATAGAAAGAAAAGAAGGCAAAGACCAAAGAACCTTCCCTGGAAGAGCAGGGCTGTGCTTTGGCATCAGGAGCCAAACCCCACACCCACCTGTGCTAGCGGGCTCTACTACCTAGCTAGGAAGGACGGGGTGCTTGTGTGCTTGCTTCAACAGCTTCATTGAGCTGTTCACGTGCCTGAAGAGTCACCCATTTAAAGTATGCAATTTAGTGGTTTTTAGCATATTCCCAGATATGTACAATCATCACCACAATTTTAGAACGTTTCCTTCAGCTCAGAAAGCAACCTTGTACCCTTGAGCTCTGACTCTCATCCATTCTCCTGTTCATCGCCCAGCCCATGCAACCACTAATCTACTTTCTGTATCTATAGATTTTCCTATTCTGGACATTTTCTATAAATGAAAATGCGACTTTTGTGACTTATTGCACTTAGCATCGTGTTTTCAAGGTCCATCCATGCTGCAGTGTCTATCGGTACTTCATTTCTTTTTATAGCTGAATAATATTCTATTGTGTGGCTATGCCACATTTTGCTTATCCATTCAGCAGCTGAAGGACATTTGGGTTGTTTTCACTTTGGGACTATTGTGGATATTTTGAATAAACATTCATGTCGAGGTTTTTGTATAGACATATGTTTCCATTTCTCTTGTGTATGTACCTAACAGTGGAATTGTTGGGTCATGTGGCAACTCTCTGCCTGTTTGAGAAACTGCCAGGCTGTTTTCCAAAGTGCCTGCACCATTTTACATTCCAGCAGCAGCTCATAAGGTTTCTCTACAACCTCATCTATCATGTGTGCTCATCTTCTGGCTTTACATAGCTTCTTCTATGTGACAAGAGAAATGAGATAAAAATATAGGATTTGCTTTCTAGGCAAAAGAACCCACTGTTATTAATATCCTAAGAAATGCTTATTTTCTACTTTATAGTTCTAGTACAAATGTGAGCTGACTTTTTTTTCAGGATGTACTATAATAATTTGAGTGTTGAAGAGAAAATCCAATGCTGAATGTGAAATACGTAAAAAATATTTCCTGTGTTACCACTTAAGCAGTAAATAGCCCAAAGCCTCTCCCAATACCCCACCACCTCACCACTTTGAACTGGGCAATTCTTACTCATCTTTGAGTTCTCTGGATGCCTTCCCCAAGTCACTGGCTTGAGATAGGTCACCTTGGGGTGAAGCTCCCATGGCACCTCTACTTCCTCTGACAAAACGTGACTCAGAGTTTTGTTTTGTTATCATTATTCCATATCCGCCTTGTCCTCTAGTCTGTAAGGCACTGGGGCAGAGTGACCTTGGCTGTCTTTCCTACAGTATCTCCATCATCTAGCCATGTGTGTACTCCATAAGTATTTGCTGAATGAAGACGCAAAAAAGGTTTTCCACTAAGAAGTTTTCCTGCTTACTAAACTTTTCAGTGAATGTGTATAAATTAGGCTTCACTAAAGTGTTTGCTTTGTTTATGAAAAACCCAAGCTGCATCTTAGCTCTTTGGCACACTCCGAGAACAGGCTTATTTTACCAGCAAATTCCTCCCTGAGTCAGCTAATGCTAAGGTATGTTCAATACTTTTCTGAAAACGATCCTAATCTCCCCTAACAGAGGCCAGAGTGTAGCTGAAACAGCTCTTCTGACAGTTAGGAAGCTCTGATTCTGTCAGTCATTTTCTGTTCTTTATCATGTTTTTTTTCAAAGGAAAAAGCTGTTTTCCTGTGTGTGAGAACATTCTCTCTTATCTAATAATGCTCAATTGTCTTTCTGTTCCATTAGTGTGCAGGAAACCACCTGTCCAATTGAGATCAGAGCTGCAGATGTCAAAGTGTCTCATTTTATATAGATGTGCAGCTGTCAGATCAGAGATCAAAGGCTTCTCTTTAATGAAAACAAGTCATCTTTACCAACATGACTGTAGAATTTATACGAATACAGTTATCTGGATTGAATGATTGGCATTCATCTTTTTCAAGCTCCCATCATTTTAACAATGACTTGGCTCTCCCAACTTCCTCAAGTAAAGAACGAGGCAAACATCCTAACCTCTGCTCCCTCTCCTCTAATTCTGCTCCTATTTCTCTGGTCCCTGTACCAGAGGATTCATAATGGTCTCCCATGGGTCATGCTTGAGAGAGTTTTATTTGACCAAATGCATATAAAAAAAATTGTTGGGATTAAGGGCCAGTATTTTCAAATTGGAAGATTTCACATAAAAATCAGATCTCCAATTTTTCTTGAAAAATCAGGCAGTCCCAACACTGAGTTGTATTCTCAAAGACGAATATTGTAGTGTAGTCACTAAGGTGGTTTCCAATGATGCTTACCTCCTGGTTTGCATGCCTTTGTCAAATCTCCTCCCCTTGAGTGTGTGGTGAACTTGGCTCACTTCTAATTAACAGAATCCAGCAACAATGATAGGATGTCACTTCTGAGATTGGGTTACAAAAAGACTGCCTTCCATCTTTCTTCCTCGCTTGCTCTGGAGAGGCGCTGACTGCCCTATTATGAGCTGCCTTAAGGAGAGACCCATATGAAAAGGAACCAATTCCATCAGCCACCAGCCACCAGGGACCTGAGGCCTGCCAACAACCACATGAATGAGTTCAGAAGTAGATCCTCCCTCAGTTGAACCTTAAGCCAAGACCACAGACACAGCTGACACCTTTATTATTGTCTTGTGAGAGACCATGGATTAGAGGACCCAGTTAAACCATGCCTGGATTCCTGGCCCACAAAAACTGTGAGAAAATATGTTTGTGTTTTAAGTCAATACGTGTTGGGGTAATTTGTTACCCAGCAATAGATAACCATTGCAGTAACCATTAGTGATCAGGTGGAGCTGAGCACAGCTGTGCCCTTTGGAAGGCATGCATTCTCTCTGCTTGCACTTGTCCAGCCCACCCATGGTCATTGAGACCCTGCTCTATGCTGTGTATTAATCCACTATTCATTCAGTCACCCCATCAGGACCTCCCTTGATCCACCAGTTACTCAGTGCTATAGGAGATACCTCTGGGTTTCATTCCCTCTTCTTTGCTCTGCATGTCCTAATCATGGTTCGATCCCTCCTATTATCTTGCTTGGACTTTGGCAGCTATCTCCTAATTCCTCTCAGTTTCTTGTCCCACTCACCTCCAATTCATCCCTCCATGCTGCTGCCAGACAGCTATTTCTAAATGCTCTTCAGGATGAAATCTAAACTTTTGGCTTGGTTTCCAAGGCCCTCCAGGATGACCAAGCCCCCCTCACGCTCCAGCCACATCTCTCCCACACCTCCCTTTGCCGCTGCTGGGAACTATGCACTCTAGTCACCCGAAACTCCTCACTCCTCCTCAAATGCGCCTAGCTGCACCATATTTCTGGGCCTTTGCCCACCCTGATCCGTTGGCCTACAATGAAATGCCCTTCTCTGCCTCCCTGCCTCATGACCACACCTCACCTTTCTAGCATCACCTCCTCCGTGAACCCCTTGCTAAATCATGCCCCCAAGCAATCAACTGCTGCTTGCTGGTGCCCCTATAGCCATCTGTTCATGCTGCTCTCTTGGTGTCTGGATCACCCAATCACACTTGCTGCCTCATCTGTCATTATCTCACCTGGAGGGAATGGTGGCAAGATCACCACCTCTGTACCTGCATTGTCCAGCATAGTGCCAGTACAGGGAGGGGACTCAACTCACAACAGTGTTTCTGCAAAACAACAACAATAAAAATGTCTCCATTGTTTCCCCTTAATGCCACCACTTGACAGTTCCCCTACCTGGAATAGAAGCCACCCAACTTTCCTTCTATTTATTCTTTAGGTCACAGCTTAAGCGACATTCTCTCAGAGACCATTCCCTAAGCCCTTAGATCACACTGATGCCGCCTTTAATAAGACTCAACACTGCTGTAATCACCAACATGGCATCCCAGTGATTTGATTATATATTTGTTTATTTAATGCCTACAACAGTCCTATCAGGGTTCTCCCAGTTGACAGACGAAGAAACTGAGGCATTTGAACCCAGGCAGTATGACTTAGGGTCTATGTGCCTGAATAGGCACTCTTATAGTACCTGTTTATCAGCCACCCTCCCACCTCCTACACAAACAAACCATTAGACAGTAGGCTCCAACAGGGTCAAGCCTAACTTGTCCCTAATGTTCCCCAACCCAGTGGCTGCTACAAAGTAGGTATATGAATGGATTGACTCTGAATTCCTGAGAACAGATGGACAAATGAATTTTGAAATTCAGTAATCTATACCTGGTCGCCTGGGTCAAGAGATGCAACTCTAAATAGCTCACCTCGTAGAGCCAGGTGGAGTTTGCCACATTTCATGACAAGGTCAGGTGTCTAAAGTTTGATAATGCAGAGATTCCAGAGCTGGTTGCAGCCTTCTCGGGAAACAGGAGATATCTAAGCTCCATATTTGGTCATGAGTGCCCTGGTAACTGCTCTGACTCTGCCCATTGAGGGCTCCAGGAATTCTCAAGTGGACCCTCAAGAATGTATCAACTTCTCATAGAGAAGGAGCTGATGTCTGTTAAGCCCTCCTACAATGCTCCAGGAACTCCCTGACAGAAGCTCCGATCCTCACAATTCTCCAGGGACACTTTGCTGTGAGGATTTAAGCTCTGACTGGATACTCCATGAGGGCAGGGCTCTGTATTCCCAGCACCTAGAACAGCTCATGGTGGCTCATGGTGGGTGTTGAATAAGTATTTGTTGAGTGAACTTTAGAGATGAGGACACAGGCTTGGGAAGTTCAAGCGTCCTACCCATCACCACACAGCTAGTAAGTTGTGCAGTCAGGATCTCCATGCAAGGCTCTCTGTAGCTAAATTCATGCTTTTCCCAGTATTTCATACTTATTCCACATAATTACCCATTCCCAAGTAAATTCTCAGTATTGTTAGGGTCTTGAGAGTTCAGGGGTGAGAGCCATGTTACCGAAGGCCCAAAATGCGGCTCTTAAAATTTGCGCTTATGTGAATTGAGCTGGCTGTGGATATCAGAGAACTTCAGAAACTCTTCAGCCTTAAAGCAGATTGCAGCGATGGGAATGTGGAAACCATATTCTAAGGGGCTAGTGGATCCCCTTCCCCCACAGTCCTCAAGCCAATCTTTTCCCTTCATTATCACCGTCTGCCAAAAAAAAAAAAAAAAAAAAAAAAAATCAGAAAGGCTCTTTTTGCACTCTCTTTCCTGAACGTTCATGTCAGCAGGCTCTCTTCCTGAACATTCGTGAGCCACTGATGTTTCCTGTTAAATGCATTGCTTTCAGGGCTGACTCTCCGGCTGGATTAAAAGGTATGCAGTCCTGTACAAGCATTAACTCGTGGCTGTGCACTGCATTTTTAAAGGCCCAGAGAGCTGCTGAAGTACGAAATGAAATATCTTTACAAATGACTGGCCTCATTTAGTCTATAAAAATGCTGGGCTCGTTATTTATGTGGATTACCTATCCCCTCATTATAAATCTTGGAGAGAAATTTCTATCTTCACCCTTTCATGTTACATATTTTTGAGATTCTATTTCTGTTATCTGCAAAGAAAAATTTAGCTTCCAGATGAAGTATTATGATTACCCTGCAAAAATAAATGATTCTAACTAGTTATAGAATAAGTGTTATTGGATATGAATTCATCAACCTCCTTGCCTACTATGCCCTTTCTTGTTTGGTGTGTGTGTAAGAACCAGAATATAATGATGGGTTTGCTCGGCAACTTATGTGTAGGGAAGCTCTGTTAACATCCGATTTGGAGAGCTGTGGCTCTCAATTTAGAAATTTGAAAATTGGTAGCAGTTGAGTTCAGAAAATATGTGTCTATGTGAGAAACTGATGTAACTAGCCTTATATGTTACTGAGTAAGGCTAGTATGGTCACTAGATGGCATAATTTGAGGCCAAGTATTAATATTGTTAGAGTTAGATTTGCTATTCCAGCTCACAGTGTTATTAATCTGGGGGTTAAGTGGTAGGGAAAAATCAAATATAGACTAGACCGTACTGAAGAGGTAGTATCCTGAGATGAAAACTGTATGAGATTTAGAATCTGATTCTGCCACTATTTGCTGTGTGTCCTGCAGCAAGTCACTTGCCCTCTCCGAGCCCCACATTTCCCATTTCTAAAAAATATTTAGGCTAGGTGCAGTGTCTCATGCCTGTAATCCCAGCACTTTGGGAGGCCAAGGTGGGTGGATCACCTGAGGTCAGGAGTTCGAGACCAGCCTGGCCAACATGGCAAAACCCTGTCTCTACTAAAAACAACAATAACAAAAAATTAGCCAGGCACCTGTAGTCCCAGTTACTCAGGAAGCTGAGGCAGGAGAATCGCTTGAACCCAGGAGGCAGAGGTTGCAGTGAGCTGAGATGGTGCTACTGCACTCCCGCCTGGGCAACAGAGCGAGACTCTGTTTCAAAACAATAAAATAAAATAAATTTAATAATATTCACTTCACAGGATTGTGGGAAGGGTCAAATTCAAGATTGTTGGTGAAAGCACTGATGTCTCCCCACCTAGCTCCCTTAAACTGGGGCTGTGATCTCACTTTAGCCTGCTGAGGCAAGCTGCATCCCACTCAGCTTTCCTCCACCTTTCAGCCTAGGGTATTTTACAGTTTGTAGTTCCCTCTTATTCTCGATGTACTTGAGTTATCTTGTGTTTGCTAGTCAGATTATGGGTAGAAAATTAATAAATATGGCTGAAAAATGTAAATGTTGGGAGGAGGAATCAAACGTCCGGGCTGGTTTCGCCAATCATTCACCTAGGCACGTTAGTTTCTTAATGTGGCCTCTGACTTGCTGTGCAGGATAGGAGTCTTGACACTGGTTCTCCTCAACACCCTGTAACCAGTCATCACAGAAGAGCCACACCTGAGGCCTCCAGCCTACAGCGTGAGGAATCACAAAGATGAGGGTGGGACGCCATCTGCATCCAGGTGAAGGGCTCCGCCCCTGGAGCAAGACTGCCCGTGTGAGAATCCTGCCCTGCACTTGCCAGCTGTGGGACGGTCGGTGCCAAATATTCTTATGCTGCACTGGCCTCATTGTGAAATGGGGACATGAATAATACTTCCTTGTTGTTAAGCATTTGTGTTAATATTCATATCAGCATTAGAATTATTTCAGCTTTTTTAGGTTTCAGAAATGAACTTGTTCAGATCAGTTTCTGTTGGTTACAAAGAACAGACATCACCCAAACAAGGTCAAGTAAAAGGGGATTATGAAGAGGTATGAGAGATTCTCAGGTTAATGAAGTGTGAGAAGTATAACCAAGCCTCATAGGAACTGGACGGGCATCTATCTTTCTCTCTCTCCAAGCATGCAAGCATGCACGGGCAGCGCACACACACAGAGAGAGAGAATTCTTCATCGTTTCTCTCCCTGCATTTGCCCCATTCTCCATGGCAGATCAGCATCCTCTATTTCTCATGGTTTCTGCCCCTCCATACAACTTCAACTTGCATGTGGTGCGAGCCAGCCAGGGGCCTTGAATATGTAATTTTCATGGTCATGTAATCACAGGCACTGCATTTCTTCTGTCAAATTCTAGAGAGAAGCTGATGGAATTTTGGCCACATTATGGATTGATTTTTTGGGGGACTCAGATGTGGTGCTCCCTGGTTCAGTCTGCTGTGATTGGTGAGTGTGGGTCACATGATACTGGAATAACTCTGTCCAAGGGAGGCAGGTAGGGCCCAGTAAGCTAAAAACAGGACTTCTACCATAAAAAAACTTTAGAAGACAAATTTCACCTTAACTATGGAAACTGTTAAATTTTAAATTTCATAGAAAAATCTTTTCATAAAACATTACTCATTTTTTCATGTTTCATAAAACCACTTCTTTCTGATAAAAGTAATACATACATATTTTATACCTTTGGAAAATATACACCAAGAATATTAAAAGTAAGAATCAACCTTATTTTTCCAATTTAGAAATTAACTGGGTTAACATTTTTATATTTATTTTTTCTCTAGTATTTTTTCATTTTTGAGGTTATATTGTAACTATTATTTTGTAACATAGTTTTTCTCAGTTTGAATTCTCCAGGAACAAATTCTGAAATAAGGATTCCAGGCTGGGCGCAATCACACCTATAATACCAGCACTTTGGGAGGCTGAGGCGGGCAGATTGCTTGAGTCCAGGAGTTTGAGACCAGCCTGGGCAACATGGCGAAACGCCATCTCTATTAAAAATACAAAAAAATTAACCGGGCATGGTCATGTGTGCTTGTAGTCCTAGCTACTTGGGAGGCTGAGGTGAGAGAATCACCTGAGCCTGGGAGGTTGAGGCTGCAGTGAGCTGAGATCACGCCACTGCACTACAGCCTGGGCAACTGGAGTGAGACCATGTCTCAAAAAAGAAAAAAAAATTCAAGAGCACATAATTTATCTTTAAAACTATCCCAGGAAACACCAGTAGGAAAGTGGAAAAGAGATATAAGGAAGGGAAATGTTACAGTCATTATAGCTGTGTAACAAATTACTCCTGAGTGATACAAAACAACCACAGTGTTATTTTGCATAAGATTTGGTGCATCAGGAACTCAAGAAGGGCTCAGCTATAGAAGTCCACCAGGGCTGCAGGCATCTGAAAGCTCTGTTGGGCTGGATGTTCAAGATGGCCATTCCCATAGCTGGCAGGGGATCCAGATCTTTGCATGGGGCACCCCAGCATAGCAACTTCTGTTTAGTGAGACTTCTTAGTCTGTGACTAGTTTCCCCAAGAGTGAGCGCCCAAGAGAAGTAGATGGAAGCCAATGGCCTTTTATGGTCTATCCTTGAAAATCATACAGTGTCACTTCTGCCATCGTTTTCTATGAAAGCAGTTGCAAGCCCATGAGGGAAGAGACATAGATCCTACCACTTCATGGGAGGAGCGCTGTAGAACTTGAAGCCTATTAAAAAAAAATCACCACAGAAAGAAAGCCAATAAATTGTATGTAGTTAATCCAGTTGGCACTGTGTTGCAGCAGGAGCTGAGTTCTGCTGGAGAAATCTAGAAAAATTTGAATATAAAAAACATCTCAAATTGTCCCAATGGAAGGCTGCGAAAACTAAGGTGTTCAACCATCAATTTCCCATTAATAATTGGTCAGGCTGGGGAGTGGGAAGAGGGAGCATTAATTGCCCTGGGAATGGAGAAGTTCCCTGGCTTTGATTTCTAGCATACTGGCCAGTGGAAAGCCTCAGGCAGAGAGTTTCAGGTCTTCACAGCAAGCAGCCTTTCAGCAACAGAGCTCTGCACAGAGATGAATGCCATGGGGTTCTGAGGAAGGTACCAATAGTAACTGGCACAAATATCTTAAGCATTTTCTTTGTCATTAAATTCTCTCTGTGACAACTTTTAATGGTTAGATATTTTATTTTGTTTAATTAACATCTCTGTGCATCAAGCTGAGAGCTAGGGGAAGAAAAAAATCACACCGCGGTGTCAGTTAATGTCACTGCATGTTCTCTAACTTTGGGCCACCAATTGTTCATCTTTCTAATTTTCCTTAGCTCCCTCTCTTGACACCAAACTTTCACTTCTTTCCCTGAATCTCTTTTCAACTTGCATCCCATTTACTCTTAGCCGATGAGCTAATCTGCTTCAGTGAGAAAACGGAGGTCAGCAGACAATCAGCCTCAACTTCATGTTCTCCTGCTGTAAACCAAAAATAAAATTCTAAGCCCCCAAATGACTGAATGGACTCCCCTCTTGGCCAAAGGGCTCCTAAAGAAACCTGAAAAACTAGTTCAGGCCATGACAGGAAGGGGAGGAGTTGGACATGCCTCATTATACACTTCTCTCTTTGGAGTTTAGGCAACTGACCAGCATTAACATTAAAAGAGAGACCTTAAGACTGCGAAAGACTCTTTGTAGCAATAAGATACAAAATTCCAAACTGACTCTGGTAGAGCATCACATGGCAGATTGTTGGAGGCCGACAGAGTGAGGGTCTTGATCAACTCAGTATACCACTGGAGGCTATATGAGTAAACAGCAAACTGTTCTCATAAGTGCAGAATGTTGGCAAACAGACAAACTGTCTGCCATCCAGAAGGAATGCTGAGGGCAGTCACAACCCAGGCACAAGTATTTCTTGTGATTAGGCACATCTGAAGCCTGTTAGCAATAATGTGATCAATCAAGCAGCTGACCAATAGTTACCTCCTTCTCCCTGCTCTTGCTACCCAATAAATACGAAGGGCTGTAGAAGCTCATGGCTGCTGCCTTTGCTCACTAGAAGCAAGGAGCCCTCTTCTTCGTCCCCTGGCCCCTTTCTTTAAAACAGTTTCTTTTAAGTCTTAATTTCTGCATTCATTCGTCCCCCTTCGTTCAGTCTCGTAATGTCGGTCTCAAGTAGTAACAGTAGTAACTGCTGTAATGAGGGTCTCAAGTAGTAATTGTGGCAGTCTGTCACAGCAGATAGCAGGCCCTGAAAAAAAGATCAAAGTATTTTGCCCCTAAATATATTTCTCTGACATATTTTGAAATGGCCCTGCAAAGCTGTCTCTTGTGGGGGAAATTCTTGCATTCTATAGAGAATCTCCATCCCTTTTTAAGATCTGATAAGAGACCTTCGCCATCTATTCTCTCTGAAGCCTGTTATCTGGAGGTGACATAAACATGACAAGAACCTTGGCTTCCACAACCCCCTTTATCTTTTTTTATGGGTTGTAGTTCTTTTTATTATTCTTAAGAATGATACAAAGATAATCCAGCTTTGCTGTTGTCTAGGTGGATACTCTCAGCTTCTCTTTTTCTACTTTTAATACCTGGGTAATAAGATCTAAGAGGACCTGTTCCAGAGAGTTCAAGGGAATGTTTTCTGATAATTATTTATTTATTTATTTAAAGCTCTGGGGTAAATGTGCAGGATGTGCAGGTTTGTTACATAGGTAAATGTGGGCCATGGTGGTTTGCTGCACCTATCAATCCATCATCTGAGTAATAAGCCCAGCCTGTGTTAGCTACTTTTCCTGATGCTCTCCCCGACCCCACAGGCCCCAGTGTGTGTTATTCCCATTTCTGTGTCCATGTGTTCTTATCGTTCAGCTCTCACTATGAGTGAGAACATGTGGTGTTTGTTTTTCTGTTCCTGAATTAGTTTACTGAGGATAATGGCTTCCAGCTCCATCCATGTTCCTGCAAAGGACATGAACTCACCCCTTTTTATGGCTGCGTAGTATTCCATGGTGTATGTGTACCACATTTTCCTTATCCATTCTATCATTGATGGGCATTTGGGTTGATTCCATGTCTTTGCTATTGTGAATAGTGTTGCAATAAATATACAAGTGCATGTATCTTTATAATAGAATGATCTATATTCCTTTGGGTATATACCCAGTAATGGGATTGCTGGGTCAAATGGTGTTTCTGGTCTAGGTCTTTGAGGAATAACCACACTGTCTTCCACAATGGTTGAACTGATTTACACTTCCACCAATAGTGTAAAAGCATTCCTATCTCTCTGCAGCTTTGCTAGCATCTGTTGTTTCTTGACTTTTTAGTAATTGCCATTTTGACTGGCGTGAGATGGTATCTCACCGTGGTTTTGATTTGCATTTCTCTAATGATCAGTGATACAAATCCCTTTATCTTAACTCAAGCTGACTCCAATTCTTCAGGCAGAGCTTAATTCTTTGGACCAATTGCTAATCAGGAAATCTTTGAATCCACCTGTGACCTGGAAGCCCCCACTTCTAGATGTCCCACTTTTCCAAGTCAAACCAATGTAAACCTTAAATATATTGATTTATGTCTTTGCCTGTAACTTCTGTCTCACAACAATGTATATAACCAAGTGGTAGCCCAACCACCTTGGGCACATGTTCTCAGGAACTCCAGAGGCTGTGTCACGGGCTATGGTTCTTCACCTTGGCAAAACAAACCTCTAAACTGATTGAGATCTATCTCAGATACTTGGTTTACACTACCTATCCATTTTCTCTATCTAACCCCTTTCTGATCCCTTTTCTCCCAATCTTAGAAGATAAGGAGTTCCTCCTCAGGTCAAGACCAGACCCCAACATCCCCATCTGTACTTGTACTTGGATCCCAACCTCATGCACTCCTGAGTTGTCTCTGCCTCTCCCTGGATCTTATCTCATTAGCCTGCCTCACTTTCTGCTTTATCTTCAGCCTCTCATTCTTTGCTTCTCCCTGTCTCCCTATAAACACACCCAAGGCTTTCTTCAGCCTAAAACCACATACCCTTCTCCATCTAACAACTATATAATCTCTCTCCTCATTTCCCATTCACTTCACAATCCACTGCATTGGAGTGTATTGCATTCTCTTCCCACTTTTCCTCAGAACTTCTCTCACCATGATCATCCATCAACCACCAATTGCCAACTCTGGAGGATAAGTTCTACTTCCAAGCTCTTAAACCCCTGCTGCACTTGAGTCCATGGATCATCCTCCTCCTTAAAGCTCTCTGTTCTCTAGGCCTCCAGGACTCTGCACTCTCCTGATTGGCCATACCTTATGAATATTCCTTCTCTGTCTTTGATTGGTCACCCCTCCTGTGTCTAGTCCAAAATGCTGCTGTTATCTCTCTATTGCTTGCATTTTGTCTATACTTTCTCCCTAGGTAATCTTATTCTTTTTCATGCTCCCAATTACAGATATTTTATCAGAAACTCTTGGAGCCAGATGGCTTCAGGGTTTAGGATTTTTAGATTTTGGAAAGGTAATATAACATATAGTAAAAATTACGTACTGGTCCCAGTAGAGTTTGGGACAGCACCCATAGTTAAACAAATGGATATTTCTGTAGCGAAACACAGAAATATTCACACTAAGTAGGATTTTTCAAAGGGGCTGCAAATACTCCTCTCATATGTTCAGGTCATATTTTGGAGTCAAAGGGGCTCAAATCTGATCAGGCTTTGCCACCAAATAAGTTTTTAAAAAAACTTTGGCTTTTTAGATTTTCTTTTGAATTTGGAAACTACAGGTAAAGGATTATAGACAAATACTACTGGTGTGCTGATAACTCCAAAATCTTGTATTTCCAGATCATAATTCTCCCTGGAGCTTTAGGTTTAGGTATCTAAAAAGCCAGCTGGATACCTCAACCTGAAAGTCTTACAGATATATCCAGCTCAATTCACCCAAAACTTGAATGTCTTCCCATCTAAGGTCTGGTCCTCTAAGAAACACTCTGAAGCACATATCTGTGTACAAGATATTTATCAATGGGACACCATTTATCAGCTCCTCCCTTGGAGCTCTGGGGCTGGAATGGCCCATCAGAGTTTTCCTGAATTAAGGAAAGCAGCCTGGCTTTTGCGCCCCTACATCAACCAGCCATTGAATGTGGGCTCTCCCTGTCATGGGAGTATAACCTTGAGCAAAGCAGCTCCCCTGGGCTACAGAGGGCTCAGCTGTGAGCCATCAGCAACCATCCTTCCTGGAGGCTGGGGAAATGATGGCTTCTGTCTTGAAGCAGAGCAGCACAGAATCCACTTCAAGCTCTCGTTCTAGTTTCTGTGTGTGCCATCCAGCCAGGCACCCAAGTCAATAGCTTCTAGTCATCCCTGACTCCTCTCTGTTTCTTAGCACTTCTACATCTGATAACTCATCGTGTCCTGCCAATTTACTCTTCTAAAAATACTTAAAAATCTGCCTCATCTCCTCCATCCTTATGTCCAATGTCCTAATTCAGATTCACACTGTCTCTTTCTTGACTCGTTTACTGCAGTTGCCTCCTACCTGTTCTCCTTTCTTTCACTTTTTCCCCAGTTACACCGATTTCCCATGTATGTAACAGAACGAACTATGCAAAACTCAAATCTGGACACGGTGTTCTGGTGCTAGAAATGTTCTAATAGTTAACCATTGCCTACAGGGTAAACTCCAAGTTCCTTAGCCTATTATAAAAGGCCTCTCTGATCTGAGACCTGTCTAGCCCTCCTCAGCCACTTAGCTGGCTCACAACACTTAACATACTAGCCTCCTCCTCTACTTGCCTCTCGTTCCCCTCGCACTCTGCTGCTGCTTGCCTCCATGCCGGAGCTCATGTGGTCCTCTCTGTGTAGATGCCCTTCACTTCACACACAATTTATCCTATAAAAATTGGCTCAGTTGTCACTTGCTTTAGGGACCTTCCCTAACTCCCTATCCCCAGTCTTGGTTGGGTGCCCCTTCTCTTTGCACTTATGATACCCTATCCATACATCTCCCACTGCACTTAGCACACTGTGTTATAATTAGATGTGTTTGTGCTGTTGATTCTTGAAAGCCAGGACAGTGTTCTCATGTTTTCAGAAGTAAGGACATAATAGGCCCTTAGTAAAAGCTTGCTGAATGAATGAATGAATATGAGTTTTTTAACTCCAAAATCCATACATTTTCCTTTAAACTATGTTGTCTATGCCGCAGTGCCAATGCCTTCAGCATCCCTTGCTGCTCTGGTAATCATAATGGCTGAGGGTTTTTAGACTTTAGTGTGCACTAGGCACCGTGTTAAGGAATTCGTATACATTTTCTCATTTTATGCTTAACCAGTTTGGTAAGGAAAGCACCATTATTCTCTCATTTTCCTGTGGAAGAAACTGAAAATCTGAGGGCTTGGGTGACTTGCTGAAAGTCACATAGCTAGTAGGCAGTAGAGCTGGGATTTGAATCCAAGTATGCCTGACCTCAGAGCATGAGTTCTTAACCACTGTGCAACAAGGCTTCTAGGAACCTCTGAAGCCTTGTTGAACTTCTGATCTGCAGACTTGAAGCTGCAAAGGAGCTCTTGAGAAGACATTTATTAAACCGAGGCTTAAAAGGTCTGTGTTTAGTCCAGAGTTCAGAACATGCCATTCTCCCAAATAAAACTCTTCACTGACTTCCTACAGAACATTGAATAAACCCCAGATCTGAAAAATGGCTCATAAGGCCCTGAACACCAAGGCCCCTGCCTTTCTCTCCATCCTTATACCCTCCTGCTACACTCTTTCCAGTCCCACTGTTGTTCTCTCTGCAGTTGGAACACCCCAGCTCTTTCTAGCCCCAAGGCCTTGCATGTTCTTTGCCCCATGTGACTGCCCATTTCTACAATCTTTTCCTTCCATTTATCTAAATGTGGCTTCATAAAAAGTTTTCAAAGTAGTTCCCATTATCATCAGCCTCATCTCCTTATTTCCTTCATAGCATTTATCATGATTTGTAAATATTTTATTTCTCTTTTGTTGCTTTTGTCTGTTCCACTAAAGCAGGGTCTGTTTCTTGTATTCCCAGAGCCTCATTCCATGAATGGAGGAATAGGTGTTAAATGAAACAACTTTGTTGAAATTGTTTACCTATAGGATGGCTACCATTTAAAAAACAGAAAATAACAAGCATTGGTGAGGATGTAGAGACATTGGAACCCTGCTGGTGGGAAAGTAAAATGGTGCAGCTGCTGTGGAAAACAATATGGTGGTTCCTCAAAAAATTAAAAATAGAATTACCATATGATCTAGAAATTCCACTTCTTGGTATATATCTAAAAGAATTGAAACTAGGGTCTTGAAAATCTATTTGTACCCCCATGTTTATAGCGGCATTATTCAAAATAGACAAAAAGTGGAAGCAACCCAGTATCCATCAACAAATGATTGGGTAAGCAAAATGTGATATATACATACAATGCAATATTATTTTGCCTTAAAAAGGAAATTCTGACACACCCTCAAGGATGAACCTAGAGGACATTATGCTAAGTGAAATAAGCCAGTTGCATAAAAGCAATAATATGTCATTCCACTTACATGAGGTACCTACAGTAGGAAAATTTATAAAGACATAAAGTAGAACAGTGGTTCCCAGGAGCTGAGGGGAGGGAGAATGAGGAGTTATTGTTTAACGGGTACAGAGTTTTAGTTTTGTAAAATGAAAAAAGTTATATAGATGGTGGTGATGGTATGCAATACTTAATACCACTGAACTATATACTTGAAAATGGTTAAAATGGTAAATTTTATGTTATGTGTATTTTACCACAGTTTTAAAAGAAGGAAAGGCAGTGTATTAGTCCATTCTCACACTGCTATAAAGAACTGCCTGAGACTGGGTAATTTACAAAGGAAAGAGGTTTAATTATCTCATAGTTCAGCATGGTTGGGGAGGCCTCAGGAAACTTACAATCATGGAAGAAGGGGAAGCAAACACATCCTTTCTCACATGGCAGCAGGATAGAGAAGAATGAGTGCACAGTGAAGGGGGAATCCTCTTATAAAACCTGTCTCATATCTCGTGAGAACTTACTATCACAGGAATAGCATGGGGGAAATCACCCCCATTGATATGGTTTGACTCTGTGTCCCCACCCAAATCTCATCTTGAATTTTACTTACATAATTCCCATGTGTTGTGGGAGGGACCTGGTGGGAGGTAACTTAATCATGGGGAAGTTTCCCCCATACTGTTCTCAGGTAGTGAATAAGTCTCATGAGATCTGATGGTTTCTTCAGGGGTTTCCTCTTTTGCGTCTTCCTCACTGTGTTTGCCTGCTGCCATCCATGTAAAATGAGACTTGCTCCTCCCTGCCTTCTGCCATGATTGTGAGGTTTTCCCAGCCATGTGGAACTGTAAGTCTAATTAATCCTTTCTTTTGTAAATTGCCCAGTCTCAGGTATGTCTTTATCAACAGCATGAAAATCAACTAATACAGTAAATTGGTACCAATAGAGTGGGGCATTGCTGAAAAGATACCCAAAAATGTGGAAGCAATTTTGGCACTGGGTAACAGGCAGAGGTCAGAACATTTTGGAGGGCTCGGAAGAAGACAGGAAAATGTGGGAAAGTTTGGAACTTCCCAGAGACTTATTTAATGGCTTTGACAAAAAATACTGATGATATGGACAATGAAATCCAGGCTGAGGTGGTCTCAAATGGAGATGAGGAACTTGTTGGGAACTGGAGCAAAGGTGACTCTTGTTTACTTACATTTTAGCAAAAAGACTGGTGGTATTTTGCCCCTGCCCTAGAGATTTGTGAAACTTTAAACTTGAGAGACATGATTTAGGGTATTTGGCAGAAGACATTTCTAAGCAGCAAAGCATTCAAGAGGTGACTTGGGTACTGTTAAAGGCATTCAGTTTTAAAAGGGAAGCAGAGTATAAAAGTTTGGAAAATTTGCAGCCTGACAATGTGATAGAAAAGAAAATCCCATTTTATGAGGAAAAATTCAAGCTGCCTGCAGATATTTGCATAAGTAATGAGGAGCCAAATGTTAATCACCGAGACAATGGGGAAAATGTCTCCAGGGCATGTCAGAGACTTTTGTGGCAGTCTCTCCCATCACAGACCCAGAGGTATAGAAGGAAAAAATGGTTTTGTGGGCAGGGCCCAGGATTCCTGGGCTGTATGCAGTCTAGACACTTGGTTCCCTGTGTCCTAGCCACTCTAGCCATGGCTGAAAGGGGCCAATGTAGAGCTTGGACCATGGCTTCAGAGGGTGCAAGCCACAAGCGTTGTCAGCTTCCGCATGGTGTTGAGCCTGTGGGTGCACAGAAGTCAATAATTGAGGTTTGGGAACCTCCACCTAGATTTCAGAGGATGTATGGAAATGCCTGGATGTCCAGGCAGAAGTTTACCGCAGGGATGGGGCTCTCCTGGAGAACCTCTGCTAGGGCAGTGCAGAAGGGAAATGTGGGGTTGGAGCTCCCACACAGAGTCCCTGCAGGGGCACCACCTAGTGGAGCTGTGAGAAGAGGACCACCATCTTCCAGACCCCAGAATGGTAGATCCACCTACAGCTGCACCATGTCCCTGGGAAAGCTGCAGACACTCAATTCCAGCCCATGAAAGCAGCTTGGGTAGGGAGGCTGTACCCTGAAAACACAAGGATGGAGCTGCCCAAGACCATGGGAAACCACCTCTTGCATCAACATGACCTGGATGTAAGACCTGGAGTCAAAGGAGATCATTTTGGAGCTTTAAAATTTGATTGTCCTATTGAATTTTGGACTTGCATGGGCCCTGTAACCCCTTTGTTTTGGCCAATTTCTCCCATTTGGAACTGTTGTATTTACCCAATGTCTGTATCTCCATTGTATCTAGGAAATAACTACCTTACTTTCGATTTTACAGACTCATAGGCAGAAGAGACTTGCCTTGTCTCAGATAAGATGTTGGACTGTGGCCTTTTGAGTTAATGCTGAAATAAGTTAAGACTTTGGGGGACTATTGGGAGGCCATGATTGGTTTTGAAATGTAAGGACATGAGATTTGAGAGGGGTAAGGGGTGGAATGATATGTTTTGGCTGTGTGTCCCCACCCAAATCTCATCTTGAATTATACTCCCATAATTTCGATGTGTTGTGAGAGGGACCCAGTTGGAGATAATTTAATCATGGCAGAAGTTTCACCCACACTGTTCTTGTGGTAGTGAATAAGTCACATGAGAGCTGATGGCTTTATAAGGGGTTTCTGCTTTTGCGTCATCCTCATTCTGTCTTTGCCTGCTGCCCATCCATGTAAGATGTGACTTGCTCCTCCTTGCCTTCCACCATGATTGTGAGGCTTCTCCAGCCATGTGGAACTGTAAGTCCAATTAAACCTCTTTCTTTTGTAAATTGCCCAGTCTCAGGTATGTCTTTATCAGCAGTGTGAAAATGGACTAATACACCCATGATTCAATTACGTACCAGGTCCTTCTCATGACACCTGGGGATTATGGGAACTATAATTCAAGATGAGATTTGGGTGCGGACACAGCCAAACCATATCAGGAAGAAAGTTATCTAACTACTTAGTAGCCCTGTTGATCTCCTGCCTCCCAGTCTGGTGTCCTCTCATTTATACATACTGGCTCTTCTCAGAGTATCATTTATTGGCTAAGCATTATAATAATGTGATCTCCCAGCAGAGAATACCTTTCTAGGACATATCAAAAAGGTAAACTCTAGAGTTTACTTAAACTCATATCTTCTGTATCAGTCAGGGTGAAGATAAGGTTAAGATAGGCAGGAAGCCACTACTACTGTTTGAGGGGAAGGGGAGGAAGTGGTCATTGGAACTTGAAGAGCTGTGGTTGTACAAGATGCAGCGATCTTTGGTAGAGAAATGTTGCTGTGCATTTACTGCTAACAAGGAGGTATCTGGTCAAGTAAGTGTACCTTCTTCTGGTCTTCTGTTGCTGATGCCTCCCATTGGATGAACCCGACTGGAAGTCAGAGGGCAAGAAAACCTGTTGATGTAGTCCATAGGACCCCAGAACATTGAGTAGAAGGGAAAGGGTAGAGAATAGGTTTGAAGGTGGCCTTATACCAAACTTCATTTTAAAAGTGAAAGCACTCAGAACCTGTATTAGTCATAGTTCTCTAAAGAAATAGAGCCAATAGAATATAGATAGAGAGAGAGCGAGATAGATAAACAGATAGATAGACAGAGATATAGATATATCAGAAGGGATTTACTTCGGGAATTGGTTCACTTGATTATGGAGGCTGAGAAGTCCCACAATATCCTGTCTGCAAGCTGAAGAACAAGGGAAGATGGTAGCATGGCTCAGTCCAAATCCAAGGGCCTGAGGACCAGGGGAGCCAACGGTGTAACTCTCAGTCCTAAGCTGACAGCTTGAAAATTGGGGAGTATCTGGTGCAAGTCCTGGAGTCCAAAGGCCCGGGAGTTCTGATGTCCAAGGGCAGGAGAAGATGGGTGTCCCAGTTCCAGAAGAGAGAGTGAGCAAATTTGCCTTTCTTCTGCCTTTTTGTTCTGTCAGGCCCTCAGTCAACTGGATGGTATGGGCCTGCACTGGGTGAGGAGGGATCTTCCTAGTCCAGTTATTCAAATGCCAGTCTCTTCTGGAACACCCTCACAGACATATCTAGAAACAATGCTTCATCAGAAGTTATCTGCATGTCCCTGAATCCAGTCAAATTGACACCTGAAATTAACCATCCTAGACACAAAGAATTAAATGACTTGTTGCATGTCATTGATAGATATTAGATTCTCACTGTATTTATGACCTAATAATTGGGTTCTATCCACATAGTGATGAAGAATGAGAATACAAGTCTAAACTTGGAAAATCTGCCACAAACAGAACACCTAAAAAAAGTTTTGTTTTTGAAAGAGAGTGATATGCACATCTTCCACAGAATTAGCATTCATTAGGAGTTTTTGTGCTTTGAACTTTGCAAGTCTGATTCATCACATGTTACAAAGAAAATAATCTTAAGATCATGAGTTTTCTTCCTGCTTCTGCCCTAATGATTATCACAGTTTATGGGACATTTAGGAGAAGCTGAAGCAGAGTATTACATTGGAGATGTTTAGTTAAATAAAACAAGATAGCTAAGTCAAAGAACCTTGTTGAAGAGAGTCACAGAATTGCATCCTCAAACATGGATTTTTCATAATTAAAGGACTTTGAGACAACTTTTCAGGCTCATAGAAGTCCACAAGATGGTTCTTAAAAAAATCGAGGTGACAAGACTTTTGAGCACAAAATACTGAAACTTTAGGGGAATAAAGCAAAAATTGTACTTTTTTTTTCTTTCAAGGAAGAGATACACTATAGTAATTAAGTAATTAAGTCTACATTCAAGAATCAAAATTCTTGAATCCAAACCCTGGCTTCATCATTTACTAGCTGCACAACTTTGGGCAAATGACTTTGTCTTTCTTTCTAAGCCACAGTTTTCCTATTTCTGAAATGTGAATAATTGCACCTATATCATTGAGTTATTCTGTCTATTTCTCCCTTCAATTCTGTCAGTTTTTGCTTCCTATATTTGATGGTCTGTTATTAAGTATGTAAATGTCTATAATTATCTTCCTGCTGTATCAAACCATTTATTAACGTATAATGTCCTTCTTTGTTCTTATAACCTTCTTTGATATAAAGTCTATTTTTTCTGATATTAGTAAAGCCACCTTTTGGTTACTATTTTCATGGAATATCTTTTTCCGTCCTTTTATGTTAAACCTATTTCTATCTTTGGATTTAAAGTGAATCTCTTATAAACAGCGCATATTTGGATCATGCATTTTTATCCATTCTGCCAATCTTTGTCTTTCGACTGGATCATTTAATCCATCTATATTTAAGTAATTATTGATAAAGAAGGACTTATAGCATTTTGATATTTGTTTTTTATATGCCTTATAGTTTTTTTGTCCTTCATTTCCTGCAGTACTGTCATCTTTTGTGTTTGATTTTTTAATAGTAAAATGTAGACATTTATTTCTTATTTACTTTTGCACATATTCTATTCTATACCTATGTTTTATGGTTACTATAGGGATCACATTTAATAGCCTAAAATTCTAGGATTCTAATCTGAATTTATACCAGCTTAACTTCAATAATATACAAAACTCTGCTCTTTTATATCTTTGTCCCCACCTGTTTCTTACTGATGTCACAAAATTATACCTTTATACATTGTATGCCTTCCAAATAAATAATTCTTTTAAGTGCATTAGTCTCTTAAATTATGTAGAAAACAAAACGTGGAGTTGCAACCAAAGTTACAATAATACTAGCTTTTAGACTAATACTTTTTTTTTTTTTTAGATGGAGTTTCGCTCTTGTTGCCCAGGCTGGAGTGCAATGGCACGATCACGGCTTACCACAACCTCTGCCTCCCGGGTTCAAGTGATTCTCCTGCCTCAGCCTCCCAAGTAGCTGGGATTACAGGCATGCGCCACCACACCCAGCTAATTTTGTATTTTTAGTAGAGATGGGGTTTCTCCATGTTGGTCAGTCTCGTCTTAAACTCCCGACCTCAGATGATCTGCCTGCCTCGGCCTTCCAAAGTGCTAGGATTACAGGCATGAGCCGCCATCCCCGGCCAGGGCTAATACTTTTAAATATATATACATTAGACTCTTAAATCGTGTAGAAAACAAAAAGTGGAGTTATAAATCTTTGTCACAATAATAGTAGCTTTTTAAATCACTCATTTATTCACCTTTATTGAGATCTTCCTTTCTTCATATGGCTTCAAGTTATTGTTTAGTGTTCTTTCATTTCACCCTGCAGGAGTCTCTTGAACATTTCTTTCAGGTCTGGTCCAGTGGCAATAAACTTCTTCAGCTTAGTTGTGCTCAAAATAGAATTCTTGGTTAACAAGTTTTTTTCTTTTCTTTTAGTAGTTTTGATATATCAGCCCACTGCCTTCTAGCCTCCAAAGTCTCTGAAGTCTGCAGATAATTTTATTGAGGATCTCCCATATGTGATGAATCACTTCTTTCTTGCTGCCTTCAGATTTTCTGTGTTTGTCTTTCAAAAGTTGGATTATAGTGTGTCTCAGTGTGGGTCTCTTTGAGTTTATCTTACTTAGAGTTTGTTTATCTCCTCGGATATTTATATTTATGTCTTTAATCAAATTTGGAAATTTTCAGCCATTATTTTATCAAATATTCTCTCTTCCTTCTCCTTCTGGGACTTCTAAAATGCATATGGTTGTCTGCGTGATAGTATCCCACAGGCCCTGTAGGCTCTGTTCACTTTTTTCAAAATCTTGTTTCTTTCTGTCCCTCAGACTTAATAATTTTAACTGTTCTATCTTCAAGTTTTCTGATTCTTTCCTCTGCCTACTCAAATCTGCCTTCAAATCATACTAGTAAATTTTTCACTTCACTTATTGTACTTTTCAGCTCCAGAATTTCTTTTTGGTTTCCTTTTAGATTTCTTCTCTTTATTGATACTTTTATTTTGTTCATACTTTTTTTTTTACTTTCTCTAAATCTTCTTTTAGTACTTTTAGCATCTTTAAGGCAATGTTTTAAAGTTTTGTTTAAGTCTTTATCAAGGATAACTTTTGTTAGTTTATTTCTTTTGAGTGAGCCAAACTTTCTTGTTTCTCTGTATGCCTTGTAGTTTTTTGTTGAAAAGTGGGCATTCAAATGTATTAATATAGTAGCTCTGGAAATATGGTTCTTCCTTTTTTCCAGGGTTTACTCTCTTGTGTTATTGTTTTGTTGATTGTTTTTGTTTGCTTTTATTGTTGTAGACGGTTGTCCCTGTGCCAAGGATCAACCTGAGGTATAAACTTAGGATCTTCTCAAATCTTTTCTAAGTCTGTACCTTTCCCTGGACAAGCACAATCACTCTCTAATTTATCTCATGTATACAGTTGCTTTTGAATGTCCTAGTCTTTAATGTCTATCTCCCAAAAGGAGAAAAACAGAAAAATAAAAGGGTTGGGTAAAATGATGGCAGCCCTTTAAATCCTCTGGAGTCACTTCAGCTTGAGCTGGAGGGGCTTGCAACAATGGTGGGAGGTACAATAACAATGGCCACTTACCTCTTTGTGGGACCTTCTGTGATCAGAAGTAGCAATCAGCAATCATTACACAGATGCCTGATATTTGGAGAACAGTGTTCTTTTTGCCCATCCTGGCTCCTGTAAAGTATGTGCAAACTACTTCAAGAACACATGCACAGCTGCCTGCCATGGGGCTAGGGATAGAGGATGGGTAGCTGCTATTGTGCTAAGAACTTAAATTTACCAAAATTAACTACAATTTACCACACATGTCTTCCCCTGTAATACGTAAGCCTTCAATATACTCTAGAGACCTAAAATAGTTACTAGACAAATTCCTCCAGTGTAATTGTTGTGTAGATAGGGAGATAGATTTCTGGTCTTTCCTACTTTGCCATCTTCCCAGCCCTGAATCTCTTTTCAATGCCGTGGTCTATGGACACCTCACCCATATCCACTAGCTACGGCCCTAAAGGATGTGAAAAAAATTTCAAGAATGTTCCTTGCCCTGAAGGAACTTCCAGCTTCAGGATGCATGTTGACTTGGTTACATATTATTATGTCTGGCAGATTCCTCTCTGGTCAAATATATTAAAACTAACAAAATAATAAAAAAACGAACTATAAACAGTCACTCTGTTATTCCTCTCAAAGAAGAAAATGTACTATTAACATAATTTATGGCAGCATCAGAAAAGCCAGGATGAGGGAAACCAAGCATATGTGTGTTAGTTCTGGAATTAGAAATTAAGTTGTCCTAGCCCAACACACCCATCATTAGCCACATTTGGGAAAAAAACCTCTCATTTTCGTGGTAGTAAAACTGGCTGTAAAGTAATTCAGTTTGTTATTTGTAAAGTCATGTGATGGCCTTCCTATATCCCTTCTATTTCCAAAGGAAAGAGAACTCTATTTGGGAAAATAGAAGGAACCCTCCCACTGTTCATGGTTTCCTTTACTGTTATTTGAGAAATAAAGGCAAATCTTGCTTGTACCATCAAGGTTACAGTTTTCTAATTCCTTTGGCTGAGACTTGAATGGGATTCAGTAAGTTCTGTTTCCTTATTTGCCACCCCTTTTCTATGCCACAAATATTGCTTGTTCCAAGGGTTAGAGAAATTTTGTTATCTTTTCTGGTAGGATTCTTGTGGTTCTTGTATGAGCAGCATTCTGCAAGTGGGCATAACTTATTTATGTAGTATGTGCCTTATGTGAAGGAACTTAATATTCCTTTGAAGGAAACCACAATTAGAAACAGAAACTTAAAAAATCTGAATTCTAATATGTTCAAGGATAGGTGATGTAAGCAGGAATCTATAGAGTGCCAAGACTATGTGTTTGCTTAGCTGGTTTTAAAATAATCTAACAAATTAGGGGATTTGATTCATTTAAAAGAATACTACATGAAATGAGCATTTAATATTAGGCTCTATATTGCTTTAAGTTACACCCTATGTGCCATGCGGCTACTAGTAAAATAAAAGGCAAGTAGCTTAGATTAAGTTAACCATTATTCTGTGAAAAAAGATAAAAAGTATAACCTAAAACTTCAGAAAGTTAATATGGTCATTTTAGTAATTGATTGCAAAGGGGAAGATTATAGAGAAGTGTTATCACAATAAAGAGAGATTACTTGAAGCTTATGTTTTACAGTGAGAGGAGAAGGGAACACATATTGATTAAGTGCTTGCTAGGTGACTGAACATTGCTAAGTGCTTTATGTATGTTGTTTTATACAATATTGTCAAAATGCAGCTGGGCATGGTGGCTCATGCCTATAATCCCAACACTTTGGGAGGCCGAGGCAGGTGGATTACTTGAGGTCAGGAATTTGAGACCAGCCTGGCCAACATGGTGAAACCTAGTCTCTACTAAAGCTACAAAAATTAGCTGGGTGTGGTGGCGCATGCTTGTCCCAGCTACTCAGGAGGCTGAGGCAGGGGAATCAGTTGAACCCAGGAGGCAGAGGTTGCAGTGAGCCAAGATCACACCACTGCACTCCAGCCTGGAGGACAGAGCAAGACTCCATCTCCAAAAAAAAAAAAAAGTGCTATGAAGCCTTCCATTATCATGACCTGTTTATAAAAAAGTAAGTAGAGAGGTTAAATCATCGGCTGAAGGCCAAGTGACTAGGAAATGATGGAGCTTGGATCCTTAACAGTCAGATTCCTACATTTATCTTTTTGCCACTGAGCCGTCTGATATGTATTGTTTTTTCTTATATTAAAACTTGCTTTGCATTGGATAATGGATAACTCAGTGTCAAAATGGATTGGCTTTATTACCTTGATGGAGCACAGAACACATTTTAGGATGAAAATGACTGGTAGAAGAGAAAGCTTGCACTGTTTATTCTTCACTGAAGAGCCCTAGCCTTGTGCTTTCTATGTAGTGGTTGCTTCATGAATAAATAAAATCTAAGCAGATCCTCTATTTAAATTATTATTTCCTAAGCTGAGTGAAAATAGATTAAAATAAATACCAAAATATTTGTAGTTGTCATTATTTATGAAGTTCGTTGGTCAACTAGGTTATGAAAATCTTTTGTAACTCACATTGACTCCCCTTTTAGAACACAGACATATTAAAGGGGTGGTTCTGGGATCTGCTTCATGCCAAAAAGGGTCTGTGGAAACTGTGTGACCTTGAGAAAGTCGCTTAACCTCTCCAAACCTTATTCCTTCTTTAGCCAAATAGGGATAATTCTTTATTAGCCAAAGGTGGAGAGTCTAGGTAGATATGTTTTTTTTCATTGTTAAAAACATTCATTTTGATACATAAAGTCAGTAGAGCTTCCACTCTGCCACATATGCCTCTATGAAGAGTCCTGTGCCATTCAACCACGAAATATATTTATTTATTTATTTGAGATAGGGTCTTGCTCTGTCACTCAGGCTAGGTGCCTGAGTGCAGTGGTGCCATCACAGCTCACTGCAGCCTCAACCTCCCAGGCTCAAGCAATCCTCCCACCTCAGCCTCTTGAGTAACTGGAACTATAGGCTCAGCTAATTTTTGTATATTTTGTAGAGTTGGGGTTTTGCCTTGCTACCCAGGCTGATCTCTAATCCTGGGCTCAAGTGATCCACCTGCCTTGACCTCCCAAAGTGCTGGGATTACAGGTGTAAGCCACCATGCCTGGCCGATTAGGGAACATTTGAATGAGGCCCCATTTCTTATCCCCATCAGAGCGCACAGCTCCATGTTGTTCCTGTCCATTGATGGCTTCCAAATCCAGATGATCAAATAGTCCTTTATCTCCAAAGCAGGCTCAAAACGATTGGTTCAGACATCCCAGGCTCTATACCCTTCTTTAGTTCCAGGTAAGTCATGAGATGAATAAAGCCCCAGCAGATGGAAAATTGACTGCCCTTGAAAAGCTACTGCAGCCTCTGCTTGGCCTCTTTGCCCAGCATCACCATGGAGACATCCAGGGTGGCATGGTGAGGTAATAGTTGCTTTCTGATGCCCCTTGTGATAGGATTTGTGACATGAAAATTCTAACTCCTGGACCCATGATATGGTCCCAACTTACTCTCCAGCCTTCTCTCTTATACTCCCCTTTCTGCTGTAGCCCCCAGCACTCTTCCTTCAAGTTTTCTTCCACTAGAATCCCTTCCACCCACATCCACTCTGCAACCGTCTCTCTAACAGCTCTTATGTTTCTTCAGGGCCTAGGCTGTGCCTTGCAGCCTCTGCATTGCTCTAAATCAACCAGGCAGCCCAGTATATTAAATGAGCTCAACAAATATTTTTTTGTAATAAGCCAAAAGTGGGCTATATTATTCTGTTCTCACACTGCTATAAAGAACTACTGGAGACTGGGTAATTTATGGAGAAAAGAGGTTTAATTGACTCACAGTTCTGCAGGCTATACAGGAAGCATAGCTGGGAGGCCTCATGAAACTTACAACCATGGTGGAAGGTGAGGGGAAGCAAGCATGTCTTAGGTGGAGCAGGAGGAAGAGAGTGAAGGGGGAAGTGCCACACACTTTTAAATTATCAGATCTCATGAGAACTCACTCACTATCCACTATCATGAGAACAAGAGAGAAATCTACTCCTATGATCCAATCACCTCCCACCAGGTCCCTCCCCCAACAATAGGAATGACAATTAAACATGAGATTTGGGATTTGGGTGGAGACACAGAGCCAAATCATATCACGGACAAAAAGAGAAACCTACTGAATGAAGATGGTAATATCACCAACTGGTGCCAAAATATCAGTGCTGTTTCTCTACCTGGTTATCCCCTTCCACACTCGATCCACACACACATCTCTCCTAAACCAAATGTTTAGGAGAAGTCAGGGCACAGGTGCACTCTCTCCTGACTCCTCTTTGCCCCATAGCCCCTTTGAAATAGTCTTGAGAAAAAAGATTAGTATAGGATGGAAATGACATACAAGAATAATTATTGATGTGAAATAAAATTTAGCTTAAGAAAAACTATGATAAAATAAATCTTTTTTTGGGTAGTTATTAAACCAAAGAAGTGTCTTGTACACCTGACTGTGCAGAACTCTGTGTCCAAGGAAATTCTTAAGAAGAATGAGTTTGTAGAAATACCTATGGAGGCAGAACTGCCCCAAGAGTTCAGGTGTGAACCACCAAACCTGATGGTCTGGAATGTGTGTCTAATCTAATCCCAAGTATGCATTTACTGAGTAGTCACTGTGTGGGGGACATCATGCTAGGCTGATAATAACAATGGTCCCTGTCTATTAAACCTGACATGGTGCCAGGTAAATAATAAATATCATCTCATTTAATCCTTCCAGTAACCCCAGTAAGGTAAGTATCACTATCCTCATTTTATGAATAAGTAAGTTGAGTCTCATAGAAAGTAATTTGGTTGCATAAGATCCCACACGTTTTATTGGCAGAACCAGGCTCTGAATCTAGGTTTTCCAAATTTTAAAACCATCTCTTATCTACCTTATTTCACAGGGAAAACTTGGCAATATAACTGAAGAAATTATTCTCATAAAACAATCAAAGCACAAGATAACATACAAAGAGTGCTACTCTTAAGCATTGATAAATGATGTTGATTTCTAATAGCTCTCTAAAGCAGTAACTACAATCAACTCACCTATATCTGAAAATTAACAATGAATAAATATTAAGTGGCTACTTTTGGCCAAATTCTATACAAGTTGCCTTTAGATACATCAATCAAAATTTCCTTACAGTGGTCTGTGAAATATGTATTATTATTATTATCCACAACTTACAGAAAAGAAAATTGACACTCAGCTCAATAATTTGTGGGGGCCATGTTTTACAACATGTGGTTGGAAATGTGGCTAGACTTTTGGGATAGGATCTCTTTCCAGCAGGTTGCTAAGATAATAAGATGTTAGTTGGAGTCCTGATGTTCATTGCTGTCCCATTTAGTGACAGTATGTCTGAATATGGGCAATGTGGAGACAAGCACTGTGGAGAGGTGGGGAGAGACAGGCTCCTGATAATGTTGTTTGAGTAGCAAGGTTACTCTGTGTTGAGAAGAGAGTACTCTGAGGAGCAGTGTGGAGAATGGAAGGAAGCCAATTTGGAGACTATATAGCAATAATATCCAAGTGGAAGATTATGGTGACTAGGACCAGGGTGGTAGCAATGGACACAGTGGGTAGTAGTCTGATTCTGGATATATTTAGAAGTAGAATCATCAGGACTTGATGACAAATTAGATGAGGAATATGAAAAAAAAATGGGAGAGTCAATGATAACTTCAAAGATTTTTGACTTAATTTTGTAGGTATCTCTTTCTTCTCCATAAACTCGTTTGTTGAAAGGTAATATCTTCCTTACCAGTTATTGATTTAGGAATAGGCATGTGTCCTGGTTATAGCCAACAGGATATGACAAGGCATCTTCTGGGAGCTTCTCCATAAAAGAACCACTGGTAGAAGAGAGTCACTCTTTTTTTCCCCCCTTTAGATGTAGTTGTGCCTGAATGTGATACCCGGAGCATCTGCAATTATCTTGTTACCAGCCTAAGAATGAACCAACAGGGAGGTTGGCAGAGCCGAGAGATGGAAGGAACCAGGGTCCTAGGTGACATCACTGAGCCACTGAAGCAACCAAGCCTGTCTATGAACTCTCTCATTGTGGGATAGTGTATTTCTGTATTATTTAGGATAGCTGATGATGGGATGTCTGTTTCTTGCACCTTGAACCGTCCTACTCCAGGATGCTCTTTTGTAAGTCTTATCACTTGTCCTTTTTAGAGTGAAGTACCAAAGGATTTAGAAATGTTTCCAAGGTGTCCAAAACTGCAGCTCCTATACTATGACACTCTTAGTTGAAGGAAAAAGATTTGGTAGGGAAAAAAGGCTGGATAAGAAAACAATTCCATGGTGATAGTAGGCAATAAATTATATGTACATTGATTTATGACATGGAAGGAAACAAATCAGTTGTGGAACTGAGTGCAAAGCTATGGTGCCCTAGGGAAGTGTTTTTCCAACTGCAGTTTGTGACCTACTAGTAGGTCATAGAAACAATCTAGTGAGTCTAGACTAGCATTTTAAAAAAAGAATAGAACAAATAAGATAGAATAAATAGAATAGAAAATATCAGAGTACAAAGCACAGCATGTAGGAAGGATTATCTTGTGGAACTTTTCTATCAGTTATATATGTATATATGTGTCTCCTGAGTCATTGTGTAAAATGTATGTCTTCTTCTGGGTCAATCATGGTCAAAAGGGTTTGAGAAATACTTTCTAAGAATAAATTGAAGCACTGACCATCCCTCTTTACACATAATGACACTCTAAATCACTAGCACTGTCTGGTTGATTTCCTTTAATTATATAAATAAATCTAACATCTTTTCTAATAAACATTATTCTCACTGTGTGATGTAATAAAATATTCCTTCTCAAATAAAAACGATGCCCCAGACGCATGAATCAACAGGGGCTCAGGACACCAAGCTGAGCCCCTGTGGGCTCCTTGGGTCCTGGAGCCCCTGTTGTTTGGTGTAGTTTACTCTCGGGTTCTTTCCCAGGGTCTCTTTGGAAAGCTGTATTTGGTTTCTGCCTGAGTCTTGCTTTTTATGGTAACTCTGGGGGAGGAGAAAAAGGAGATTTATTTCCATGGCTTTGCTGATGTAAGTAACCTGGTACTGATATGGATTCTTATTAAAGCTGATTTTTTTTTAATTCCAAAGAGATTAGAAATTGCTCCCAAATTCCAATTTTCAGTGTAATTAGTTGTTCACAAGGAGGCCAATCATGAGCTCTACTTGTTCTGAGGGCTCTTATGAATCATATATGTTTACAATATGAAAGCTTAAGGTAAGGTATCTGTGCTCCATGCCACATTCCCTCATCTCACTTTTAATCGCAGAGCAACGGTAATGGACAGTTCTGTGCAGTCTTAGGCCTCCCCTCAGGTACCTGCCTGGGATATCTTTCCATTTTCAGCCTCAGGGCCTGTCCCAATGCCTGCCACAAGCATCTGCCTATGCACAAGGAAGACCAGAAATGTCAGAGACTTAACATCTCTCAGAGCAATCCTCAAGTAAGGAAGGATGGGAACTGATGGACACATGCTCTGGCCTCCTGTCGTTCAGGGGACAGTCCTGGGAGGAACACCATATGCTTCTCAGAGCTCTGGGTGAAATTGAATCCCCACTGTCCATGGCTAGACCTTGGTAATGTACTATATTTGCTTTTCCTCCTTCCCTTTCTCACTCTTCCTTTTCCTTTTTTTTTTTTTTTTTTTTTTGAGACTAAGTCTCGCTGTGTCACCCAGGCTGGAGTGCAGTGGTGCAATCTCAGCTCACTGCAACCTCTGCCTCCCTGGTTCAAGTGATTCTCCTGCCTCAGCCTCCCTAGTAGCTGGGATCACAGGCACCCACCATCATGCCCGGTTAGTTTTTGTATTTTCAGTAGAGACCAGGTTTTACTATGTTGGCCAGGCTGGTCTCGAGCTCCTGACCCCAGGTGATCTACCGGCCTCGGCCTTTCAAAGTGCTGGGATTATAAGCATGAGCCACCGCACCCAGACCCTTTCCCTCCTTCTTAATCTTTGAGATAACCTCTCAAACAGAATATCTGCATCCAAGTCCTTGTATGCAATTTGGCTTTTAGGAAAACTATTAAATAAAAGAGAATCTAAACTTAACAGAATCTAACTGACTTAGGAAAAAAATAACTAAACAAATTATTTCATGAATCCAAATAAAGTCTTTTCAATATGATATATACAAATGTTTTTAAAAGAATAGGAAGGAGTTTGCTAAAAGAACTACTTGGGGAAGTACAGCTAGTCCTTGGAAGAACAAAAGAAACTGAGGTCAAAACTTACAAATTAATAGTGAAATTTAGCAATCTTATAGAACAGAGGGTTGTTGTCTCTGAACCCATTTCTCATCCACTTGGCAGCTGGAAAAGTCAAAAGTAGATGAGGAGCAACTGAACATGGAAAGGAAACCAGGGACACCTTAAGAGCCAACCTTCTTTTCAGAGAGGTGCCAACAACTACTAGCAACACTATTGCACTACATCATATTTCCAGGTAAAATGGGAACAGAGAATGTGAAAATCTATTCTGGGGAGCAGCGTTTCACAAATAAAAACTTAAAAGGAAATAGAAAAAAAATCAATTAGAAAATACTGTTATTGCAACAAAAGCCAAAATTGACAAATGGGATCTAATTAAACTAAAGAGCTTCTGCACAGCAAAAGAAACTACCATCAGAGTGAACAGGCAACCTACAAAATGGGAGAAAATTTTCGCAACCTACTCATCTGACAAAGGGCTAATATCCAGAATCTACAATGAACTCAAACAAATTTACAAGAAAAAAACAAACAACCCCATCAAAAAGTGGGCGAAGGACATGAACAGACACTTCTCAAAAGAAGACATTTATGCAGCCAAAAAACACATGAAAAAATGCTAACCATCACTGGCCATCAGAGAAATGCAAATCAAAACCACAATGAGATACCATCTCACACCAGTTAGAATGGCAATCATTAAAAAATCAGGAAACAACAGGTGCTGGAGAGGATGTGGAGAAATAGGAACACTTTTACACTGTTGGTGGGACTGTAAACTAGTTCAACCATTGTGGAAGTCAGTGTGGTGATTCCTCAGGGATCTCAAACTAGAAATACCATTTGAACCAGCCATCCCATTACTGGGTATATACCCAAAGAACTATAAATCATGCTGCTATAAAGACGCATGCACACATATGTTTATTGTGGCATTATTCACAATAGCAAAGACTTGGAACCAACCCAAATGTCCAACAATGATAGACTGGATTAAGAAAATGTGGCACATATACACCGTGGAATACTATGCAGCCATAAAAAATGATGAGTTCATGTCCTTTGTAGGGACATGGATGAAATTGGAAATCATCATTCTCAGTAAACTATCGCAAGAACAAAAAACCAAACACTGCATATTCTCACTCATAGGCGGGAATTGAACAATGAGAACACATGGACACAGGAAGGGGAACATCACACTCTGGGGACTGTTGTGGGGTGGGGGGAGGGGGGAGGGATAGCATTGGAAGATATACCTAATGCTAGATGACGAGTTAGTGGGTGCAGCGCACCAGCATGGCACATGTATACATATGTAACTAACCTGCACATTGTGCACATGTACCCTAAAACTTAAAGTATAATAATAATAAAAAAAAAAAAAGAAAATACAGTTATTGGCTGGGTGTGGTGGCTCATGCCTGCAATCCCAGCACTTTGGGAGGCTGAAGTGGGAGGATCACTTGAGGCCAGTAGTTCAAGAGCAGCCCAGGCAACATAGTGAGACCCATGTCTACAAAAAATTTAAAAATTAGCTGCATGTGGTGGCATGCACCTGTAGTCCTAGCTACCCAACAGACTGGGGCAGGAGGATCACTTGAGCCCAGGAGTTTGAGGCTGCAGTGATCTATGATTATATCTCTACATTTCAGCCTGAATGACAGAGCAAGACTGTTTCTGTCTCTAAAAAAGTTAAAATTAAAAAAAACAGCGATTTTAAAAATATGTCATTATTATTTTTAAAATACAGAAAAATACTAAATTTGAGAAACTTGGAAGGCAATTGAATTAATAAAAGCTCTAATGAACAAAATGATTTCAGTGTCAAAATGCAGTATCATTTTCAAATACCCACAGAAATACAATCTGATTTACTAAACCAATCGTTAAAAGAATTCCTTAGGCAAACTGGTCTAGTGAAAAGTTGAAAACAGCTTATAATGTGTGATATTGGTTATTTTTCACTTACAAATTCCTGAAATAGTATATTGTTGTAAGCATTTTAAATATCTTCCTGTGCTTCTGTTTATTGTATTTATGGAGAAGATTATTTTTAAAGTGGTAAATCCTTATTCAACCTTGTTTTAGGATATCACAAATGATGCTTTAGTAATGTCTAGATTAATGGCATTCTCCTACCATGACATGTACTGACAGAGCACGACACACAAAGCTGAGAACCTATAATTTTTTCTATATTTAACTTTGGTCAGCCGCTTATTAATGTTGAGTCAAGTTGTGGTTTCTGAATTTCTAGAGAGTGGCAGAGAAGTTGGAAAAGATCCAGAGAGAAATGACAGAAACCATTCAGATGATGAAGGATAAGACCTAGGAGGAAAGGTGAAAGAAGTTGAACTACCTTCACCTTGAAAATTATAGGCCAAGGACTGATTTAATAACTTTCTTCAAGAACAGGATGGTTTATTTTGAGGAGGATGCTAGCTGGCTTTTCTCTGTCTCTATAGAGATGAAAACCAGACAAAATGGGATTAGAATGCAACCAGAGAATTATCTTTGACCTAAGGCAGAACACAGCTGCAAAGGTGATTAAACTCTGTCATTACCAACACCGGAGAGCTTTGAAAATGTGCTCAGCAACCATTAGTTATGGGTAGTTTAGGCAAGTCACTGGAGGAGGAAATCCCTTTCAACTCTATGTCTCCATGTATTTGATTTCTCAAAAGCCAAATTAATAGGTTTAGTCAGTGTATAGGAGAGAACAGATTTCCCAAAGAGGAGTACAAGGTGACCAGAATATATCATCTTTCATTCTGAAGCTAGAAAGTTTCAACACAAAATGAATATTAGCCATATGCCAAAGTCACACAACTCTAAGAGGTGGTTTGCAAAAGCTATTAATAAAGCTAGTTATTTCCCAAATTTCATAAATGGACTAATAGAAACCATGTTGCAACAAATCTAAGGGAAACTGAGATTTAATAAGATTCATTACACATCTATTGAACACCTGCTATGTTTCAAAGAGCGTTCCAGGCACTGGAGATTCCAAGCCTAATATGACATGTCCTTGCCCTTGGGAGCTGACAATCTGGGGAGGAAAGAGACACATTACTGGCAAATCTTGTGATAGAGAGAAACACAACATGCTATGAGAGTACCTGAGTGGGACCCCCAGTCCAAAAGGGGCATTCAGGGAAGGCTCCCCAAAAACAGACGCTGCAGATGAGCTTCGTAGATAGATTAGGTGTAAAACTGGCACAGGAGGGATTTATTGTAGAGAAGGTGTATGCTGAATAAATAACAGTACAAAGAATAAATATGTTTTCAATGCTGACTAAATACTGGACAGTGTATGAAGTGCTTAGTCAGTATAAATTTATTTTATCATCAGGCCATCTCTAGTTTATTCATTCATCAAATATTTGATTACCTGCTATGTTCTAGGGACTCTGCATACAACAGTGAGTCAAACACAGATTCTGCTCACTGAGAGCCTAGTGCAAGGAGGGATGCTATTCAAAAATAAAGCAATCACATATGAATATTATAAAATTATAAACAAGCTGCTGAAAATATGTGACATTTATATAAAACAAAAGTATCTCCAAACTGTATGTTTCTAAATGTACATGCATATGTCAATGTACTTTTAAAATATTAACAACTCAACTTTTAAAATTATTAGTATACAAAACAGGTAACCTGGTTAAATCTTAGAGATGGGGCAGAAATGTCCACTGAGCCCAGGCCTTGTGTAACTCCTTAGTTAAGTCCAATATAGTCTGGTACTAAAATGTCTTAAGGGGTAGACTACTTAGCATCTCCATCTTTTTCCTCTGCCTTATCAAAGACTTCCAGAATTGCCACCACTTGACAGAGTTGTTTGTTGTTGTTGTTTTTAAAGAGTCTCTTTTACTTACTTTTTTTTAAAGAGTCTTATCCTTTTTTTTTAAAAGAGTCTCTTTTACTTACTCTTACCAGGACTGCTGTTTCATTAATCTAGTTTGTTATGGCCCAGAAAACAAGAGAATAGATGGGAGAGAAACCTGCCACATCTGATTGTAACAAACACGTTTTTACATACTGACAGGGAAATGTTTAAACAGTCACATCAAAATATTCTGCTTCAATGGTATTACACGTAATCAGTACAAAAATTTAATTTTATTTTTACAACCTAGATCTGAGTGCTCCTCATTTGTCAGGTCTGGTTAGAAACAGACATTATGAAAGAATCAATTCTATTCTTAAATGGTTTCTTGCTTGTTTGTATATCATTACCCTATCAAGACAAAATCCAGCCATATGTGCACCAGGGGAAGCGGAAAGAGGGCTTTGCAAAACAAAACCCCCAAACACTCACCTTCACATGGTTTTATTAAAGCACACACACACACACACACACATGCACACACATACACGTGTTTATATATTATGATTAAAATGTGTTTACGTTTATGTAATTAAAATAATTTTTGTTGGATGGCCGAATAGGAAGAGCTCCAGTCTACAGCTCCCAGCATGAGCGACGCAGAAGACGGGTGATTTCTGCATTTCCAACAAAGGTACCGGGTTCATCTCACTGGGGAGTGTCGGAAAGTGGGTGCAGGACAGTGGGTGCAGCGCACCAAGCGTGAGCCGAAGCAGGGCAAGGCATCGCCTCACCAGGGAAGTACAAGGGGTCAGGGAATTCCCTTTCCTAGTCAAAGAAAGGGATGACAGACGGCACCTGGAAAATCGGGTCACTCCCACCCTAATACTGTGCTTTTCCAACGGTCTTAGCAAACGGCACACCAGGAGATTATATCCTGCACCTGGCTCGGAGGGTCCTACACCCACGGAGCCTCTCTCATTGCTAGCACGGCAGTATGAGATCAAACTGCAAGGCAGCAGCAAGGCTGGGGGAGGGGCACCCGCCATTGCCGAGGCTTGAGTAGGTAAACAAAGCGGTGGGGAAGCTCCAACTGGGTGGAGCCCACCACAGCTCAAGGAGGCCTGCCTGCCTCTCTAGACTCCACCTCTGGGGGCAGGGTACAGCCAAACAAAAGGCAGCAGAATCCTCTGCAGAATTAAATGTCTCTGTCTGACAGCTTTGAAGAGAGTAGTGGTTCTCCCAGTACGCAGCTGGAGATCTGAGAACGGATAGACTGCCTCCTCAAGTGGGTCCCCGACCCCCGAGTAGCCTAACTGGGAGGCACACCCCAGTAGGAGCAAACTGACACCTCACACAGCCAGGTACTCCTCTGAGACAAAACTTCCAGAGGAACGATCAGGCAGCAACATTTGCTGCTCACCAATATCTGCTGTTCTGCAGCCTCCGCTGCTGATACCCAGGAAAACAGGGTCTGGAGTGGACCTTCAGCAAACTCCAACAGACCTGCAGCTGAGGGTCCTGACTGTTAGAAGGAAAACTAACAAACAGAAAGGACATCCACACCAAAACCCCATCTGTATGTCAACGTCATCAAAGACCAAAGGTAGATAAAACCACAAAGATGGAGAAAAAACAGACCAGAAAAACTGGAAATGCTAAAAATCAGAGTGCCTCTCCTCCTCCAAAGGAACGAAGCTCTTCACCAGCAATGGAACAAAGCTGGACGGAGAATGACTTTGATGAGTTGAGAGAAGAAGGCTTCAGGCAATCAAGCTACTCTGAGCTAAAGGAGGAAGTTTGAACCAATGTTAAAGAAGTTAAAAACCTTGAAAAAAAATTAGACGAATGGCTAACTAGAATAACTGATGCAGAGAAGTTCTTAAAGGACCTGACGGAGCTGAAAACCAAGGCACAAGAACTACGTGACACATGCACAAGCTTCAACAGCCGATTTGATCAACTGGAAGAAAGGGTATCAGTGATGGAAGATCAAATGAATGAAATGAAGCGAGAAGGGAAGTTTAGAGAAAAAAGAATATAAAGAAATGAACAAAGCCTCCAAGAAATATGGGACTATGTGAAAGGACCAAATCTACATCTGATTGGTGTACCTAAAAGTGACGGGGAGAATGGAACCAAGTTGGAAAACACTCTGCAGGATATTATCCAGGAGAACTTCCCCAATCTAGCAAGGCAGGCCAATATTCAAATTCAGGAAATACAGAGAACACAACAAAGATACTCCTTGAGAAGAGCAACTCAAAGACACATAATTGTCAGATTCACTAAAATTGAAATGAAGGAAAAAATGTTAAGGGCAGCTAGAGAGAAAGGTCAGGTTGTCCACAAAGGGAAGCCAATCAGACTAACAGTGAACCTCTTGCTGGAAACTCTACAAGCCAGAAGAGAGTGGGGGCCAATATTCAACATTCTTAAAGAATTTTCAACCCAGAATTTCATACCCAGCCAAACTAAGCTTTGTAAGTGAAGGAGAAATAAAATCCTTTACAGACAAACAAATGCTGAGAGATTTTGTCACCACCAGGCCTGCCTTACAAGAGCTCCTGAAGGAAGCACTAAACATGGAAAGGAGCAACCAGTACCAGCCACTGCAAAAACATGCCAAATTGTAAAGACCATCAAGGCTAGGAAGAAACTGCATCAACTAACGAGCAAAATAACCAGCTAACATCATAATGACAGGATCAAATTCACACATAACAATATGAACCTTAAATGTAAATGGGCTAAATGCTCCAATTAAAAGACACAGACTGGCAAATTGGATAAAGAGTCAAGACCCATCAGTGTGCTGTATTCAGGAAACGCATCTCACTTGCAGAGACACACATAGGCTCAAAATAAAGGGATGGAGGAAGATCTACCAAGCAAATGGAAAACAAAAAAAGGCAGGGGTTGCAATCCTAGTCTCGGATAATACAGACTTTAAACCAACAAAGATCAAAAGAGACAAAGAAGGCCATTACATAATGGTAAAGGGATCAATTCAACAAGAAGAGCTAACTATCCTAAATATATATGCACCCAATACAGGAGCACCCAGATTCATAAAGTAAGTCCTTAGAGACCTACAAACAGACCTAGACTCCCACACAATAATAATGGGAGACGTTAACACCCCACTATCAACATTAGACAGATCAACGAGACAGAAAGTTAACAAGGATATCCAGGAATTGAAGTCAGCTCTGCACCAAGTGGACCTAATAGACATCTACAGAACTCTCCACCCCAAATCAACAGAATATACGTTCTTCTCAGCACCACATCACACTTATTTCAAAATTGACCACATAGTTGGAAGTAAAACACTCCTCAGCAAATATAAAAGAATAGAAATTATAACTGTCTCTCAGACCACAGTGCAATTAAACTAAAACTCAGGATTAAGAAACTCGCTCAAAATTGCTCAACTACATGGAAACTGAATAACCTGCTGCTGAATGACTACTGGGTACATAACAAAATGAAGGCAGAAATAAAGATGTTCTTTGAAACCAATGAGAACAAAGACACAACATACCAGAATCTCTGGGACACATTTAAAGCAGCGTGTAGAGGGAAATTTATAGCACTAAATGCCCAGAAGAGAAAGCAGGAAAGATCTAAAATTGACACCCTAACATCACAATTAAAAGAACTAGAGAAACAAGAGCAAACACATTCGAAAGCCAGCAGAAGGCAAGAAATAGCTAAGATCAGAGCAGAGCTGAAGGAGATAGAGACACAAAAACCCTTCAAAAAAATCAATGAATCCAGGAGCTGATTTTTTGAAAAGATCAACAAAATTGATAGACCACTAGCAAGACTAATAAACAAGAAAAGAGAGAAGAATCAAATAGATGCAATAAAAAATTATAAAGGGGATATCACCACTGATCCCAGAGAGATACAAACTACCATCAGAGACTACTATAAACACCTCTACACAAATAAACTAGAAAATCTAGAAGAAATGGATAAATTCCTCGACACATACACCCTCCCAAGACTAAACGAGGAAGAAGTTGAATCCCTGAATAGACCAATAATAGGCTCTGAAATTGAGGCAATAATTAAGAGCCTACCAACCAAGAAAGTCCAGCAGGACCAGACGGATTCACAGCCGAATTCTACCAGAGGTACAAGGAGGAGCTGGTACCATTCCTTCTGAAACTATTCCAATCAATAGAAAAAGAGGGAATCCTCCCTAACTCATTTTATGAGACCAGCATCAACCTGATACTAAAGTCTGGCAGAGACACAACAAAAAAAGAGAATTTTAGACCAATATCCCTGATGAACATTGACGCAAAAATTCTCAATAAAATACTGGCAAACCGAATTCAGCAGCACATCAAAAAGCTTATCCACCATGATCAAGTGGGCTTCATCCCTGGGATGCAAGGCTGGTTCAACATATGCAAATTAATAAACGTAATCCATCATATAAACAGAACCAAAGACAAAAACCACATGATTATCCCAATAGATGCAGAAAAGGCCTTTGATAAAATTCAACGGCCCTTCATGCTAAAACTCTCAATAAATTAGGTATTGATGGGATGTATCTCAAAATAATAAGAGCTATTCATGACAAACCCACAGCCAATATCATACTGAACGGGCAAAAACT
Source organism: Homo sapiens (assembly GCF_000001405.40). Taxonomy (NCBI): domain Eukaryota; kingdom Metazoa; phylum Chordata; class Mammalia; order Primates; family Hominidae; genus Homo; species Homo sapiens. Next base: position 98,727,323 of record NC_000004.12, read on the forward strand.
GGAAGCATTGCCTTTGAAAACTGGCACAAGACAGGGATGCCCTCTCTCACCAGTCCTATTCAACATAGTGTTGGAAGTTCTGGCCAGGACAATTAGGCAGGAGAAAGAAATAAAGGGTATTCAATTAGGAAAAGAGGAAGTCAAATTGTCCCTGTTTGCAGATGACATGATTTTGTATTTAGAAAACCCCATCATCTCAGCCCAAAATCTCCTTAAGCTGATAAGCAACTTCAGCAAAGTCTCAGGATACAAAATCAATGTGCAAAAATCACAAGCGTTCCTATACACCAATAACAGACAAACAGAGAGCCAAATCATGAGTGAACTCCCATTCACAATTGCTTCAAAGAGAATAAAATACCTAGGAATCCAACTTACAAGGGATGTGTAGGACCTCTTCAAGGAGAATTACAAACCACTGCTCAAGGAAATAAAAGAGGACACAAACAAATGGAAGAACATTCCATGCTCATGGATAGGAAGAATCAATATCGTGAAAATGGCCATACTGCCCAAAGTAATTTATAGATTCAATGCCATCCCCATCAAGCTACCAATGACTTTCTTCACAGAATTGGAAAAAACTACTTTCAAGTTCATATGGAACCAAAAAAGAGCCTGCAGGTGTGAGCCACCACGTCCGGCTGATAAGAGCTAATGTTTCTAATGCCTGTGTGTGGCATGCACTTTCCATGGATTCTCTCATTTAGTATCCAGGAAATTTCCATCTAAATCAGATTGAAATCCTTAAAGTTTAGGCAATGACGTATCATGACATACAAGTACGACTAAAGATCAGAACTTTCTTCCCAAACCCAAAAGGACAACACAAACTTCCCTTTTCCTCAAGTAGAAGGTAGAAAACCATAGCAACATCAAATTTCACAGGAACAAATTGAAAATTGTGTAGCTATGAAAGAGGCCCCAGTGTTATCATCCTATTATAGTTGGGTTCTCTTATCAATTTATTATTCATTTATTCATCCGTGCATTCACTCATTCGACATTTATTGAATACTTGCCCTGTGATGTACCACGCCAAGTTCAAGGGCTATAAAGATAAAGAAGACACATCTTCTGCCCTTGAGGAACTCACAGCCTAGCAAGAGAGACAAATATGAGAGTAAGTAATTCCACTGAAGGCATAAGTGTGATATTAGAGGATCAGCACAGAATGCTGTGGGAGCCCAGAGCAGGAAATGGCTAACTAACCCCTGCCTGCGAGACACGGAGTACTTCCCAGAGGATACCACCCGAGATAAGGGCTTCATCAGGCAGGGTGCAGGAAATGAGCCTCTGAGCAGAGGAAGGGGTTTGCACAGGCATGGAGGCATGACTCATGCTCATTTGGGCAACTGTGTGTAGCTTGATATAACCAGAGCTAGGAAGCCAGCAGATGGGGTGGGAGGAAGGAAAACAGAAGCCAGAAGGATTTTTAAACAAATTCATGATTAGATCAGATCTTATAAAAATTCCTCGGGAGGCTGAATGGAAACTAAGTTAATGAGGCAAGGCCAGCCAGAAAAAGGCAAAGAATACCTGGCATTTTGAAGCTGCTACTTGGATGCAGGTGTTTTGACTCAGGGATATTTTGAGGTGGCCTGAAAGTAATTTAATTTTCAACTCCTAAAAATTACTAAGTCATGTGCAAAACACTCATCTCACCTCATCACAGAACCCCACCTCATGCTAGCCCCTGCATCTAGGATGAAGCTCAGGGAAGGGGTGGAGGTTGGAGCTGGGGTTAGGGGTAGAGGGAGTATTTCACAACATCTTACAGATAAGCCACATATAGCCAGGAGGCGGTTTACTGCAGGTTCCTACCTCAGAAAGAGCCATTAATATGCAACAAGCATCCTGCTCCTTCTCTGTGAATTTCCTTGTATTTTGCAAGAGCTGCACCTCAAAATTTCTGGTTACTCCCTTGCCATTATGATTGTAGCAATAATTTAGTTTTGGTTAATAAATGTTATTAAGTGCTTTAACTGATGTTCCTATTTTCCTTAGAAAAATCTCAAAAACCTCTGCTTTTATGGGCTTCCATAAAATGTTCAATTTATTTTTGGGATTCAGGTTATGCATTGGGAGGGAAGCTGGAGAGAGAGTATATCAATTAGGATGATTTTAGTTGTAAGTAAAAACAAAGTTATTGGCCTGAAGGAGTTCAAGAAATGCCACCCCGGAATATGCCAGCTGCTTTGGTATGCTGATTACTTCAAACTAGGGGGCACTTGGGGAACAGAAGACGCAGGCAGAGGCTTTCTCTGAGCTCCCCTTATCTACCTAAAGACAGATAGTCCAGAAGGAGCTCAGCTGTCCTGAATCCCCTTGGGAATCTCATCAGTCAGAGAATGAGGAATCTCTTAACCAAGATTAACTTGGAACACAGGGTCTCACTCTGCCACCCAGGCTGCTACCCAGGCTGGAGTGCAGTGGCACAATTGCAGCTCACTGTAACCTCAAACTCCTGGGCTCAAGCAAGCCTCCTGCCTCAGCCTCTGGAGTAGCTGGAAATACAAGCTCGTGCAACCATGCCCAACTAATTGTTTTACTTTTTGTAGAGATGGGGTCTTGCCATGTTACCTAGGCTGGTCTTAAGCTCCTGGCCTCAAATGACCCTCCCACATTGGCCTCCCAAAGTGCTGAGAGTGTGCAGACGTGAGCCGCTATGCATAGCCCAAAAGTCATCTTTTAAAAGAACTCGTGAAAAATAATATTAAATACAGATGTGACTGAAGTATGAAGTGACAATTTTTATAATTGGGAAATCGAGAAATATGTAATAAATGTCAGGGATATTTTTGATAATATAGAAAAAATGAATTTATATTCGTCCAGGCTGTTTTGACTCAGAGGCTTGGGAACTGATTAGGAAATAATCCCAGGAGTCCGAGGGTGAAATAACTGGTTAGGGCCTAGACTAAAGTTGTGGTTGGGGGCTTTGGAAAGGAGGGAACTGAACTGAGAGATTTATTTAACAAATGGGACCCAGGACTTGGTGATTGGGCCTGAAAGTGCAAAGGAGAGATTAACTTCCAGGTTTCTGGATCAGGTAGCTCACTAGGGAGGAAGACCCATCATAGAAATAAGAACTAGAGGAAGAAAAGGAAAATTGGAAGATGTGGAAAGAAAAGTTGTCCCAAACTCTTTCTGGGTCTGATTTAATTTACAACCTCATTCTGGGAAGAAATATATGCATTCTCTGATAAAAATGGATAAGCAATTATCTGATAAACTTTAATAGAATTAAGACTCGTTCTAGGAAGCAGTCATGATGACTTCATCATCTCTAGGTAGGGATGATGACTGACATCCCTACCTAGTTGACTGTCAGTGAAGAGTCTTGTGGCCATTAACCAAACCTTCTCTTTCCCTTCCTTGTTTAACAGTGAGGATTTAACTTTCTCTTTACCTACAAGAAGCACTACCAAGAGTTAGTTTTTGAAATAACTCCTACAGGTCTTTTCTTTTGGAGCAAGATTATGACAAAACTTCAACAGATGCTTATAACTGGAGGATTGTAGAGGAGGATCCTGTCTTCTTCATTTATAGGTATTTTAAGTCCTAGTTCTATGGAAATAATAATCTAAAAATAATTGTTAAAGTAACACATGTTCAGAAAGTTTGGAAAAATTCATAAAATTAGAAAGCATAGGAAACTTACTTGTACATCATCCTTATGCATTCATTTTTTCACTATTTATATTTCCTTCTACAAATTTTGTGTCCAAAGCCTTTAACTGTTTTTCTGTTGATGATTGTCTTTATAATGAAATCGTTGGAATGTTTTATAAATTAAGAATATGACCCCAAATCAATTGACCTTTTAAGGTGGGAAGCTCATTTTGTGGTGAAGACCCCTGCTTAAAGTTGGGTTCCTTAGTAACTCCTCTCATTGTGTTGTTTATTAACAAAAGCACACCAACATGGCACATGTATATGTAACAAACCTGCATGCTGTGCACATGTACCCTAAAACTTAAAGTGTAAAAAAAAAAAAGGTCTGTTTTATCAGAGACAAAAAAAAAAAAAGCTAATTGTTCTTCAGCACTTACTACTTGCCAGACACTAGTCAGCTTGGCTTCCTGAGAAGAACCATGTCTACCCTTAGCTGCAATCCTGATGGTGAGTGCAGTGTCTAGCACACGAGAGGGAATAAGAACTTGATGAACATGACAATAGTAACAATCTTGAATAACTATTTGCCAGGAGTTACTAAACATGTTATATACATTATCTCATTTAAATCCTCATAATAACTCTATAAGTACAATTATTGTCACTATTTTACGGATGAGGAAACCGAGCACATAAAGAAGTTAAATGTCTCATCTGAGATCCCACAGTTAGAGCTGAGGTTAAAACCCGGTTCCGTTTACTTTGAGACTCAAGCTTTTGATTGTGACGCTATCTAGAGGATTATTTCTAGTAGAGGAATTTTAGACATGAGATATGAACACTTAATTCTTTGAACAATCCAGTCTTTATGTGATCTCATGTCACAAAATTTATTCCTCAAGTTTTTTTGGAACATTTTTTAATGGAAATGAGAGGGTTATCAATGGAAATGAGAGGGTTATCATTACATAACTAGAAAAATCTCAGATCACAAATTTCATGTTTCTCAAAGCTTTTGAATTATAATACCAGGCAGAGCTTTCGGAAAAGTTATCCAGTGGAGGGTGAGAAGACCCCACAGGGAATAAAGTGAGCTAATGATCCAGACTAGCATCATGAAACTGCCCAGAAGTACACAAAGACAGAGTCAATTTCATGGAATCTGTTCTTACTTTGTTTAAATTTCACAGTAGCTCAGATTAAAACCTTAGTTTCATGTTATATCCAGTTTCTGTTCACAAGTTAATTGAGAGCATTTTCCACTGCTGATGTGTAAAATCTGCTCCCTACCGGTAGAATCAGAGATTCCTAATTGATTTGACCAATTTAGATTAAGTTGATTCACATCTGCAAGTAGAGAGCCACCTTCATGGTCATGGAGGAAGAAGGCATCCTGTGCAGTCTTCCCACCATCTTCTCAGCTCAGTCCAGGCAGACTTGCTGCTGGGGTTAAGCAGAGAGAGGCCTTTACCAGTGTGCTAACTACTACTTTTCTCTGGGATGTTTATGAGAATGGCTCAGTTTACAGGCATTGCAGCCCAGGGGTGGGCAAATGACAGGCCAGACTGGACCTACAAGTGTAGTCAACAGTAGGAGCGTGCTTGGATGATGGGCATTTTACCTATCTTTCTTTTAATCCATTTCTTCTATTGATTGTTTAGCAATTTTTTTTACATGATTTTGTGGAAATGGCATAGGATTGTGAATCAGAAGATAAGTGTCCCTATTCTGTGTGATTTAGGACAAAGCACTTCCATTTCTGAGCCTCAGTTTCCTCAACTGTAAATTAGGGATAATATCTTCCTCCTGGGATAATTGCAAGGAATAAATAAGCTAATGTATTTGAAAATGCATTATAAAACTCAATGCACTTTATAAATATTTTGTTATACATAATTTTATTCTAGTTTTACAGCTGAGAAGACTGAAATTCGTAGAGATTAAGGCTACATTTCTAATAAGAAAGTGAGGATCTGAACCAGGGCTAGCTCCAGATTCTTCTTTTTACATGTTGCCTCCTTAAACAAACTCAAGTTGTTATTGTGAATATATTTTTTGCATAACTTAGGCTAGCAATTTTTAACCCTGATTTCAGGAGCCCCACGTAACACTCCAGAGGACTTTGTGCCAGCCATCCCTAGTGCCTAGCAAACAGAAGAGTACCCAGGTCCATATCTCCCAGTTACACACAGATTTCTCATAGACCTGAAAATGGGGCACAACATAAAAGTGTAAATTCCTATCACTGCAGGACCAGCTGCTATTATTTAGTGTGCTATTTTAACACTAAACAATTCAGAGTGAAGAAAACTTCCTCTGTTTATTCTTCGTCTATTGTACTCCTTTGCTGTATATAACAACATATCATTGCAAGTGGCTTTAGGGAATCCTTTGTACCCAGACCATAGAATACAAAGGCACAAACTAGTGACCCTAACAAATAAGACAATGCTTGTTGACCGTTTGATGAAGTTACTAATTAAAAAATATCTTCTAGGAAAACCTTAAAAAAAAAACAAAACAAAAAACACTTCCAAGGGAGAGGAAAAGAATGGGATGTTTTCCTCCCTCTTACCTGAGAAATCTCCTCTAAAAGTTGATGTATATCTTGACTTTGAGTAATCAGTTTCTTTACAAGTAATAAGCACTTCTTTGTTGATTTGCAGTTTCTCATTCAGTATTTTTTCTTGCAGCTAGTTATATAAATTCTATTAATTAACTGACTCTAATAATTCTTCATTTGCTACAGTATGAAAGGTTCTGCCTGCAATACCTATAAATAACAGGGCAGGGAAGCAGGCACAGATTTTAAACATAGAGCTTCCAAAATGTGAAGGCCTAAAGTAGGGCAATCTGTCATCTCTGTGCAGGTGGCTGAAGGTGCCTCCTGTGCTTGATTGGCTATGTTGTCAAGACTTTAACTCTCCATCAGGACCAGCACTTGGTGCATGGAACAGAGGAGAGTCACCCACATCTCCTGGAAAGGGATGCAGAGATAACAGAGAGCTCAAAGAGGAAGGGAGAACAGGGCCTTGTGGTAAGCTCAAGAACTTACCTTTTATTTCAAAGCTGTTTAAATTTATAGTCTAAAATAACTATGGGATCTCTAGTCTATTTCTGACTAGTTGGCTAGTGTACTGAATTGGGGTTACTTTGTTCCTTTTTATCATTACTAAAAATTATCTTTTCTTTCTACTATGTAATATATGCTCCGTGCAGACAAATGGAATTTCTGGAATGAAAGGAACAGCAAAAGATAATCAAAAGAAATCAATTTCACTATCAGGAAAAACTTTGTTGTATATGCTGCAGCATACACACAAGAATGTATTTCATAACGTCACACCTCACATAAAATGTGTAGCCTTAACAATAAATTGAACATTTTTCATGCCAATAAGTATTCGTCTGCAGTGTGATTTTTAGCAACTAGTGTTTTAGTCTATAGATATCAAATTATTAGTATAACCAGTCTTCTCTTTAGGCATTTATTTCCATTTTTTCACTATTTTAAATCATGATGGAATAGTGATCTTTACATAAATCTTATTTTATTGTTTTCTAATTGTTTCTATAATGTAAATCCATAAAAGTGAAATTCTCGGGTCAAAGTATATTTTAAGCTTGTTGGTTTACACCACCTAACTTCCATCCAGAAAGGTACCCATTTTGCTTCTGCCTTTCGGATAGATGAATGCTGTCCATTTCAGAAACTGACAACACAAACTGTGGCACATTGGCATACTGTGTATTTTAAGCTGAAGGAAATCATGAAAACCACAGAAGCAGAAAGGTCTCTCTGACTTTCTTTCACCTGAAGACCTTCAAGTAATAGGTGTCCTCCCTATACTCAGAGGGAAGAAATGTTACACAAGAAGCCAAGAAGAATCTGAACAAATAGACTTTGCTAAGCTCCCCCCACCAGCTTATTACCATTAGATTATAGCCCCTTTTGCCCAATGATACTTTTATGCACTGTCCACTCTTCACTGAGCCTAAGCATAAACATATACAGACTAAGTTCCCCTGGGTCTTTGGGTCTTCATTACAGAAAGATCCTGTGTCATATAAAACTGATTAAATAAATTTATTGTAATCTTCTCTTATTAATCTATCTTTTTTAATATCCTAGATTTGTTTTTGGTTTTTTGGATACATTATATTTGTACACATGTATGGGGTATGTGTGATATTTTGTTACGTGCAAAGAATGTGTAATGATGAAGTCAGGGTATTTAAGGGTATTCATCACCTGAGTATCATTGCTATGTGTTGGGCACATTTCAAATCCTAACTATTTTGAAAAATAGTTGTTCAACTATTGTTGTTAACCCCAGTTACCCTACTTAGTTATCAAACATTAGAACTTATTCTTTCTACCTAGCTGTATATTTGTGATCTGTCTTTTGTTATAAGAATGTCACCCATGAACCTTGCAATAGGTGAGGAAAAGATATTACTTTTTCTCTCCTATAATGCCAGTTTTCCCATATTCTTGCCACTGACATATTCTTTTTACTGTTAGTCAATGTATTGGGTTTGAAAATGGTAGCTCACTGAAATACTTTTAAAAATTTCTTCTAGAGGAACACCAGCAAGATGGTGGAATAAGACTTTCTAGCATTCATCCCTCACAAGAAACATCAATTTGGACAACTATTCCCACACAAAAATACCATCACATGAGTTAAAGAATGCAGGTGAGAGGTTATAGCACCTGGGTACAGCATAAAAATAAGAAAAGATGCCTTGAAGAAGGTAGAAAGGACAGTTTCACATTTCCTGTGTTGCCCCTCCCTCAAGCCTGGGCAGCACAACACTGAGAGAGAGACCCTTCATGAGGGCAAGGAAGTGAGCTCTGGACTGTGTCTCAGATCCCAGCACGAGGCCCACCTCAGGGAAGCCTGGTGCCAGACTGGGTCCCACAGCCCCAGCTGCTAGGCCAGCCCCTGCAGCTCAAGGCCCACTACCACAGACCCAGGGCCAGGATCACCCCTGCAGACCCTGACACTGGTCAGCCCCTGTGGGCCCAGGCTTGAGACCAGTCCCCACCACCCCAGGCTCCAGCAGACCCAGTGTACCGCCACAAGATAAAGGCCATGTATGACAAGCCTACAGCTAACATCACAGTCAATGATAAAAATCTGAAAACTTTTCCTCTGAAATCAGGAACAAGACAGGGAGGCCCACTCTCCCCGCTTCTACTCAATATAGTACCGGAAGTCTTAGCCAGAGAAATCGGGCAAGAAAAAGAAATAAAAGGCATCCAGATTGGAAAGCAAAAAGTAAAATTGTCTCTGGTTGCAGATGACATGGTCTTTTGCATAGAAACCTGGCCAGGCATGGTGGTTCATGCCTGTGATCCCAGCACTTTGGGAGGCTGAGGAACAAGGATCAATTTAGCCCAAGAGTTCAAGACCAGTCTGGGCAACACAGTGAGACCCGTCTTAATTAAAAAATAAATAAATAAAATTGGCCAGGCTTGGAGGCACATGCCTGTAGTCCCCACTACTCAGGAGGCTGAGGTGGGAGGATTGCTTAGGCCCAGGAGATAGAGACTACAGTGAGCCATGATCACTCTACAGCACTCCAGCTCGGGTGGGTGACAGAATGAGACAGACACACAGACAGAAAGAAAGAGGAAATAAAATAAAATAAAAGAAGGAAAGAAAGAAAAGAAGGAGAGAGAAAGAGAGAGCAAGAAAGAGGGAAAGAAAGAAAAAACACTAAAGACTTCACACACACACACACACACACACACACACACACACACACACGGTCAGAACTAATAAACAAAGTAAAGTTGCAGGATACAAAAATCAACATATAAAAATCAGTGACATTTCTGTATAGTAACAACAAACTATAAGAAAACAATCCCATTTACAATAGCATCGAAAATAATACTTAGGAAAAAGTGTTATCAAGAAAGTAAAAGAGTTGTACACTGAAAACTATAAAATAGTGATTAAAGAAATTCAAGATGCAAATAAATGAAAGTATATCCTGTGTTTACAGATTGGAAGAATATTGTTAAACTGATCATACCACCCAAAGCAATCTACAGATTCACTGTAATCCCTATCAAAATTCCAAAGACTTTTTTTTTAATTAAATTTTTATTTTTAAATTCTGGGGTACATGTGCAGGATGTGCAGGTTTGTTACATAAGTAAACGTGCGCCATGGTGGTTTGCTGCACCTATCAACCCATCACGTAGGTATTAAGCCAAGCATGCATTAGCTATTTTTCCTAATGCTCTCACTCCCCCACCCCGCCCCCTGACAGGCCCCAGTGTGTTTTGTTCCCCTACATGTGTCCACATGTTCTTATTGTTCAGCTCCCACTTATAAGTGAGAACAATGCAATGTTTGGTTTTCTGTCCTGTGTTAGTTTGCTGAAGAGAATGGCTTCCAGCTCCATCCATGTTCCTGCAAAGGACACGATCTCATTCCTTTTTATGGCTGCATAATATTCAGTGGTATATATGTACCACATTTTCTTTAGCCAGTCTATCACCGATGGGCATTTGGGTTGATTCCATGTTTCCAAAGACATTTTTCACACAAATAGAAGAAACAATCTTAAAATTCTTAGGGAACCACAAAAAAATCCCAAGTAGCCAAAGCAATCTGGAGTAAAAAGAATAAAGCTGAAAACATCTCACTCCCTGACTTCAAAATATACAACAAAGAGATAGTAATCAAAACAGCATGCTACTGGCATAAAAACAGACCCATAGATCAATGGAATAGAATGGAGAGCCCAGAAATAAATCCATGCATTTACAGTCAATTGACCTTTGGCAAAGATAGTAAGAACACACAGTAGGGAAAGGACTGTCTCTTCAGTAAGTGGTGTTGTGAAAACTGGGTATCCACATGCAGTAGAATAAAACTGAACCCTTATCTCACACCATATACAAAAATCAACTGAAAACAGATTAAAGACTTAAATGTAAGACCTGAAACTGTAAGACTACTAGAAACCAATATGGAGACAAAGCTTCTTGACATTGGTCTGGGCAAAGATTTTTTAGATATGGCTCCAAAAGCACAGAAAACACAAGCAAAAATGGACAAATGGGATTACATCAAATGAAGAAAAAAAAACTTCTGCACAGCTAAGGAAATGATCAACAGAGTAAAAAAAATCCTACAGAATTGAAGAAAATATTTGCAAACAATACATCTGATAAGAGGTTAATATAAAAAATATATTAGAAACTCAAACAATTCAAGAGCAAGAAAACAACTCAATTAAAAAAATGGTCAAAGGACCTGAATAAATACTATGTTTTGAATGTGTTCCCCAAAATTCACATGTTGGAAACTTAATCCCCAGTGCAACAATGTTGAGAGAGAGAGATGGGGCCCAATAAAGGTGACTGGGTATAATGGCAGAGCCTCATGGATGAATTAATGTAGTCACGGGAGTAAGTCAGTTATTAAGAGAGCAGGTGGTTATAAAAGTGAGCCTGGCCCCTCTTGCTTTCTCAGTCTTGTGTGCTTGCTTCTGTCTTCTGCCGTTTCACCATGGATATTGAAGCACAAAGCCGTCATCAAATGCCAGCACCATGCTCTTAGATTTGTCAGCCTGCAGAACCATGAGCCAAGCAAACTTCTATTATTTATAATTTACCCAGTCTGTGGTATTCTGTTGTAGCAACAGAGAATATACTAAGGCAATAGACATTTCTTGAAAGAAGACATACAAATGGCCAGCAGGTATTTTTAAAAATGCTCAACATTATGAATGACAAGAGAAATGCAATAGAAAAGTACAATAAGATATTGCCTCGTATCTGTTAGAATGGCTGTTAACAAGTGTTGAAAAGGATGTGGAGAAAAGGAAACTCTTGTATACTGCTGGTAGAAATGCAAATTAGTACAGCCATTATAGAAAAACAGTATAAAGTGTTCTTTAAAAATAAAAAATAGATAAAGAAAATGTGGCACATATATACCATGGAATACTATGCAGCCATAAAAAAGGATGAGTTCATGTCCTTTGCAGGGACATGGATGAAGCTGGAAACCATCATTCTCAGCAAACTAACACAGGAACAGAAAACCATACACCACATGTTCTCACTCATAAGTAGGAATTGAACAATGAGAACACATGGACGCAAGGAGGGGAACATCACACACCAGGGCCTGTCGGGGGGTGGGGGCCTAGGGGAGGGATAGCATTAGGAGAAATACCTAATGTAGATGATGGGTTAATGGGTACAGCAAACCACCATGGCACGTGTATACCTATGTAACAAACCTGCATGTTCTGCACATGTATTCCAGAACTTAAAGTATAATTAAAAAAATTAAAAATAGAACTACCATATGATCCAGCAATTTCGTTCCTGGGTATATACCCAAATGAAATGAAATCAGTATATCAAAGAGATCTCTGCACTCCCATGTTTATTGCAGCACTATTCACAATAGCCAAGAGGTGGAAACAACCTAAGTGTCCGTCAACAGATGACTGAAGAAAATATGGTATATATACAATGGAATATGATTCACCCTTAAAAAAAGAAGGAAATCTGATTGTGATAAATAGGTGACAAGGGAAATAAGCCAGAAAGACAAATATGGCATAATCTCACTTTTATGTGGAATCTAAAAAAAGCAAACTTTTTAAGGAATGGAAACAACTGGTCATTAAAGGTGGAGACATACCGGTGATGATATGATCTATCTATAGCTTCCCCTGGAGAAGGTGTTTGTTTACAGACAAAGATAATTTGATTACAACCAGGAACAGAGTCTGAAAGTCTGAGCTTCCCTTAGAACATGGCTTTTTTTTCTTTTGAGAAGTGAGTCTTGAATTGCAGCGTGCTCCTTTTTTTTTTTTTTTTTTTTTTTTTTTTTATTTTAGCTTAGGTTTGGGGGCACATGTGCAGGCTTGTTATATAGGTAAACTCGTGTGATGGGAGTTTGTTGTACAGATTATTTCATCATCCAGTTACCAAGCCTAGTATCCAATAGTCATTTTTTCTGCTCCTCTCCCTCCTCCCACCCTCCACCCTTAAGTAGGCCCCAGCGTCTGTTGTTTCCGTTTTTGTGTTTATGAGTTCTCATCATTTAGCTCCTACTTAGAAAGGAGAACACGCTGCATTTGGTTTTCTGTTCCTGTGTTAGTTTGCTAAGGCTAATGGCCTCCAGCTCAATCCATGTTCCCACAAAGAACGTGATCTCATTCAAAAAAGCAAACTTATAAAACAGAGAGTAGAACAATAGTTTCCAAGGGCTGGAGGTCAGGTAGAAGAGTGAGAAGGATGTTGGCCAAAGGGTACATAGTTTTGGTTAGATAGGATGAAAAGTTTTGGAGATCTATTGTATAGCATGATGATGACAATAATAATGTATTACACACTTGAAATTGCTGAGAGTAGATCTTAAATGTTCTCACCACAAAAAAAGGTATAAGAGGTGATTGATATGTTAATTAGCTTGACTTAATCATTTCACAATGTATACATATACCAAAATGTCACATCATATACAATTTGTATTTGTCAATTATACCTTTGTAAAGGAACAAATTTTTATAAATAGTGAGGCTGAATATTTTTTCATATTTTTATTCATCCTTTGACATTCTTTTTCTGAGAACTGTCCATTTATGCCTTTTGTCCGTTCTCTGATCGGTAAGTTCCTTCTTTTAAGTTTGAAAGATCCTCCCTCTAGCTGCCATCTTGCATCCCCGAATGTGTGTGCCTAATCTTAGCTGGTCCACCCGAGATACCCTGAGCACCAACCCTAGTCCCCCTAGCAGCCCCTTATCTGCTCCAACAAGATGAAAGAAATGATCATGAACCAGGAAAACTCGCCAAACTGCAGGCACAAGTGCGCATTGGTGGGAAAGGAACTGCTCACAGAAAGAAGAAGGTCTTCCATAGAACAGCCACAGCCGATGATAAAAAGCTTCAATTCTCCTTAAAGAAGTTACAGGTAAACAATATCTCTGGTATTGAAAAGGTGAATATGTTTACAAACCAAGGAACAGTGATCCACTTTAACAACCCTAAATTTCAGGCATCGCTGGCAGTGAACACTTTCACCATAACAGGTCATGCTGAGGCAAAGCAGGTGACAGAAATGCTACCCAGTGTCTTAAGCCAGCTTGGTGCAGACAGTCTGACTAGTTTAAGGAGACTGGCTGAAGTTCTGCCCAAACAACCTGTGGATGGAAAAGCACCACTTGCTACTGGAGGGGATGATGATGATGGAGTTCCAGAATTGTGGAGAATTTTGATGAGGCTTCCAGGAATGAGGCAAGCTGAATTGAGTCGACTTCTGAAGAAGATAAAACTTGAAGAAGTTACTGGGAGCTGCTATTTTCTATTATGACTGCTTTTTAAGAAATTTTTGTTCATGGATCTGATAAAATCTAGATCTCTATACTTCTAAGCCCAAGCCCCTTGGACACTGTAGCACTTTTTAGTTTTCGCTTATACATAATCATTCTTTTTAGCTAATTAAGCTGCAGAAGCTGGGAAATAAAGTTCGAAACAAAGGTTAATAAAGTTCTTTGCCTAGTAAAAAATTAAAAAGTAAAAATAAATTTGAAAGACCATTTATATATTTTAATAGGCATTTTTCACATGTTGCAAAGATTTTCCCTAGTGTTTCGTTTATCTTGTATTTTTTTGTGTGTGTATGTTTAATCAATAGCAGTTGTAACTTTTTAAACTATGAACTAGAAATAAATGGATAAAAGATGTGGCCAGGCAGTGGTTCATGCCTGTAATCCTAGCACTTTGAGAGGCTGAGGTGGGTGGATCATGACGTCAGGAGATCAAGACCATCCTGGCTAACACGGTGAAACCCCATCTGTACTAAAAATACAAAAAATTAGCCTGGTATGGTGGCACGCACCAGTAGTCCCAGCTGCTTGGGAGGCTGAGGAGGGAGAATCGCTTGAACCCAGGAGGCAGAGGTTGCAGTGAGCTGAGATTTCGCCACTGCACTACAGCCTGGTGACAGAGTGAGACTCCGTCTCAAAAAAAAAAACAAAACCCTAAAAGATTATTGTAGATTATTATTTTCTAGTGTTTAAAGGATGCTGAGGCATATTCTTTTCCACAATTTTTTAAAAATTTGATCTCAATATAATAATACATAAATTACACATGCATTTGATTTTCTTTTTTTTTTTTTAGATGGAGTCTCGGGCTAGAGTGCAGTGGCGCCATCTCTGCTCACTGCAACCTCCTCCTCCCGGGTTCCAGCGATTCTTGTGCCTCTGCCTCACGAGTAGCTGGGATTACAGACCTGTTCCACCACACTCCACTAATTCCTTTGCATTTTTAGTAGAGAGGAGCTTTCACCATGTTACCCAGGCTGGTCTCAAACTCCCGACCTCAGGTGATCTGCCTGTCTCAGCCTCCCAAGCGCTGGGATTACATGTGTGAGCCACCTCGCCCAGCCTAAAATTCTTTTTCTGTACTAGTCCACACTATCTTTTCTCATGAAAATGTATTATTAAGCAGGATTTGTCTAGTAGAACCAGTTTGCCCTTGGTTATAAATGCATAGAAGATCAAAAACTAAATTAAAGCTGGAGGAACCATTATCAGGATTATTTTCTTCAGCTAAAAATGTGGGGAAAGATGTCCCACCTTCCTTCAGTTAGAACCAGTGCCAAACTATGTAGTAACTTACAAGATTTATTTTAGTGACCCTTGGAGAAAATTCTATGTCTTCTTGATGTAACCTATTCCAACATTAAATGATTTTCGTTAATATAAAAATCTCTCGTGCAGCAATCTAAGCTGTTTTTCTTTTTTTTTTTTTTTTTTTTTTAGACAGACTCTGTCTCTGTTGCCCAGACTGGAGTGCAGTGGCATGATATTGGCTCACTGCAACCTCCGCCTCCCAGGTTCAAGTGATTCTTGTGCCTCAGCCTCCCTAGTAGCTGGGATTACAGGTATGTACCACTATGCCTGGCTAATTTTTTTTGTAGTGTTAGTAGAGATGGGGCTTCGCCATGTTGACCAAACTGTCCTGAAATGATCTGCCCACCTTGGCCTCCCAGAGTGCTGGGATTACAGGTGTGAGCCACCGTGCCCTGCCTGTTTTTGATTTTCTTTTTAAAGTTATTATTTAACAATGACTTTCCACAGGCTATTGCCCCTTAGACTTCATGTCTCCAGATTGAACAATCCCAACTCCATATGCAGACCAAGTCAAATAATTTCCCTTATATTTATTTGGAGTTCAAGAACATATGAGCAACTAGAGACATTAAGTGAGGACCAAGCACACACACACACACACACACAGGCACATGGACAGGCACAGTCCCTTATTTTAAAAGTGTCTAAGGTTGACTCCAAATTTTCCATTTTAACATTTTAATTAGGGTAAAATATACTTCATTTTGCCTAAACAAAGACCAATTGTAATAAACCACATTTGCTTTTCATTTTAGTGAAAACTTCAAGTAAAGCCCGAAAGGGTCTTCCACTGCGGAAGGGACCTGGGATAAGCTGTAGAGAAGAAGAAGTTGCAAGACCAAGTTTGTTGTAAACATAGGCTTCTAGCATTCCCTGAGCCCTCTCTGTGCATGGAGCTCTACTCTGAGCCCGAGACTTAAGGAAGAAGCTTATCCTTTCCTGGAAAGACAGGGCAAACAAAATGAGAACCCATGTTAATAGAGAAGATGGGCACATAAATAATGACTTACAGGGTAGAGCTAGGTGCTTGGGATGGCAAACCACATGGGGCAGAATACATGAATTTGACCTAAAGAGATTTTTGTGGCTCTTTTATGGCTACATTCTAGGTCAAGAGACTTCAACCAAATAGCTCTATCTTCTTCCATTAGGGCTCCTCTAACAAAAATACCTTAGACTAGTCATTTATAAACAGTAGAAACTTATTGCTCACAGTTCTGAAGGCTGAGAATTCTGAGACCAAGACTCCAGCGGATTCGGTGTCCTGTGAGGGCCCCTTCCTTATAGATGATGCATTCCAGCTGTGTCTTCACGTGGCAGAAGGGGCAGAATAAGTTCCCTCTAGCCTCTCTTATAAGAGCACTAATCCCATTCATGTGGCTCTGCCCTCATGACCTAATCACCTCCTAAAGCCCTCACCTCTTAATATTATTGCTTTGGTGATTAGGTTTCAATAATAGATTGTGGGTGAGAGAACACAAATGTTCAGACCATAGCTTCTGGGTACAGAGGAGGTCCATCATATTCAGCCTCTCTGCAGATGGCCTTACCCATGGCCCAGATGCCTCTCCAGAATCTCTGAAAAGTCATTTCATTCTGCAGGCCCTTTCTCCTCCACCTCGTCCATTTACCTATAGTACAGCTACCTGCCTTCCTAATTCCTACTGGTGGGAGCTTCAGGTGTGGGGCCCAGAGACTCTTTATGTGGAGTCAACTCATCTCAGATGGGTCTTGGTGAGAATGAGATGGTGCCAGTGTTAGCAGCAGTGAATCCGTATGGGTTTGCAGCAACTCGATTCTTGGCTCCTCAGAGGAAAGAATTCACTGGAGAGGCATAAGGCAGATTGAGAGACCAAAGCAAGTTTTAGAGCAGGAACCAAAGGAAGTAAAGTATACTTGGAAGAGGGCCAAGCAGGCAACTTGAAAGATCCAAGTGCACTTTCAGCCCTTCACTTGGAGGTTTATACATTGGCATGGTTCCAGGGTTTGTGTCTCTCCCTTGATTTTTTCCTTGGGGCAGGCTGTCTGCATGTGGTGGCCTGCCAGGACTTAGGAGGGGCTACATGTGCAGTGTGCTTACCAAAGTTTTGTGCATGTTCATTTGAGGTGTTTTTCCCTTACCAGTTCATATGGTTTGGCTGTGTCCCCACCCAAATCTCATCTTGAATTGTTGTTCCCATAATCCCCATGTGTCATGGGAGGGACCCAGTGGGAGGTAATTGAATTATGGGGGTGGTTACCCATGCTGTTCTCATGATAGTGACTTCTCATGAGATCCGATGGTTTTATAAGCATCTGGCTTTCCCCTGCCAGCACTTCTGATTCCTGCTACCCTGTGAAGAAGGATGTGTTTGCTTCCCCTTCTGGCATGATTGTAAGTTTCCTGAGGCCTCCCCAGCCATGTGGAACTGTGAGTCACTTAAATCCCTTTTGTTTATAAATTACCCAGTCTTGGGTATAATTCATAGAAGCATGACAACAGACTAATACACCAGCCGAATATTCTTAGAAGAAGTTCATATACCAGTTAAACACCACCATTTTGCCTTTTAGGGCACATGCTTGAGTCCACTTACTCAGCTCCTGAGATCTTATCAGGAAGCCGCTGATCACCCACTTCAGGTGTTTTCTATCTAATGGGAGCCTGCCTTTCTCTGGTGCCAGCTGTGTCCAATTATTATTTTAGAGTGACAGTTAACAACAACTTGAGCATCACCTGATGGTCACCTGACATTCCTTGTGGGGACCTCTCCTACCCTGCTCATGTCTGCCCAGCTACCTACTTTTACACCGGGGGTAATAGAACTAGGGTGTTTAGTACCATTAGATGCAATGACCTGTAAAGATTGACTGAGTAACTGCACATATGTCCTGTTTCCTCTTTTATCCCTAAAGCATATGTTCTCTGAGATCTCCCAATCTACTATCCACTCCCCAAGAGGGCGCTCTGGAACCAGGACACACTCAAATCACCTAGTTTTAAAAACTCTCCAGATGAGCAGTGCTGCCTCCATGATATTAACCAGTCAAATCTCCAAGAGGTCAGACTCCTGAGGTCCAGGGTCTCAGCCAACATGTGCGAGCTCCTTGGCAAGCTAACATTTTGACACTGTTTCAAATTAATATTTTAAAAATATTCTAGGATTTTCAGCTTAATGTTTGCGGGAGATGACAAAATGTTCGGGCAGATGGGTGGAGCAGGAGGACATGGATGCCAGGACTCAGCATCTCCTCTGTTGACCCAGCAATCCTGCCTTGGCTGCACCTCACTAAGGGAAACAAAAGCTTAGTGTTAATTGCACTCATCTTCCTTAGACCGTAGTTAGTTGACCAACTATTTTTATTCAAGGGTGCCTCTTAGAGGTTCTAATTCTCAATCCAAGTGGCTGTATAAGAGCTTTATTTCTTTGAACCACATGCAGTACTTTCCCTGAAAGGAATTTGGTGAGTGTAATTTTCACCTCTCATTATATTTCCAATGAGTTCTTAGTGCGCTTGCGTGCACGCATGCACACACACGATCAGGACTCCTGGAAATTGCCATATTAGTCCATGTCTTGATCTAATATTGCATGGACAGAATTTCACATGGGTCATTTGTTGTCCTAGTACTTTTTAAGTTAGCTTAGTGCAAACAAAACACAAAACTAAAATAATTTACCTCCTAAAGAATTCAGAGCAATTTAGAGAATGCATCATAAAAGATTGCTTTCAATTTTTTAAATTTTGTTTCTTTTTCAAGTTGGGGTATTGTTCTGTCACCCAGGCTGGAGTGCAATGGCACCATTATGGCTCACAGGTACCTCAAACTACTGGGCTCCCGCAATCCTTCCTCCTCAACCTCCTGCCACCTGCCACTGTGCCTGGCTAATTTTTTTTTTTTTTTTTTTTTTGGTAGAGACAGGGTCTTGCTTTGTTACCTAGGCTGGTCTCCTGGGCTGAAATGATCCTCCTACCTCAGCCTCCCAAAGTGTTGGGATTATAGGCATGAGTCACCGTGCCCAGCCCAACTCTCAAATTATATCACACAGGCAGGAAGTGTCTGATAGCAGGTGGCATAGGCTCTGTGGGACTGTTTTCTTTTAAGAAACAATCTCTCATCATCAACATGCTTGAGGCCCCAGGAAAGGTCTTTAGTGCTTTAACTTGGGCACTCTGTGTTTGTCCAGCTGCACTGACATTTCATGGTGTGGGTGAGTCAGTGGGGAAGGGAAAGGCAGCAGCCATGAGAGGCAAGCCAAGGATATGGAACCTCTGGAAAGAACCAAAAAGATCAATGGGTGTCCTGCCTTTTCACCTCCCTATCCACTGGATTCACTTGATAGTAGTAGCAGCAAAAGAGCCATCCAGTCAGTAGGGACCTGCCTGGTCTGCAACGAAAGAAGGAGGCTTTCTGGGCCCTATTTCGTCAAGAGAAGGATTTAATATTTCACTTAGCCAGACCTCCATGTTCAACTGAAGGACAGACATCCCCGTGGATGTCTAAGCAGACATTTATCCTGGCAGCTGTGGGGCCAGATTCCTGGACTTTATGACTCAGGCTTTTTCAAAAGCAAAAAAACACTACAAGAGAAGGCCCTCATTATTTAAAAAGAATTAAGGATTCCCAGTTCAGGCAAGTCTTCCAGGGTCCTAAACTGGGGATCAGTCAGGTGAATTCAGCCAGTGATTGGTTTGGTTCACACAACGTTTTATTTTTTATTTTTAATTGGCAACCCCTGCACAAAGCAACAATACTGGAGGTAGGGTTTCAGGATTTAGACTGAGGCCCACAAGTGTTTTCTGAGCACTCTGGATGGGCAGGCTCTCTGATAGGCCGGTTCTCTGATAGGCCAGTCTTCCGGTCACTCACTCTAGTCCTGCCCAGTGACCTTGAAATAAATTGCAGCGCAAAATAGCAGAGTGCCCCACCTTCAGAGTGTTTGAGACTTTCCCCTCCTGAGTGGAAACACGGAGGCTCAGAGCAAGATTAGGAGAATCAGTCTTGGCAACAGATAAAGGGATCAATGGAAGAAGGAGCAGCTGAGGCCTGGGGAAATTTACATAAGCCTGCTAGAAGTAGGGGCTCAGAGCCTCAGAAGGGACAGTAAGAAACCAGACCAAAGGAAAACATCTGTAATGAGCTGTGAGGACCAGTGAGCTGCAGAGGTCAGAGCAGGCACCTCCCCACCTACAGAACAATCAAGCAGTTGCCAAAGCAAACCTTTCTGCAGTTGGGATTTATTTTATTGTCATTCTTCCCTTCCCATGGCTGCTGAGCCTTTGAAGTAATCCTCAGCGTGAAAAGATAGGAGGATGTGCACATAAGAGGCCCTTTGAAAAAGCCTTAGGGAAAGTAGCCAAGCTCCGGAGGGAGCAATTGTAAAGTGACTAGAACAAGGAAGTAGGGAAGGACTGTGGGGAGACCAGGCGGGTAGCTTAAAACCCTTGCCATAGCAAGCCTTTTTTAAGTGGCAAGCCAGAAGGCCCAGCCCAGTGGGCCTCAGCCAGCACTTGGGCTCATGGTCCTATTTCAGCATGAAATTCATTCCTGTGACTGCAAGGGAGCCGAACAGTACAACGATCTTAATGACTGTATTGCAAACCACAAAGGATCTATGTTCATGAATAAGCAATAATCAGCTGAAAACATATTATGTTTACCACAAAAAAAAAAGGCGGAAAGAGCACAAAATCTAGTGAGTAAAGTGTAGGCAGCAGATAGTAATGTGGTAGCCGATGTTCATCCCCTTGACCACTCTCATCAGGCCCAGAGACATGGTGCTTACATTTGCTCCAGTGGAGACTGGATAGAAAGAGTAGAGATGCAAAGAAAAAAACAACCTTAGCTTTTTAGGGAAAACACTAAGGGCTCTGGCATAAAACTGGAGAGATTACAGGGGGTATGTGAATATACAGAGCAGGTACCTCATCTGCTCTGCCATCATGACCAATAAAGAGCTTTGAGCCAGAGAGAGGGAAAAGAGTTTGCAGTCAAGGAAAATTATAAATTATAGCATGAAGTCCCTGTACTGTGCTTCTATACCCTGGAATACATCCTGGGGGAAGAGTGACCAGATGCCCCATGAAACATGAAGAGATCCAAGGCAGAGAGAACTCATGTCCTGTTCTTCATCTGGATATTTGATGTCTGTTTGGAGAAGGCCAACAGGAAAATGGTATGGAAGATCTAACCACCAGAGGGCCAATAGCTGACCCCATGTTCCTAGTGGCTTCCAAGTGCCCCAGAAGATTTTGCAGGTAACTGAGAGAGAAAGAGAGGAGCAGTGCTGCTCCAGGATTGCTTGGGTCAAAGTGAAGATCCAAGAAGTAGGAGACCTGGATTACGAGACTTGTGTCAGTGATGGGAGAAAGTTGCGGCTGCAGTCTTGGAGGCATCCTCAGCTCCGTGGTGCTAAGTGGGAGCAGAATGGACACTCATATGAAGATGGGCTCTCACCATCTGTAGGAGTAAGCACCATGGGCTGTGCGCACCAAGAACAAGGCTGGTCCAGGTGACGTGGGATGGGGTGGGGGCTGTGATAGGAGACCAGAGTGGACCCATTTTCCTCCTCTGGTGGCTTCAGTGGGATTTTCCATAAGCCTCCAGGAGTTTAGGATAGACACCACAAAAAGGGGAGGAAGAAAACCCTGAGGAAGGGGGAATATAACTGAATTTCCAATTAGAAGATACTGGAAAGTTACTGGCTGGGGCTGAGAAGACCCAGAAAGTAGCATTTGGAATATGATGATGAGAGCTGGCACAGCTCTGGGAACTAATACCACTCAGGGTCCCTAGGGAAAGTGGAGGAAGTACTTAAGTAAGAGAAAAGACAAATTAACTTGTCAGAGCCATCTGTTAGGTAGCTCTAATGCAGTAGATTCTTGCATAATGAAGTATCATTTAGTAGTAGTGGTGAGTGCCCACTTTCTTGCTTCTTTTCAGATTCCATTTGGTGGATGCAAAAGTATTCACAGATTAGCACAGTATTTGCAACAGTGGCACATGAGGACAAAGGTCATGTTGCAGTATTAAACAATGTATATTGTTCTTAAATGTGTAG
The DNA here is from genome assembly GCF_000001405.40 of Homo sapiens. Lineage (NCBI taxonomy): Eukaryota > Metazoa > Chordata > Mammalia > Primates > Hominidae > Homo > Homo sapiens. The sequence goes on from NC_000004.12 coordinate 98,749,669, forward strand.
CATGTGGTTCTAGGTTGGTGGTTCTAGGGACTCCTCAAGTCCCCAGAGCCTTTTAGGGTCTGTGAGATCGAACTGTTTTTTCTTAGGACAGTATTTGCCTTTTTTTTCTCATGGTTTCATAGGTGTACAGTGGAGTTTTCTAGAGGCTGTAAGACACATTATGCCATTATTGCTCTGATAGCTAATGGTGTCTATATTAATGTATTCTTGTGTTTTAGGAACTTCCCAGTATTAATTCTAAGATATAAATATCGATAAAGTATTCCATGTAAACAAAGGCTATTTGGAGTTCTCAGTAATTTTTGTAGTTTAAAGGAATCATGAAACCAAAAGTTTTTAGAATGCCTGCTCAAAGTACGATACCAATTCTCTGTATTGGCAGCTTGATAGACATTAAGCACTAGAACTGCAAATTACATCCTTTTTATTTTTTTTGAGACGGAGTCTTGCTCTGTCACCCAGGGTGGAGTAAAGTGGCGTGATCTCAGCTCACTGTAACCTCCACCTCCCGGGTTCAAGCGATTCTCCTGCCTCAGCCTCCTGAGTAGCTGGGATTACAGGTGCCCACCACCATGCCTGGCTAATTTTTGTATTTTTAGTAGAGATAGGGTTTCACCATGTTGTCCAGGCTGGTCTCAAACTCCTGACCTCAGGTGATCTGCCCACCTCGGCCTCCCAAAGTGCTGGGATTACAGGCGTGAGCCACCATGCCTGGCAATGATGTCATTTTTAATAAAAGTATTTAATATGATTTGATTACATGTATTAAAAAATTGAAAATCTAGACATATTTAAATAAATTTGATTTTTAAAAATGTTAGTCATTTTATGAACAGATACTTCTCAAAAGAAGACATACAAGCAGCCAACAAACATATAAAAAAGTGCTCAGCATCACTAATCATCAGAGAAATGCAAATCAAAACCACAGTGAGATACCATCTCACACCAGTCAGAATGGCTATTATTAAAAAGCCAAAAAACACCAGATGCTGGTGAGGCTTTGGAGAAAAACACTTGAACACTGTTAGTAGGAATGTGAATTACTTCAGCCACTGTGGAAAGCAGTTTGGAGATTTCTCAAAGAACTTGGAGCTGCCATTCAACCCAGTAATCCCATTACCCAAAAGAAAGTAAATCGTTCTACCAAAAATACACATATAGTTGTATGTTCATCATCGTACTGCAAACAATGGCAAAGACGTGGAATCAACCCAGGTGCCTATCAATGGTGGATTGGATAAAGAAAATGTGGTATGTATATACCGTGAAATACTACTCAGCCATAAAGAAGAACAAAATCATGTCTTTTGCAGCAATACTGATGCAGCTGGAGGCTATTATCCTAAGCAAATTAACTCAGGAACAGAAAACCAAATATTACATGTTCTCACTTATAAATGAGAGATAAACATTGGGTACTCATGGACATAAAGATGGCAACAATAGACAGTGGTAACTACTAGGAGTGGGAGGGAAGGAGGAGAGCAAGGGTTGAAAAACTACTGGGTACCATGCTCACTTCCTGGGTGATGGAACTACCTCAAACCTCCACATTACACAATATACCCACATAACAAACCTGCACATGTACCCCAAATCTAAAATAAAAGTTGAAATTATTTTTTAAAAATTGTTAGTCATTTGTTATAATTTGTATTTGCCTTTTAATTTAATGTATACTTTAAAATATCTTAGGAGAAAAATAACTTTTTAAGATACAAATAAAAACAATTCAAAATTTTAATATTTCCACTTGTACTTTTAAAATGAAAGGTACATGCAAATTATGTATACTTTGAATAAAATTACATTTTAATCCTTCAGATATTTACTCTCAATAGAACATAAATCAGGTAAAATTCTTCATTATAGCAACAAGATGAGGTAGTAACCGCCTGCAGAAATAAGCATGAAGACATGAAAACTAAATTTTAGACAATAAATGTCTGATTACTTACTAATTACATGTATTTTTCTTTTTCTGGTCATATGAACATGACCAACTCATCATCAGAACATCTACACATGTGCAGTAATAATTTAATTCAGTAGCTGTTGATATTTTGCCACCTTTCAAGTACATAAAAAACATAGCTTTACCCAAAATTTTCAATTTTGTCACTATGAAGATTACTTAATATATGAAGGTATACCTATGAAGAGTAATAGTATATTCCATTTAACATATGAGATGAGGACTATCATTTATATACTCCCCTGGGCCTCACAGAAGTTAGGGGCAGCCCATATGTTTTCAGCACCTTATTGCCTCCTCTAATAACCTTCTGAAATAGTTTTCATATCCCTAAACCACGTAAATTGAACATTAGAGAAATTAAGCCTTAACCAAAGTCATCCATCTCATGAGTTGGGGCTTGGATTCTATCACAGGTCTGTCTGAATAGAACCCATAATGCTTCACAGTTAAATACATGTACAGCAAACAGGGTAGAATCTGGGATGCCCCAGAGGGTGTGATGTGCTTATGAGATGGTGGGGGTTTTTTTAGCACTATTTTTTTTTCTGAGTATAAACTAATGTATGCTTACTAAAAACTTTTTGATCAAATAAAGGAATTATAAAGAAAACCCACTCGAAGATCACCTGTATACCATCCAGAAAAGCTCCCTTAAAAATTGAGTGGGGCAGGAGAAAGACATTCCTTTCCAGAGTTTTTTCTCTGCTTTTGTATACACACACACATATACACACACATACACGCAGACACGTGCACACACATACTTTTAAAATGTGATTGTTATAAATTCTGTTTTATAACCAGTATTTCCCACTCTTCTGTGGACATATTTCCAGTTGCATAAATATAATTCTAAATAATTATTTAAGGTCTGTACAGTAGTCTATTTCTATAGTGGTATCACTGTTTACTTAAACTCTCCCGTATTTTTTATTTTATTTTATTTTCATGTTTCAGAGACAGGGTCTTGCTCTATCACCCAGGCTTGACTGCAGTGGTGCAATCACAGTTTGCTACAGCCTCAAACTCCCAGGCTCAAGTGGTCCTCCTGCCTCAGCTTCCCTAGTAGCTGGGACTACAGGCCCACACCAGCATGCTTGGCTAATTTATTTATTTATTTTTGCAGAGACAGGGTTTCACTTTCTTGCACAGGCTGGACTCGAACTCCTGACCTCAAGTGATCTTCCCACCTTGACCTCCCAAAGTGCTGAGATTACAGGTGTAAGCCACCTTACCCAGGCTAACCTCTCCCTTATTGATGAACATTTAGTCATTTTCCAGTTTTCACTATTACAAATAACACTTTGATAGTCTTTGTGTTCTTGTTTGATATTTTTTTTTAGGAAAAATTGTTAAAGACAAAATTTTGGAGTCAAAAGATAGCACATTTTAAGATGTAATATATTTGTCAAACTGCCTTATTGTAGCAATTTGTATTCCCACTACCGCTACTTAGCAGTTTCCTCAAACCTCTACCAGCTCTGAATATTATTTCTCTTTCTCTTTAATCTTTGCCAGTTTCACAGACCACTGTGATATCTCATGATTATTTTAATTTGTATTGCTTTGATTACTCGTGAAATATATTTTGTTATGCCCATAGGTCATTTTTACTTCTTTTATGAACTGCTTTCTCATAGTCATGTCCTTTGCTTATTTTTCATTTGGGATGATTGTCTTTTTAAAATTAATTTTTAAAAGTGTTTCTTTCTTACAGTTACGTAAGCCTTTAGCTTACTGTAAGGCCTTAAAGGTACTTTTAAAAGCATGCAGTTTTTGCCTGATAAACAAAATAGCACATGCTTATTATTCAAAAAATTAAAACCTGGAAAATACAGGAGGAAAAGGGTAAAAATTGCCAATAATCTTACCATATTTTCTTGTTTTTTAAAAAATGTGCAAAGTAAGAAGTGAATGTTTTTCCTTCCTCTCTCTACATGACTATTTTTTCAGCTGTTCAGTATGTGTCCTTTTAGGCATAAGACTTATCTGCATATTAAAGATAAAGATTGTAATTTTTCTTTTAACTGTATTTCTCATCACCACCATCATCATCATCATCATGACCAATAAGAACCTTTGTAATTATTTCTATTAACTTTTTTCTATTATATTCTCTGGTTTTTCTTAGGAAGGCCATCTGCCCTCTTAAGGATATATAAATATCAAAATCCAAATTCTTTTGATAATTTTAGATTTCTTTTTTTTTTTTCTTGAGATGGAGTCTTGCTCTGTCACCCAGGCTGGAGTGCAGTGGTGCGATCTTGGCTCACTGCATGCTGCATCTCCTGGGTTCATGCCATTCTCCTGCCTCAGCCTCTCAAGTAGCTGGGACTACAGGCGCCCGCCACCACGCCCAGCTAATGTTGTTTTTGTATTTTTAGTAGAGAGGGGGTTTCACCATGTTGGCCAGGATGATCTCAATCTCCTGACCTCGTCATCTGCCTGCCTTGGCCTCCCAAAGTGGTGGGATTACAGGCGTGAACCACCGTGCCCGGCCTTTAGATTTCATTTTTAAAATTAATCCCTTAATTTATATGGAATCTATTCTGGCATACTCTGTAAAGTAGTGATCTAACTTTACATTGGTTAGATAATTATTCACAACATATATTGTCCATCCCTTTGAAACTGATTTTTAAAGTCATATTCATCATTTAATAATTTCTTGTATGTGCTTTTGAACTTTGTGTTTTGGTCCAATTTTGCACATTAAAAAAATCTAGCAAGGCTGTTATAATTTATTACTCTTGGTTTTATTTTATTTATTTATTTACTTTTGTAGAGATGGGGTCTTGCTATGTTGCTCAGGCCAGTATTGAACTCCTGGGCTCAAGCAATCTTCCCACCTTGGCCCCCGAAAGGTTGAGATTATTGGTGGGAGCCATTGCGCCTGGCCTACTCATGTTTTTAGAAGTTTTCTGACTATTCAGTTTATTCTTTGGATAAATTTTGAATTATTTTGCCAAGATGCTTTAGAATTCTTATTGGCAATTATCTTAGGCATTTTATTAATTTTGGAAAATGGACATCTTTTCAATAATGACTGTTCTCATCCAGGACAACAGCATTTCTCTACCGTAATTAAAATCTTTTATGTTCCTCAATAGAGCTCATCTGGACATTTCTTTCTAAATCTATTCCTGGGAGTTTTGTAATTTTTATTATTGGAATAATTTTTTTTTCTATCAAAACATCTAACTGGTTGTTATTGGGAAAAGATGGAAAGTTTTTTAGAGTGGTGGATTCAGGGATATTAGTCAAGGGAAGTTAAACAGAGTGGGGGCACTGTCGGGAGAGGACATAACACACCATGGCCCTATGGTACATCCTGTCATTGAGAAAAAGGAAATACAAGTTCATGGAAAAAAATGAAATTTATGCCCTCCTTATCTAGTCCATATGCCTTCAAAGAAACAATTTTTTTTAATGTTCTCTAGAACATGAAATAATTTGAAGACAGTTTCAGGTTTTCTCCTATGCCTGAGTGTACATTTTTGGACAATTTCTTTTCCTGCCGGTAACAAAGAACTTGAGATCTCCTTTGCTTTAGCTGCAGGAGGTCCCTTCCCCAGGCTGCTGTGTGTGAGATATTCCTGAAGCCTGGCTCATTTCTTTTGCCACCCATCCTAATGAGTTCTCCCAAACTTTAGCCTATTCTAAAACAAATAATGAAATAACAAAAGTAGGATTCTGTTTATCTAACAAAAAGTGGAATATAGGCATCATTTTGGTGAGTTTAGTCTTATATCAGATTTCAGGTTGGTACATTTAAAACTTCTATAGGGCAAAGACACCACCAATATTTTTTTAAAGTCTCAGAGAGAAGTACGTATTTAAAACTCATGTAATCCAAAACTAGATGATAGGAAGACCATATATGGCACTCAGACATATAAGGGAAAAATCAAATAACCAGATGTAAAAAATGGGTAAAGGATTTGTTCATGCATTTCCCAGAAGAGCATACCTGATGCTCAATAAATGTTTGAAAAGACAAAATTCTTCATCAATGGTCCTGGAAATCAAAACATTGAGCTACCAATTCACACATTATTTTTATTTAAAAAAAAAGTATGGCAATTTTTTTTTTTAAGAAAAGAAGGCTTTTACTTTAAAACAGGAGCTAGAATAAAACAAGATCTCTAATATTCTGCTGGTGGTAGTATATATTAGTTCAACCAGTTCAGAGAGCAGTTAGATAATATCTAATAGAATTTTAAATATTCATACCTCAAGATTCTGCAATTTCATTTCTGAATATATTCCTAAGAGAATCTCTTGCACACGTGCTCAAGGAGATGCGTATAAGGATGCTCCTTATACATAATAATAGTGCAGCATTATTTGTAGTAATGAACAATTGGAAGCAACTCATATATACATTAATAGGAGAACAGAAATATATATATTTTTTCATAATAGAATAGTGAATGAACTACATCTATATGTAGATATTGATGAATAAATCTCAAATACATAATAGTGGATGAAAATGTTGCAGAATAATTCCTATAGTTTGACACCATTTATGTGAAGTTCTAATTCATACAAATTAATATCATATATTGTTTATGTATACATACGTCTGCAGTAAAACAAGAAAGACATCTAGTGAAAAAGGAGACAGCTGGAATCAGATGAAGTGAAAAAGAGGCTTTCACTCTCTCTCTCTCAAGCTTTTCTTGAAAAAAAAAACACATTCAAATATGAAAATACGGGAATATGAATTATTGATAGTGGAAACATGGATGTTCATTATTACTTTCTGTGCTTTTCTATATGTTAAAATATGTCATATTTAAAAGTAGGTTGAAATCACCTACTTTTCTAATAAAAAGTTAGCTAGACTATTTCTGTGGTAAGAATACCTCCTGGACTTCATCCTCTGTGACAGACAAAACATAGCCCTCTCATTGCTACTATGCCTTTGATCTATGTGTTTAGGACAAAACACCCATGGTTATTCCATTTCTTCTTCTTTTTTTTTTTTTTTTTTTTGGTGACAGACTCTTACTCTGTCACCCAGGCTGGAGTGCAGTGGCCTCATCTCGGCTACTGCAACCTCCACCTCCCGGGTTCAAGCAACTCTCCTCCCTCAGCCTCTAAAGTAGCTGGGATTACATGCGTGTGCCACTACGCCCAGCTAATTGTTTTGTATTTTTAGTAGAGACAGGGTTACACCATGTTGGCCAGGCCGGTGTTGAACTACTGGCCTCAAATGATCTGCCTGCCTCAGCCTCCCAAAGTGCTGGGATTACAGGCCTGAGCCACCACACCCAGCCATCCATGGTTATTCTTTACAAGCCTTTGGTTTTGTAGATTCAGAAAATCTCCTCTACAAATTCAGAGAAATTACTGGGCTCTGAGGGACTGCTCATGACAGCTAGTCGTTAGAAATGACTATATGGGCTTGGCATGGTGGCTCATGCCTATAATCCCAACACCTTGGGAGGCCGAGGCAGGAGGATTACTTGAGCCCAGGAGTTCAAGACCAGCCTGGGGAACATGGCAAAAACCTGTCTCTACCAAAAAAGAAAAAGAAAAATACAAAAATACAAAATTTAGCAGGGCATGGTGGCATGCGTCTATAATCCCAGCTACTTGGGAGGCTGAGATGAGAGGATCAATTGAGCCCAGGAAATCAAGGCTGCAGTGAGCTGTGATCATGCTTCTGCAATCCAATCTGGGGAACAGAGTGAGACCCTATCTCAAAAGACTTTTAAAAAATAAAGAAAAAAAGAAATGACTATATGAAGATTGATTTTTCATTGTCTAAAAAACTGAACATCACTAGAAAGTATATGCTAATTTTCTATTTGACTCCAGAGAGAAAAAACTGATGTCTTTAAAAATACATTTTCTTTTATTTGTCAATAAGAACTGCACAATTCAGATTTCCTTTATGCCTGGACTTTCAGGATGCTAGAGCTAATGATGATCAGTTGGATTTATCATTTTATTCTAGATCTTTATCCTAGATAATTACCTTTTCATTTCTTCCATATCATTTTTAATTTTCATTTATTATTTATTTAACTGCTATATTTGCATATGTTTAAAATTCTTACATCCAGGTAGAAGGAGGTGCATTTTAAGGTAATAAGCAACTCAATCAATGGATGGATGGATGGATGGATGGATGGATGGATGGATGGATAGACTGATTTATAAACCATGAGATTATATTATTTATCCTGAGAAATATGACTGCAAAATAAACTAGAATATTTTATCAGCTGCTCAACACATTTACTTGCCAGTATAAGAGCTTACTTAAGAAAAAATTTCCATCAAGAAGGTTACTCAGTGAGTATAGAGTCAGTCTTTCCCACTATAATTCACACTATATGGCTGCCAGTTGTAGTTCCCAAAATAAAACCCTAGTCTTATCATATACCTGCTCAAAACCTTCAAAAGTTCCATATTATCTTTGGAATTAGGAAGACACCCCTTAGCTGGGCATCCCACTACCTCGGCCAAACTGGAAAATCAGTTATTTTCTGAGCACCCCTCACTTTCCCATTCCTATCCTTTTAAAATATTGCTTCCTCCACTCCTACACCTCCCCTGCCACAGAATCCTACCCATGCTTATATGCCCATCTCAAAAGTCATCTGGTAATAATCACAGCAGGTATTCCTATGCTAAATCACTTAATCCTCATACAACCCTCATACAACAATTGCATACTTATATGATAAGTATTATTAACCCATTTTACAGATAAGAAAAACTGAGGCTCAAAGAGATAACTTTCCCAAACACACACAACTAATGAGCAATTAAACTGGGATTCAAACCTGGCCACCCTAGCTCTGGAGTCCTCGCTGTATCCAGTGCACTATGCTGCACTTTTTTTTCTTTTCAATAAACAACAGCAATTTATTTCTCAGAGTTCTGGAAGCTGAGAAGTCCATGATTAAGGCAGATTCAGTGTCTGGTGAGGGCCTACTTCCCAGTTCATAGATGGTGGCTTGTGGTTGTTTCCTCAGATGGTGGTAGAGGTGAGGCAGCCCTCCCTTTCTGGGTCCTCTTTTAAAGGTCACTAATTCTACCCATTGGGGCACTGCATGCCTGATCTTGGTTCTCAGTCATTCTTTTTTTTTGAGATAGGGTCTTGCTCTATTGCCCGGGCTGAAGTGTGGCTCACTGCAGCCTCGGACTCCTGGGCTCAAGTAATCCTCCCACCTCAGCCTGCCGAGTAGCTGGGACTACAGGTGCGCACCACCGTGCCCAGCTAATTTTTGTAATTTTTGTAGAGACAGGGTTTTACCATGTTGCCCAGGCTGGTCTAAAACTCCTGAGCTCAGGCCATCCCCCTGCCTTGGCCTCCCAAAATGCTGGGATTAAAGGCATGCACCACCATGCCTGGCCAGTTCTCAGCCCTTCTGATTAATTGTAAGCACCCCATACGATGCCATTTGTGTCTCTTATTCTGCTTAACAAAAGTTGATATGTTCGTATCTACTTACATTCATAGTAGGTAAGAGCTCAGGTGCTGGAGTCAAAGACCTAGATTCAAATGCCAGCCCAGCTGCTTGCCAGCTGTATGTCTTTAGGCAAACTACAGCCTCTCTGAGCCACAGGTTCCTCCAATATAATAATATCCACCCGTGGTAGACACAGCTAATTGCTTACCAATATTTGCCTTCTCTTTTTTGGCACCCCAATAGGCTCCATTTCTGAACTGCCCTTGTTGGAGCTGGGCAGAGAGGGGGAGCAGAAAGTCACTGAATTCTGGCCAATAGTATATGGGCAGAAATGATCTAGGCTACTTCCAGGCTTGGTCCCTAAAACATCTCAAGACCCTCTGCATGATTTCTCCTCCATCATCTGGCTGGATCTAGGGGAGACGCTACAGCTCCAGAAAAGGGCAGAGCCCCTGGATGGAAAGAGCCTGGGCGGGCCCATGAATGGCTGTCAGGAGCAGAACGTCCTTGCCCTACTCCACATCCACTCACATTAGACTGAGATTTGAGGAAGAAATAAAATGTATTGCATTAAGCCACTAAGACTTGGGGGCTGCTTTTTATAACAGCCTAACAGGTTTACTTAATATTGCTGGAGAAAATCACATAATACCATGGCTTGTTACACTAAGCAGTTATTTTTATCATCCTCCACTAGGCCTTCAATATTTTCAGAATCCATATTCTACTTTTCTAATTAACTTATGGTTCCACTCATTATAATGACGATTTCAAACCTTCTCCATGGTCCTTTAGCCATTGACCCTGCCACTCACTCTCAGCAGGTCACTCTGTCTCCTACACATCAAGAAAATAGGAGTTGTGAGAAAAGAATGTTCTCAACTTCCTGCTACCTGGGAGACATGACCTAAATCTGTACCCACACTCTGTCCTTTTCATCCTTTAAGATAGAAGAGCTTCCTTCTTCCCATACTCTGAAGTCTATTTTGTTTTCTCAGAGCCATAAGCAATGTGTTCTCCTTTTTCATATCTTCAATCCCCTATATAGTTTCTTTCTCTTTTTTTCTTTTTCTTTTTCTTTTTTTTTTTTTTTTTTTTGGAGACAGAGTTTCGCTTCACTCTTGTTGCCCAGGCTGGAGTGCAATGGCACGATCTCCACTCACTGCAACTTCCGCCTCCCGGGTTCAAGCGATTCTCCTGCCTCAGCCTCCTGAGTAACTGGGATTACAGGTGCCCGCCACCATGCCCAGTTAATTTTTTGTATTTTTAGTAGAGACAAGGTTTCACTATGTTGGCCAGACTGGTCTCGAACTCCTGACCTCAGGCGATCCACCCACCTCGGCCTCCCAAAGTGCTGGGATTACAGGCGTGAGCCACCGTACCCGGCCCTCTATATCGTTTCTATCAACATTTAAACATGATCTAACCTCTCCCATCTTAGACACAAACCAAATACGACCACCCCATCCCCCAACCTGGACCTCCAGCCCGCACATTGTGCCTCTTCCCCTTCCATAGCCAGCCCTTTCAAGAGCAGTCCACAGGCTCTCAGCCACTTCCTTGTCTCCCACTCACTACCCCACCTACCCTCACCTGGCTTCAACTTTATCCCCCCCACCCAACAGCTCCCCTAAAGTCATTCAGAAGCTGCTTTCAATCTTCATCTCACTGACCTTAGTTGCATATTACACAACTGACTGCTCCTTCCTTCTGGAAACAGACCCCTTCTTGGCTTATGTCCCACTGCATTCTCCTGCTTCCTTGGCTTCTCCTTCTCAGTGTCAGTGGTGGGCTCATCCCTCTCATAAATGTCCAGGTCTCAGGCATCTCTTCTTACCCAATGCTCCGTTCTTAAATGACCTCACCTAGTTTGATGGCCTCAATGATCACCTGAACCCTCATTACTGTCAACTTTACACCCCTAGTGCTCACACCTCTCCTCTAAATTCCAGATTAATAAATCAAACTGCCTCCTTAAATGTCTCAAAGAAATCTCAAGCTAAAGATGTTGGAAATAAACTCACCATCTGTTTTGAGTTGAACTGTATCTTCCCAAGAAAGCTAGGTTGAAATTCTAACACCTAGTATCTCACATCGGAATATGACCTTATTTGGAGATAGGGTCTTTACAGAGGCAGTTAAATTAAAATAAGGTTATTAGCATGGGCCCTACAGTATGACAGGTGTCCTTACAAAAGGGGGAAATTTGGACACAGAGACACACACAGATAAGTTTAATATATCTAAATAGTATAAATAATAATGAAATGAATGCCTGTGTCACCCAACTTAAGAAACAGAATAAAACCAATGGCTTCAGCTCCTAGCGTATCCCTACATGATCAAATTGTCTTCCCTCCTCCAAAAAGTAATGATTATCCTGCTATCCTGAAATTTGCAGTTTCCTTGCCTATCTTTAGTTTTATCACATATATGCATATCTATTAATAATCAATAGCTTCAATTTGAAAGTTTTTCACAAGCGTCCTTGCCCTACTCCACATCCACTCACATTAGACTGAGATTTGAGGAAGAAATAAAATAAAATGTATTGCATTAAGCCACTAAGACTTGGGGGCTGCTTTTTATAACAGCCTAACAGGTTTACTTAATATTGCTGGAGAAAATCACATAATACCATGGCTTGTTACACTAAGCAGTTATTTTTATCATCCTCCACTAGGCCTTCAATATTTTCAGAATCCATATTCTACTTTTCTAATTAACATATGTATACATGTGCCATGCTGGTGTGCTGCACCCACTAACTCACCATCTAGCATTAGGTATATCTCCCAATGCTATCCCTCCCCGCTCCCCCCACCCCACAACAGTCCCCAGAGTGTGATGTTCCCCTTCCTGTGTCCATGTGTTCTCATTGTTCAATTCCCGCCTACGAGTGAGAATATGCAGTGTTTGGTTTTTTGTTCTTGCGATAGTTTACTGAGAATGATGATTTCCAATTTCATCCATGTCCCTACAAAGGACATGAACTCATCATTTTTTATGGCTGCATAGTATTCCATGGTGTATATGTGCCACATTTTCTTAATCCAGTCTATCATTGTTGGACATTTGGGTTGGTTCCAAGTCTTTGCTATTGTGAATAATGCTGTGATAAACATACGTGTGCATATGTCTTTATAGCAGCATGATTTATAATCCTTTGGGTATATACCCAGTAATGGGATGGCCGGGTCAAATGGTATTTCTAGTTTGAGATCCCTGAGGAATCGCCACACTGACTTCCACAATGGTTGAACTAGTTGACAGTCCCACCAACAGTGTAAAAGTGTTCCTATTTCTCCACATCCTCTCCAGCACCTGTTGTTTCCTGACTTTTTAATGATTGCCATTCTAACTGGTGTGAGATGGTATTTCATTGTGGTTTTGATTTGCATTTCTCTGATGGCCAGTGATGATGAGCATTTTTTCATGTGTTTTTTGGCTGCATAAATGTCTTCTTTTGAGAAGTGTCTGTTCATAATAAAGAAAAAAAGAGAGAAGAATCAAATAGATGCAATAAAAAATGATAAAGTGGATATCACCACCAATCCCACAGAAATACAAACTACCATCAGCGAATACTACAAACACCTCTACACAAATAAACTAGATAATCTAGAAGAAATGGATAAATTCCTCGACACATACACTCTCCCAAGGCTAAACCAGGAAGAAGTTGAATCTCTGAATAGACCAATAACAGGATCTGAAATTGTGGCAATAATCAATAGCTTACCAACCAAAAAGAGTCCAGGACCAGATGGATTCACAGCCGAATTCTACCAGAGGTACAAGGAGGAACTGGTACCATTCCTTCTGAAACTATTCCAATCAATAGAAAAAGAGGGAATCCTCCCTAACTCATTTTAAGAGGCCAGCATCATTCTGATACCAAAGCCGGGCAGAGACACAACCAAAAAAGAGAATTTTAGACCAATATCCTTGATGAACATTGATGCAAAAATCCACAATAAAATACTGGCAAACTGAATCCAGCAGCACATCAAAAAGCTTATCCACCATGATCAAGTGGGCTTCATCCCTGGGACGCAAGGCTGGTTCAATATACGCAAATCAATAAATGTAATCCAGCATATAAACAGAACCAAAGACAAAAACCACATGATTATCTCAATAGATGCAGAAAAGGCCTTTGACAAAATTCAACAACCCTTCATGCTAAAAACTCTCAATAAATTAGGTATTGATGGGACATATTTCAAAATAATAAGAACTATCTATGACAAACCCACAGCCAATATCATACTGAATGGGCAAAAACTGGAAGCATTCCCTTTGAAAACTGGCACAAGACAGGGATGCCCTCTCTCACCACTCCTATTCAACATAGTGTTGGAAGTTCTGGCCAGGGCAATCAGGCAGGAGAAGGAAATAAAGGGTATTCAATTAGGAAAAGAGGAAGTCAAATTGTCCCTGTTTGCAGACGACATGATTGTATATCTAGAAAACCCCATCATCTCAGCCCAAAATCTCCTTAAGCTGATAAGCAACTTCAGCAAAGTCTCAGGATACAAAATCAATGTAAAAAAAATCACAAGCATTCTTATACACCAACAGCAGACAAACAGAGAGCCAAATCATGAGTGAACTCCCATTCACAATTGCTTCAAAGAGAATAAAATACCTAGGAATCCAACCTACAAGGGATGTGAAGGACCTCTTCAAGGAGAACTACAAACCACTGCTCAAGGAAATAAAAGAGGATACAAACAAATGGAAGAACATTCCATGCTCATGGGTAGGAAGAATCAATATCGTGAAAATGGCCATACTGTCCAAGGTTATTTACAGATTCAATGCCATCCCCATCAAGCTACCAATGCCTTTCTTCACAGAATTGGAAAAAACTACTTTCAAGTTCATATGGAACCAAAAAAGAGCCCGCATCGCCAAGTCAATCCTAAGCCAAAAGAACAAAGCTGGAGGCATCACACTATCTGACTTCAAACTATACTACAAGGCTACAGTAACCAAAACAGCATGGTACTGGTACCAAAACAGAGATATAGATCAATGGAACAGAACAGAGCCCTCAGAAATAACACCACATATCTACAACTATCTGATCTTTGACAAACCTGACAAAAACAAGCAATGGGGAAAGGATTCCCTATTTAATAAATGGTGCTGGGAAAACTGGCTAGCCATATGTAGAAAGCTGAAACTGGATCCCTTCCTTACACCTTATACAAAAATCAATTCAAGATGGATTAAAGATTTAAATGTTAGATCTAAAACCATAAAAACCCTAGAAGAAAACCTAGGCATTACCATTCAGGACATAGGCATGGGCAAGGACTTCATGTCTGAAACACCAAAAGCAATGGCAACAAAAGACAAAATTGACAAATGGGATCTCATTAAACTAAAGAGCTTCTGCACAGCAAAAGAAACTACCATCAGAGTGAACAGGCAACCTACAAAATGGGAGAAAATTTTCGCAACCTACTCATCTGACAAAAGGCTAATATCCAGAATCTACAATGAACTCAAACAAATTTACACGAAAAAAACAAACAACCCCATCAAAAAGTGGGCGAAGGACATGAACAGACACGTCTTTTTACTTTCTTTAAGATGTCTTTCAATAAGCAGAAGATCTTAATTTAGGGCGGTTAGATTTATCAGTGTAGTTAATTTTATTAATCATTTCCTTTATTGTTTGCAATTTGGGGATTTTAACTAAGATATGGTTTCTTACATTGCGTGAGGAAAGTGATCATTTCCTTTTTTTTTTTTAAATCTTGTCTGTCATATTTTTAAAACAGTTTTATTGAAATATATAAATTCCACCCACCCATCCATTCCATCCATCACAATTTGGTGATTTTTAAAAATATATTCACAGAGTTGTACAACTATCATCACAATCTAATTATAGAACATTTGTATTACCCCAAAAAGAAATCCTGTACTCATTGGCAGTCATTCTCCTTTCCTCCTTACTCCCTACCCCTAGTACAGCTCTAGGCAGCCACTAATCTACTTTCTAACTCTATAGCTTTGCCTATTCTGAATATTTTCTATAAATGGAACCATGTAATATGTGATCTTTTGTGATTGTATTCTTTCACTTAGTATATTTTTGAGGTTTACCCATATTGTAGCATGTATCAGCACTTCATTCCTTTTCATGTCTGAATAATATTCCATTGTGTGGATACGTGACATCTTGTTTATCCATTTATCAGTGATGGACACTTAGGTTGTTTCTACTTTTTGCTATTATGTATAATGCCACTATAAACTGTCATGTATACTTTTTTTTGAGCACTTATATTTTCACTTTTCCTGGATATATACCTAGAAGTTTATATAAAGAGTTTATGGTAACTCTATGTTTAGCTTTTTGAGGAACTGTCAAACTCTTTTTCACTGTAGTACATCATTTTCATTCCCACCAGCAATGTATGAGGGTTCCAGATTCTTACATCTTCCTTAATGCTTATTGTTTCTACTTTTTTTTTTATTATAGCCATCCTAGTGTGTGGTGGTGGGAGAGTGAGTTGTATCTTATTATGAGTATAATGTATATTTCTCTAATGACTAAATAATGTTGAACATGTTTTCATGTAGGTTTTTGGCCAGTTGTGTATCTCTTTTGGAAAAATGTCTGTTCAAATCCCACCTATTGGCCGTTTGTATGTCTCTTGGGAAAATATCTGTTTAAATCCCTTGCCCATTTTAAAATTGAGTTATTCTTTTTATTATTGAGTTGTAAGAGTCCTGAGTATATTCTGAATACACAACCTCTATATCTTTTAGTTTGTCTTTTATATTATCTGTTTCTTTTCTTTGCATATATGCTATATCCTATGTAATTTTTTTCAAATCTATCTTCTAGTTCAGTAATTCTCTCTTCAGCTATGTCTAATATGCTGTTTAAGAGATCAAAATATATGCCCAAATAGGTGTTAAATGATCCAAAAGCCATCGTTATATTAAATTATTATAATTGCAATTTAAAACTTATTTTATAGAACTGTTCTGCTTCTTAATACACTTGTCAAAACCACTTGAACAGTACACTTAAAATCTGTACAAACACTGTAAGTTACACCTC
The DNA here is from genome assembly GCF_000001405.40 of Homo sapiens. Classification (NCBI taxonomy): domain Eukaryota; kingdom Metazoa; phylum Chordata; class Mammalia; order Primates; family Hominidae; genus Homo; species Homo sapiens. Next base: position 98,766,173 of record NC_000004.12, read on the forward strand.
AATTTAGAAAAAATCATTAAAAGCTGAGACTCAGAACCTGGTACAAAAATTTAATTAATGGGGTAAATAGGGTGGAGTGGGGAGGATAAAGGCAGAAGTTGTAGTAAGTTTCAGTAAATAATCATTCAATAAATGTTAATTGAAGGATCACTACATGAATGAATAAACAAACAGATTAATTTAACAAAATTGGTTTTCATGTATTGCTTTGTGAGGCCAGTGTCATTATTTTGTAGCCAAAATACTCCTAGAGTTCTAAGCTTTATAATGTTTCTGATTGCTACTAAAGACTAATATCATTGTTTGATAGAGCATTCTGCATTCTTGCAATGTGGAGAGAGCTTTCAGGCCATAAGGACTGGGAAGCACCACTATTGTAACCAAGGAAACTTGTACGAACATCTTTTCTGGAGCACATTTGAGAACATGATTTTCTCTGTGCTAAAGTGATATTTTGGCATTACACCCAGGAGAATGACTTTCAGTCCTGTAGTTTTAGGAGAAAACTATGCCCTTCTGTTGACCAGAGATCAATATGAAGGCAACAGGTGGACCTACCCTTTGAGGCACTTTTCTAAAAATGTGCTCTCAGAACACTGCTAGCCCCTGGCAGATTTACAAGAAAGAGCAATGAGCCTTTCTTTTGTTCAATGTGCCTCTCACATCTGAAGTGTAAAATCATGACTTTCATAGAAAGGCTGTTACAGTCTTAACAACCAATTCATTCTTAAAGCTTCTACTGTGCTTTACCAGAAAAGTCAGCTTATATCTAACATTATTAGTTCTATTATTTCTCCAACTAATAAAAATGGACTACAGGCTCAAAATGGCTTTCTGAAGTGAAAAATATTGATACAAAGTATAATAAATACAATAACTCAGAAAAATGTCATAATTGTAAGTGGTGATTAGAAATTCTGTGCAACTATAGAATGTGAATCTATATGCTCTGGTTCAAGGTGATCTGCAGATGGGATAATTTCATACATGCAACATAAAAAAGAAAATGCAGAAAGAAAGTATGCCCAGTGATAAAACCATTAAATTGAATATTCCTGAACTAATAATCTATTTATCCCTATTCCTTGATACACTGTTCTGAAATTTTGTCAAACAGTTGTGTGAAGCCAGCCAAACTTCCCAAAATTTACAAATAAAGAAGAGTAACCTCTCTAGTAAACTAATGAAATTTTTCTAGCACAATCCCTGAATAATGTATTTCAGGAGGGAACCAATGTATTTTGTCACTAAAGGCAGAGACCAATATTACTAAGACATCATTCAGTTTTATTTCTTACTGCAAAGTTAGACACAGGCCACACTGTTGATAAGAAGTTTATAAAACTTCTATAGATACTAAAATACAGTGCTTGAGAGGAAACAGAATGAAATATTAGGTAATCCCTTATCATATGGAACCACTGGAGTCACATAATGACAACAGCATATAATGTGGACTCACTGTCACACATTCACGTTGTGTGCATGCATGTGTGTATATGTGTGTTCTTTTCAGTTGGATGGAACCTCTGATAAGCTGAGAGTATCCACCTTGGCACACGTCCTATTCATCCATGAACAAGAAGCACTTGATGGCATTAGTTCCACTACTCTCATGTTATTAAAGAGCAGGTGTTCATTATTTGAAAGCTCCTTTGTGAGAGGTGATATGAACTTGGGTCACTGTTGACAGATGTGGACATCTAGGAAGGAGGTTTTTATGAGAGTAAAAGAATTTTTTCCTGACTACCTAGCCTCACATTCTTTTATTTACAGAATTCATTGGCATTCAATACTGTCATCCCTGGTCTTGATTTGATGTTGAACCAAATAATGGAAATTATAAATATGATCAAATTATATCCACCAACAATAAAACTATTTAGCATGCTATGTGGGGGAAAATGGGCAATGACTTAAAAAATTCTACTTCTCACACTGTCATAGGAAAAAATACCCACATGAGACCATATATAGAAATTCAATTTTATTCAAAATACTCATATGAAATCATATATAGAAACACTTCTACATTACATAATACTGTTAATGCCAGGAAGCATTGAGAAGACTGTCTGATTTATTGTCTGATCAAGGACACTTCAGCGAGTAAGAAGGGGCACTTTTATTAATTTTATTGGGATAATAGACATAAACTGGGACTGTCCCAGGGATGTATGCTTACTCTAGTAAAGGGTAGTTCTAACTTCAAGTGACTTGTTCAGTATTATATGCATGATATTATCAACATATTGAATAGCATAAAACTATCACTTCAGGGCTGAAATATAATGATTTTTTAATGTTAAGGATGAGATATCAAGATTTCTTTTAAAAGACTGAATTATGACACAGATGATTTGGTTGCTGTGCATTTCAATTTTTTTCAATCCTAGATGATTTTCTTCACTCACAGGGGAAATAAACTGATCCTACATAATGAACATATTTAAAAATTTAAGAACATGCCTACAAAAAAACATGAAGTACTTTGTGAAGCTGAACTCACCCAGATTGGATTTAATAATTCATCCACTACTGTCTCTCAAATTGAAACATCCAAACTCAAGTGCCTAGTTTTGTAACGGAATGGAGAGAGACATCTTACTGCAGTCTCACCATAATTTGCTCAGAAGCATTGGAAAGATCCACCTTGTTAACTATCTCCCAAAATTTTCATTGTGAGTTAAAACAGTTGTAATTTAATAGAACAAAGAGAAACCTGGCCAATGGCTCAAATTATCTGTGGATCCTTCCATGAAAGACGGTAAAAAAAGTATGATCCTTCTTACCAATATGGAACTATTAATAATAATAACAATGAAAAATTAACATATTATAATTTAGTTTTATTTCTTAAATTGTGAGGAATCTTTTGAAAATGTTTGCATTTATTGGTGATTTGTGCAATTTGGACACAGAGTAAATGGTCCACAAATGCTGAAAGTTTTAGAAACTTTTAAAAATGATAGTTCCATGAAAAAGTTAAGGCTTGTAGTTTTGAAACTGCCCTTGCAAAAAGTATGACAGTGAGAGAAATCTTCATAGCTGACTCTGTCTTCCTTCTAACCTCACAAGCTAACCATCTATGTTCATTCCTGGATATAAGCCAAGCTAACTATGGGAAAAGTTTAGTTCATAGTTTAAAACAACGATAAGCATCTCTTCCTAAAATGAACCCCCTTCTTGCTCAGGAACTAGAACTGCCTTTGTAAAATTAACAAATTTGCCACAAGGGTAGAGTTATGTTTCCAGCATCATGTGGCTGGAGGTCATAAGATTTATAACCTCCCCAACTGCGCCTATAGATAGCATCATAATTGTAAAACCAAAGACTGGTGTTTGAGGTATTTTTCAGACCTTGCATTCTGATGGACCAGCTGGAACCATCCAGACCCAGTAACCCATCCCAAGAAACTGACTTAACTGGTCTTGTGACCTCCACCCAAGAACTGACTCAGCTCAGGTGGACAGTTTTGACCCCCTTTGATGTCATCTCCAACCCAACAAATAAGAATTCTTCATTCCCTAGCCACCTGCCCACCAAACTGTCATTGAAAAACCCTAGCCTTGAATTCTCAGAGAGGTGGATTTGAGAATTATCTCCTGTCCTTCTACTAGACTAGCCTGTGATTATTAAACTCTCTTTGCTGCAACACCTGCTGTTCTCAGTGCATTGGTTTTTCTGGACAGCAGGCAAGAAGAACTCATTGGGCTGTAACAGTTTTCACCACTGTGCCTGAGCCTTAATCAATATTGCACAGGGGTGAAAGAATCAGTATTTTTAAGGCCTATGTTGCTCCAACTTATCCTACAAGAATCAACTCAAATATCGTCTTTTACAAACATTTGAATCTTTTCTTTGTGCCAGAATTACAACTATATACAAAAAGCAGCCCTTGTCCTGAGGGAACCTCAGAAAATCTGTGAAATCTCAGCAGCTTAGATGTTATGTTAGAGCAAACCCATGGGGCTCTGAAAACATACAGGCGAGCACTAACCAAAACTTAGAAGAATAAAACCAGGCAGCTAAGACCTGAAGGCTGCAGGGGTGGTGAGGGAAAGCATTTCAGGCATAGGCAACATAATTTGCAACAATCTTGGAAGTGAGAAAGAACAAACTGTAATCATAAACTATAGATAGTTCATTGCGACAGAACATCCAGTATAAGGTGAAAGGGTACCCTAATCAACATGGCTTTGATGAAGCATGTTACAGACCTGCATTCTGTGCACTGTAGGTAGCCAATAAAGGATATTAGCAAGAGAGTGACATGATTATATTATTGCTTTAGAAATATCATTCTGACATGTGGCCTTAGAATTGGAGGGAGGCAAGAAAAGGCAGAGAGACTTGTCAGGAGGCTGTAATAGCAATGGAATGACTTAAAAGTCATGGTAACAATCGTTGTGGAGATGCAAATGAAGGGGAAATTAGGGGATGCCGGTTACTTTTGACATTTTATTTGAGTCTTGAAGGATGAGTAGGATTTTATCAGGCAGGCAAGTAGGGAAGGGAATTCAAGATACAGCAAAGACAAAGGAAACTGAAAAGTAACACACATTCCCAGTCACTCACATATAAAATATATGGAATATGAAGAGAAGTTGGCTTGGGCACAGGTTGGAATGCTACCTGATTTTTTTGAGTAGGAGAGTGATCTGCTCAGATCTGTGTTTTAGAAAAATGAAAAAAGGGTGAAGGATGGATATGGGGGTTAGAGGAGATGCCTCCCTGACAGAGTCTTTTAGGACAGCACAACATCTGGTTATCCCACAGCACCTCTGGTGTCTCCAGAGGAATTCCTTTGATCCCAGGAGATTTGACCACAACGAGGGCAGAAAGGCCAAGACTTGTATAACTACTTGCAATACGTCCTTTCAGGAACCAGGCCAGTGTCTGAATTTTGGGATATTACGTTGGCTCTAGCTCTTTGTAGCAGGCACTGGAAATTGATAACCAGACAGTTCCCCTTCTCATGCCTCTATGTTGTTCAGGTCTCCCTTTACTCTGTGTGATCTGATGAATCTTAGCTGACCTAAGCCAATTACAGTAGTCATGTCCTCCTGAAGTGATTGTTCACTGATAAACATGTGACCCAATTCTGGTGAGTGAGGATACTCTGGAAGGATGAAATTCTGGAAAAAATCTTCTCAGCTCTGTAAAAGAGACTCAAGGAAAAGTTGGTCCCTTTTCTGCTTCTCTCAAGATATGACGCCTGCTGATCCTGCAGTTTATTGGGATTAAGAGGGAAGCTCATCTTGTCTTTGAGAGTTTTCTACTGCATGATATTCGAAATGCTAAAGATGACTGAGGAGGAGAAAGATTAAATCAATCTGAGGGCCAGGCATGGTGGCTTACACCTGTAATCCCAGCACTTTGGGAGGCTGATGCAGGAGCATCACTTGAACCCAGGAGTCTGAGACCAGCCTAGGCAACATAGTGAGACCTCATCTCTACTAAAAATAATAATTTAAAAAATTAGCTGAGCATGATGGTGTGTGCCTGTAGTCCCAGCTATGCCATTGGCTGAGGTGGGAGGAAGACTTGAGCCTGGAGATAGAGACAGCCATGAGCTATGATCACGCCACTGCACTCCAGCCTGGGCGATAGAAAGAGACCCTGTCTCAAACAACAACAAGAAATCTGTGTGCTTGATATCATCGGTGAGCCTCCAAATTAGCCAGATACAGAATCCCCCTGTTTCTTGATGATTTTAACCATTTTGAGTTGCATCTTCTTTTTTTATTCCAGACAAAATCCTCAAACTATTCAGGCCTGTTTTTGCAGTGGAGGTAATAAATGGAAGGTTTAGGAGTAGGGAGGGAAATATTCATCAACACTGGCTATGTCTCTTCAGTTCTTCCACCGTTTTCTTCTTGTTTTCTTCTCTGATAGGAATCAATCACCTGTTACAGAGGCTGCTCTGTGGAGGTAAACACAGGGATAGGTAGAAAGTAAATATTAACTGACTGTGCCTCCCACCCTCGAGTATTGGATTGACTGATTGCAGGAGTGGAAATATCACTCCTGGCTGTTCAAAGGAGCCACCGTGAGCTCCTGTTCTTTGCACAAGAAAAGAGTCATGTGCTAAAAACAGTCATCATATTAATGCAGGTCAATTTCTTCACCTGGAGTGGGATGAAAATGTCACAAAGCACCATTGTGAGCAAAGTTTCCCTTAATCGAGTGGCACAGCTAATTTGCAGCATTCTACCAGCAAGCAACCCCACCCCAACACAAAGAACATTGTGAGAGGCTGTGAGCTGCTGGAACAGGCTCAGATTTACGACTGGGTGCAGGGAAAAAATGACAAAGATAATGGTCCCTGGTCTCTCTTATAGCAAAGCAGGGACTTCAGCAAAGAAAGCTGTTTCTCAGCTTTTGAGTTCTATGACTCATCTTTCCTCACATTTTAATTTTCTGAAATTGGGATGCATCTCACAACTGACATGTAACATTTAATGTGATAGTATTTCTCTTCTCATAAGATGTTCTTGAAGAGATGTGTGTCAACTGAAGTGCCAGAAAAGCGTAGCAGAGCCACAGCCCTCAGGGGTGACAAACTTGCTGTTCAGCCAGTAACTCCCATTAACACAAGGCCCTGTGCTTGTGGAAAGCCTCTTGCTGGGGAATGGTGGCCACTGAGGCATATGGGGACTGGAGGTCTGACCTCTAGATGAGCAGGAGATGTGCAGGAGGCAGCAAGATTGCGGGTCCCTTAAGGGAGAGACCTCCCCTATACATCCCGCTTGGCCTGAAATTCCTGCATTATAAAGTCATTCAATTAGGTCTTAAAAGCTCTTCTTGTCTTTGAGTTGCCTACTGCATGGTTTTCAAATGGAATAGAAATAGCACACTTTTTTCAAGTAAAATCTCATTTCAAATAATAATATATAAATAGATATTCTTAATGGGTTCCTTACTTATTGGTGAATACTTTATTCTTTGCAGAACTTCTGAATCACCTCCTGGAGCCCTGTTTGAAAATTACTACTAAAATCAGCCAGGCATGGTGCCTCATGCCTGTAGTCCCAGCACTTTGGGAGGCTGAGGCGGGCAGATTGCTTGAGCCCAGGAGTTCAAGACCAGCTTGGGCAATATAGGGAGGCCCTGTCTCTACTAAACAAACAAACAAACAAACAAAAATTAGCCGAGCATGGTGGCATGCCTGTCGTCCCAGCAACTCAGGAGGCTGGGGTGGGAGGATCACTTGAGCCCAGGAGGGGGACACGTTGTAGTGAGCTGAGATCTCACAACTGCACTCCAGCCTGGGCAACAAAGCAAAAGCATGTCAAAAAAAGAAAAAAGAAGTAGAGGAAGAGGAAGAAGAAGAAGAAGAAGAAGAAGAGGAAGAGGAAGAAGAAGAAAAATTGCTACTAAAATTAACTGAAAGATACATGAAAATAAAGTCCTGAGGGAAGAATCAGATTACTAGAAATTTTTAATTTGCCTAGTCTAATATCCTCATTTACTAAGGAGGAAACTGAAGCTCAGAGAAGTGAAATGGCTCACTCAAAGGTGATAATTATCCGGGTGGTGACAGAGCTGGGATCAGAACCTGGGCCAGCTGATTTCTGACCCACAGCTCCTGGTAGAACAGCACGGTCCAGCTACAAGAGGCAACTAGTCGGAGGACTCACATCCCTGAGTCACAGGGTTGTCTGGCATTGGCCCTGTGCCCTAGGGGAAACACCTGCCCATCACAGCCATGGGAGCTCATGCAGCCATCTCCTGGCCCTCCTGCCTCTCCTCCTCCCTTGTGCTGTCATTAGGAGGATGACCGCCTTTGCACAGAGGCAGACAACCTCATCTAAATGGACCAAGCAATCTCTCATGAAGGAAGGTTGAATGACCAAGTTCAGAGACGGCAGAACCTTTCCCTGCTTTTCCCTTACCCGGGGTCCTGGGAATGTCCACCCAGAAATGTCCTCTGGGCTTTTTGGATCATCCATCATTTCTTCTCAAGAATCAGCTGTAAGGAATAGTGGAGTCTGCAAGCCTGGTTGGAATCCATGCGCCTTTCTAAGTAATGTGAGCACAATACTTAATGTGGCATCAGTGGCCTCAGGTATAAAATGGGATAACAGTAGCACTGCGCTGGTGGTGGTGTGGTGAAGATTCACTGGGATGAGATGGGGGTACTTTGCATATAGTGAGAGCTCAGTCATATGGTACCTATTGTTAATAATAATGCCAATCGCTATCTGGTTTGGCCTGTTGGGTAATTGTTTTGTATGAAGAATATCCCGCTTAATACCAAAAAGATTTTGAGGAGCTCCATCTTTTATGCTGAGTTGGAGGGTAGGCAGTAATCTGGTTGGACTCTGTTGAAAACCACACATCACCAAACTAAGGAAGATTCAGCTAAGATAATTTCCCTTTAGATGCTTTACTTTAATCCCTGCTGATAGAGTTGGCCCAATTCCTGGACTCTACGGTGCAGAAAGAACAATTCTACTCAGTAAATACATACCCAAACAAAGGACTTGATCAGCACAGGGATCTTTCGGATAATAGAACTACAGGGAAAACCTGCTTTCTGTGAAGTAAGTGCCTTAAGATATTAGTCTTCTCGGCCGGGCGCGGTGGCTCACCCTGTAATCCCAGCACTTTGGGAGGTCGAGGCGGGCGTATCACGAGGTCAGGAGATCGAGAGCATCCTGACTAACACGGTGAAACCCCGTCTGCACTAAAAATACAAAAATTAGCCGGGCGTTGTGGTGGGCACCTGTAGTCCCAGCTACTCGGGAGGCTGAGGTAGAAGAATGGCGAGAACCCGGGAGGGGGAGCTTGCAGTGAATCGAGATCGCGCCACTGCATTCCAGCCTGGGTGACAGAGCAAGACTCCATCTCAAAAAAAAAAAAAAAAAAAAAAAAGATATTAGTCTTCTCTTGTTCTTATTGCAGAGTACCTCATTTCTCTTGTTTTTGTTTGTTCGTTTTGAGATGGAGTTTCACTTTTGTTGCCCAGCTGGAGTGCAGTGGTGCCATCTCAGCTCATCGCAACCTCCGCCTCCCAGGTTCAAGCGATTCTCCTGCCTCAGCCTCCTGAGTAGCTTGGATTACAGGCGTGTGCCACCGCACCCAGCTAATTTTTTGTATTTTATTCATAGGGACGGGGTTTCGCCATGTTGGCCAGGCTGGTCTCAAACTCCTGACCTCAGGAGATCTGCCGCCTCGGCCTCCCAAAGTGCTGGGATTGCAGGCGTGAGTCACCACGACTAGCCTCATTTCTCTTATTTTACTCTTGTGTTCTGTTTACCTTGCTTCCTGCCTTCCAAATGTGACAGGACTTCCTTGCCACATAGAGAAAAAGACCAAGGATACCACATACATCTCTGTCTTGATGTGGACAGGTAAGGCCATTCCTGAAACCCCTAGCTAATAAAAAAGCTGTTCAAACTATTTCTAATGGGAAAAGGTATGATGCACAAGTAACTGAGAAAACCTAAGCAAGTTTCACAGATAGAAAAATATTTAAATTAGACAATGAAAACAAGTGTATAAAAGTAATAAGCAACATTTTAAAACTAAGTAGATTGAACTTGTATGTACAATGTAATGTAATGGTAACAGAAGACTTGTTAGTCGCTACTGGGTGATGGAGAAGGGTATAAGAGAATTATTTTTCAGAGGGTGCTAGGGAGCCAGGTGTTCTAATAATTAGACTATAGTTTATTATTAGTTCTAATAATTAGACTATAGTTTATTATTAGTTCTAATAATTAGACTATAGAGTTCCTAGGATTTTTCATGTAGACTGTCATATAATTTGTGAACCATGGCAGTTCTGCTTCTTCCTTGGCAATCCATATACCTTTCACTTGTTTTCTATTTAATTTTTTAAACTTACTGTACTCAGCCTGGACAACATGGCGAAAACCTACAAAAAATACGAAAATTAGCTGGGCATGGTGGCACGCATGCCCAGAAAAAAGCTAAACATGAGTGTGCTTTGAAAACATAATTTACAACTACTTCTGTCATCTATCTAATTAACATATGTTAATTAATTAATTTGTTGCTGGGTTTTGTATTCTGTTCCATTGTTCTGTTTATCTATACTCGCATCAATACTACCCAATCTGCATTACTGTAGATTTTCAATAAGCTATGTCATAAACTGAGCTCCTAATCTTTTTTGTTTCTTTGCCAAAATTTTCTTGGCTCTTCTTGGTGCTTTATGCTTCCATATAGATTTTATAATTAATCTTTCAATAAAGGGAGAAAAGGCCTTGTTGAGATTTTGACTGGAATTGTACTGATTTATTCTATGAATTTTGGAACAATTGCTAACTTTAAGATATTGAGTGTCCTGATTCAAAAATATGACACAGTCATCCCTTGGTATCCATGGGGGAATTGGCTCCAGGATTCCCCTCGGATACCAAGATCTGAAGATGCTTAAGTCCCTAATATAAAATGGTGCAGTATTTGCATATAATCTACACACATCCTCTCATATACTTTAAATCATCTCTAGATTATTTCTAATACCTAATACAATGTAAATGCAATGTCAATTGTTGTTATACTGTAGTGTTTTTATTTGTATTATTTCTTGTTGTTATATGGTTATCTTTTTTATTTTTTGACTATTTTCAATCTGTAGTTGGTTGAATTTGCAGATATGGGAGCCAAGGATGCGGAAAGCCCACTGTAAATGTTTCTACTGAGATCCACTTTAATTTTTACAGTAGCACATTATAATTATCTTCAAAGCAGTCTTGCACATCTTTTTAAAGACTTATTCTTAAGTTCTGTGGTATTTTTGCTCTTTAAAATAGTGTCTTAATTACACTTTTTACATGTTTCTTGCTGGTGTGTAGGGATGCAATTGAATTTTTTGCATTCACATCCAACAATCTTGTCAAACTAATTTGATTAGTTCTAATAATTAGAAAATAGAGTCCCTAGGATTTTCCATGTAGACTATAATGTAATTTGTGAACCATGGCAGTTCTGCTTCTTCCTTGGCAATCCATGTACCTTTCACTTGATTTTTATTTAATTTTTTAAACTTACTGTACTCAGCCTGGACAACTTGGTGAAAAACCATCTCTACAAAAAATTAGCTGGGTGTGGTGGCACACACCTGAAGTTTCAGCTACTTAAGAGGCTGAGGTGGGAGGATCGCTTGAGCCCAGGAGGTGGAGGTTGCAGCAAGCTGAGATCACATCGCTGCACTCCAGCCTGGGTGACAGAGTGAGATCCTGTCTCAAAAAAACAAAAACAAAAACTTATTATACTCATAGGATCTCTGGTATATTATTAAATAGGTACGGTGATATTGGGTATTTTGTCCTTCTGATTTTAATGAAATAATTTTTATTTTTCATGATTACGTATAATGTTTTGGTGAGTTTGGGTAGAAACATTTATCAGGTTAAGATAGTTTCTTCTATTACTACTTTTCTAAATGGTTTTTATTGGAAGGTATGCTCAATTTTATCTAGTGCTCTTAAAATTAGATATCGAGATGATCATATGGTTTTTTCTTACAAAATATTAATGTGGAAAATTAAAGTAATAGGTTTTTATCAGACTTATATACATGAACATGGTTTCAAGTAAAATAGTTCTATTACTGTCTTAGTTCATTTTCTGTTCCTATGACAAAATGCCCAAAACTGGGTAATTTATAAAGGAAAGAGATGATGTATTTAGTTCACTATTCTGGAGGTTGGGACATCCAAGATGGGCAGCCACATCTAGTGAGGGCCTCGTGCAGCATCAGAACATGGGGGAGAAAAGGAAGGGAACGTGGGGCATGCAAAGACCAAATATGAGGCAGCCTCGCTTCATAACGACCTGCTCTCGCAATACCCAATCCAGTCCTGCAAGAACGAGAGCTCACTCCCTGGAGAAAGGCTTTGATCTCTCTTAATGATCTAATCACCTCTTAAAGGCACCACTTCTTAACACTGGCTCCACTGGGGGCCAAACCCAAACATGAGTTTTGGTGGGGACAGACCCGACTCAGATGGACCCATACATCATTTTCCATTCTCACCAGGAAGGTATGAGAGTCTAGTTGCTCTACTTTCTCATCCACTCTTGGTGTTTTTATATTTCACTTTACCCATTCTATTAGGTATGAAGTGGCATCTCATGATATACAAAACTGTGAGCTCTACAGTTTCTGCTGGGAGAAAAACTAACAAAATCAACTAGTGTAGGGTGAGTCACACCACGATATTTGTAAACTGGTAGATGAATCAACTTGCGTAACAGCTCAGTCCAAAGTCAACACTAACACAGAGCTTCCGAAACTGTTGTGACTGTTCCAAGGGCTTTGTGAATCCATTAGCTGGAAACTGTATCTGTAGTAATTTGTGAATCAATTGTTTGTCAACTAAATTAATAAAATTATAATTTTATGTGGGTCCTAAGTTTTTTTAAACGTTAGAAAGGGTTTCTTATGGTGGCTAAGAACACAGGCCAAGGCCTGGGTTTTCCCTGCAGTAATAACTGTTAACAAGGTTTTGTATTAAATCATATTATGTGAGAGGTTTAGGGCTTATTTATTCATTATTCAAAAAGCATTGCTTGCCACCTAAGTGCCACACATTGTGCTAGGAGCTTTCACACGAAAAAAGAGACGGTACTATTACAAACCTTACTGCTGGCAGGGTGGGGGTGCCTGACTTCTGTCTTTGGAGTCAGGGCCCACCCAACAGGAATGAAGAGGCTGATGCTACGTCCAGATTGGAATGAACGCAGTTGTTACCTGGAGGAGCCAACCAATCACAGGCAACGTGCAAGTACCTGGCACAGGAAACTAAATCTGTGCTTAGTCCTCAGAGAAAGATACTCAGTAACAGATCCAGGATGAGCGGGTTGGCCATGGAAGGAGGGCAAGGTAGGAAGTCCAGCCCTGGGAAGGCCCACAGCAGGACATTGACAGCAAGAATTGCAGAAGAGAAGGGCTTTAGGACCTAGGCTGGGAGCACAGCTGGGGTGTGGAGTTTGTCTGAGTGGACCCAGGCAGAACAACAGGCTTAAAGTCTCAGGGCCTCACACGACAAATATGTGTGCACGAGGGAAATTGGACAGAGACCATAATAAATAATTACAGCTGTGTGAGAACTGAGATCAGATTGCCAAGGGAATGTAGAGAAGGAATTAAGGAAGGGAAGTCAGGGAAGGTGTAGGGGAGAAGAGGTTTGAACTGGTTCTTGAAGAAGAGTATCTGCCAGAGAGGGGTTTAGAAGGACATTCTAGGAAAAGGGAGCATATTGCAAAGCCATGATGTCACGAGGGAATAGGATATGTTTCAGAAACAGAGAGCAGTCTGGTGTGGCAGACACATATTGTTTATGGGTACGAGAAGAGGCTGGAAGGTACCCAGTGTCAGGCTGGACAGTCGTGACGGGAAGCGAGTTTGGGCTGTATCCTTAAGAGTCTTGGTCTGGGGAGAGATGTGCTGAGAGCTGGGCTGCAGACATTGATCTAGCTAGTCCTACTCAGACCAGTGAGGCAGACAGGGCTGCATCTGGGAAGAACATGCCAGCACTCAGCAAAGGCATTTTATTGTCAGCTTCTCCCTCCCCTTAGCCATAGCTTGGGGGGCCTTTCCTTAGTCCCTCCTCCCCTCCATTTGTGCAGCTCCTTTTTCCATGCAGGTCACTGCCTTGACAGAGGTGGGCATGCCTACAGTGCCCAGGCCTCTGAGGAATGCCCTAGTATAGGCCACCCACCAAGAGTAACACTGATGCCTCCAAGATATGGAACAGCTGCAGCCTGGGTTATGGCTGTGAGCCCTGCCAAAGTGCACATGGAGGGAAGCTTGTGTGTCCCTCTGTGCCAGTCCAACAACTCCACTCACATGCCGTGCATCGAAGAATCTTCCTGGTGAGTATGTGTGTGTGTGTGTGTGTGTGTGTGTGTGTGTGTGTATGTGTTTTCATGATGTCTTTTTTTGGGTTGGAAGAGAGACGCCTTGCTCTCTCTCAGAAATTCTGTGAATGGTCATTTTACTCAGAATTTCCAGCATGTAAGATAGAAGCTCTCCAGGGTTATCTCTGGTCAGGGATCAAACAGCTGCTCTCCACTGTCTCAGCAGAATAAAATGCTTCTACCAAAGCAAAGCTGACGCAGACATACAAAACAGATAAGCGTGAGATCTGGGCTGTGGGAGGCATGGTTATCTGGAACACTTTTCCTTACCCAGGAGAGAAGCATTTGTCTGAGGAGTACTGTAACCATGTACTTTCAGATAACAAAATTTCCTAGGGAATCCCTCATATCAGCAGTGACTGTATCCCTTGGACTTACTCTTAAAATCCAGTACATATTTCTTTGCCTTATATGGCTAAGACGAAGTGTATGAGTGTCGGGGAAGGGGAGGATTTGAGAAGAGCTTCTTCAAATGTATGTCCTAGCCTCTGCCCTTAGCAAAGAAAAAGGAAGAGCTACAAAAGTTGTGGAAGGGAATAAATTACCTTGCAGTGGGTGGGAATAAATTACCTTGCAGTGGGTAGGCATAGTCGAGGTATAACTTGATGGCCTAAAAGGCCACTTCCCTGCCTTCCTCCAAAAGGAACCCCTTCCTCAGTAGTATTGCCTTTGATTCCCTCATTAATGACTCCTTGAGGCCAACGCAGTAGTTTTCAATCTGGGACACGTGGAATTCCAGGGGTCTGGGGCAAGCCAGGGTGGGCATGGAGGGTGTTCTACCCCTTCTCCCCATCCTTTAAATGGGGGTGCTCTCACCTTCTCCATGGTACATATCACACTTCCCTTTGAGATTTCTTCTGCAAGTTTTCTTCTTCTTAGTAGGTGTGATGGTTAATTGTATGTGTCAGGTTGGTGAGGCCACGGTACCCAGATATTTGGTCAAATACTAGTCTCGATGATGCAGCAAAGGTGTTTTTTAGATGAGATTAACATTTAAATCAGTATATTTTGAGTAATGCAGATTATCCTCCATAACATGGGTGGGCCTTATCCAATCAGTTGAAGACCTTAAGAGAAATTGGTCTCCCAGAAAGAAGGAATTCTGTCTCCAGGCTGTCTTCAGACTCGAGTTGTAATGTTAATTCTGCCCTGAGTCTCCAGCTTGATGGCCTGCCCTGCAGATTTTGTACTTGCCAGCCTCCATTATCATGTGAGCCAATACCCTAAAATAAATGACTGTCTCCCTCTCTTACTCTCACTCTCTCTCTCTCCATCCTATTTGTGCTGTTCCTCTAGAGAACCCTGACTAACACAGTAAGTTTATTAAATTTAGTGGTATGAGTGAAGCAATTTGGAAAATATTTTAGATGCAATACAGAATTAAGCAAAAGAAGAATAAATGTATCCAGGTTGCTTGGTTTTCACTATGGAAGAGGGGCCACACCAATACAGAATGAGGCACAGCAAGAAAGAGCTCTATGGGAATGGATGGGAATTGGAGATAGGATGCAAACTCAGGATTTCTAAAATGTGTACATGTATGTGCATGTACATGTTTATGTTCTTCTGTGTGTACGTGTGTGTATAAGTGGATATACATGCTGATGTTTCCTAGATCTCTCTGCTGAAAGCACAAAAAGCAAAGACATCCCAGTGGCAGTGAGTCTACCTAATGCCCAGATGTAGTCTCTAATATTCCCCACAAAAAGGGACCAGGACTACTCAGAGTAATGGCAGATTCCAAGGCAGAGGCAGGATAGGTGCCAGATGAGCCTGGAAAATCTTGTTAGACCAGAAAGTAAAGTATGCACAAAAATAACAGAATATATTACAAGGACTTGGGAGACACCTTGAAGGGGTTCCACTGTCCAAATTGGGTAAATTGAAATACTAGTACAAAACTAAATTTTAAACCGTGGAATAATAGAAACACATGGATCCATATCGATAATTTTTAAAAAACATAAATAGTGGAGACAGGAGGGCTGTCGCTTACAGTGGAATGCTGAGGGCTAAACGTTCAGTGTGGAGAGAGTGCTGGAGAGGCAAATCATCATTTTGCAGCCATAGAATAAAGATGAAGTCAGCAAAACACACCAACAGATGCTAAATCCAGGGGGAGATTTTGAAGAGGAGCAGCATACTTGCATGGTCTTAAAGCATCTCCCCACAGACTGCTTATTAGTTCAAAGGAGAAAAAACAAACAGTAGTTATTCAGTGGATATCAAAATTACCTTTACCAGTGAAGGATGGATGGATGACATGTACCTCCTGGTGTGATGCCCCATGAAGGACACAGCCTTGCCTCTGTAGCATGATGACCAAAAATGCACAGCCTGAGACACCAGGAAACACCAGAGAGACACAAATGAAGACTGTTGTTTTTTTAAAAAGAAGAGTGCATGTGTGGGAGGGGGGCACTCTGCTGTTCCAAAATGTCAATGTCACTCTGGCGGGGGATGTTAATAATGGGGCGCTTTGCATGTGAGGGGGAAGGTGGTATATGGGCGATCTCTATACCTTCCTCTCAATTTTGCTGTGAACCTAAAGCTAATCTAAAAAAAAAGTATTTTAAAAAAATAGTCAATGTCATAAAAGACAAGGAAAGCCTGTGAAAATGTTTTGGAATAAAAAAAACTAAAAGAGTATGACAACTAAATGCAATCACTGACCGTAGACTGAATCCTATACCAGAAGAGAAAGGAACGCTGTAGAGAACATTATTAGATCAACTGACAAACTGGAATATAGATGCCAGATTAGATGAAAATATTATATCAATGTAAATTTATGGAGTTGATAACTGCACTATAGTTATGTAAGAAAATATCCCTATTCTTAGAAATACACATTGAAGTATTTAAAGGTAAAGTGCCATAAGGTAACTTATCCAGTTGGTTCAGAAAAAAAGAATTCTGTATTCACACATATATGTGGCTGTACACACATACACACACACACGTACACAGAGAGAGAGAGAAAGAGACAGAGACGAGGAGAAAGAGAGAGCAATGTTCTTTGGGGAAAGAGTGCTGTAGGGAAAGGAGACATTTGTTCCCTATGCCTGTAGCAACATCCAATCCAGGGCCATCTTCATGTCAAGGCTGGAGTAACTAGTCCTCTGTCTTGAAGAAACAATGAAAAATACATGAGGTGTAGTTGGGGCACTGGTTAGAATCAGGTCATTCAGATCAGGTGAATGCACCTAATGTGCAACCTCCCTTCCAGGGTCCATGTGCTGTGGTGCATTCCAGACAATTCTAGCTTAATCACTGTGCCAGTCAGTTTTCCAGCAGGAATTGGAAATGGTACCCTGAAACTAGATAATTGAAGGCAATTTAATAAAGAGGCTACTTACAAAGGTGGGTGGGGGCAGGCAGCATTAGAGAAACCAAGAGGAAAAGGCGCAGCTCCTCATAGCTAGCAGCACTGGGGAGCCAGCATTGTCAGAAAAAGTGGGAGTGTGGAGGATCAGGGACCTGAACCCAAGCCCAGAGAAGAGCTGTATGGAGACCTGGTATGGCCATCTGAGAGGAGCTGTCATCTTTGGTAGAGTGAGGCATCTGACTCTGCAGCCAACCCATAGCAACCCAGTGGGAGGGAGCCACGAGGGACAAACCTCCTGACCTTACTTTCCTTGCACCCTCTGATCTCCTGACAGGGTCTCCCATTGCCCAAATCCCCCTGAAGCCAGAGGACAGGAAGCCTATTAAGTAGGCAGGTCAGCCTCCCAGGACACACAGCAGCAGAGAGGAGGGTAGAAAGGGAATCTGGAAAGGAAGCTGGATTTAGAAATCAGTGATATGTGGCTGTGATGAACATTTAGCTTTATTTGTAGAAGCACAGATTGCTGACACCCAACATCACCAAATAATAAAAGATCTAATTGTATGTTGAAGATTCTTGAAACTGGGGTGGTTAAAAAGTTTAATAGGAAAGTTAAAGGAAAAAAATGCCTCTTTCTTGATTATTAGAAATAGGATTTTTAAAGCCCCTATTTTCTTTAAGTAAGTTGTTTTCCAAATTGTCAACTACAGCCAATACAGTAGAAAGTTAAGCATATGGAAGTTCCTTAACAACATGGCAGTAAAGTTCAGTATAGAAAAAGAAATTCTCTCATTAATTTTGTCCTGGAAATAGAATACCTGTCAGATTTGACCAAAAGGTTTTACATTTCTGGAGTGCTCCACCAAATTATGGCCCAGGGTCTATGGTGACCCAGGGGGAGTGCTCCCTAACTCTGGACCAAAGCAGAGTCTGCAGAGGGCCGGGTGGGCAAGGCTGGATGTTGACTGAGGACAGCTGGGTCAGACAGGAAGTACAAGTGGCCAGCTGAGGTATCAACTGGAAGATGCATCACAAAATGAGAAGCTGAGATTCTTTGAGGCATGGTGCATGGCCAATGATTCAGGACCAAGGCTGTTAGATGCCAGCAATAAAGTGCTGCTTAGCTGTTTGTTTTTGAGGCAGAAATGACTAGAAGAGGACAGACCTCATTCCATGCCTATTAAGACCAAAGATGTCTGTACACAGCCCATTTGTGGCTCTGTTATGAGAAATCAAACCCAGCCATGAGTTTCCTGTACACGAAGCCACACTGATTGTTGCCTTTCCAACATTTCTGGCCCGACCTCCCACTGCTTCTTAACTCATTCATCGATGCTCCACTCACAAGGATTTCCCTGAGCATAACGCGATGTTTCACATTCCTGTGCCTTTGAACGTTGTATGAGACTTCAGATTTAGTGGCTGTAACAAAGAGACAATGAAAAGAGAATGCCTTCAATTAGAGTTTGTATTTCCCTCCTGAAGTAGTCCTGAGGTGAGTGTACAGAACTGGAAGGGCAGTGCTGCTCCACACAGTCATTCAGGGACTCAAGGTCCTACCATCTTATTTCTTCACCATCTCCTGAGGTGTTGCCATTGTCCACAGGATTGAAGAAAGCTTACCTTCATGTCTGGCAAAGAGAAAGCCTGGGGTAAGTCACTTTGCCTCTAAGGAGTTGACTCAAGTTGCACGATCGCTGCTACTCACACGCTATAGGCCTGAACCTAGTCACATGGCCATGGCTACCTCCAAAGAGGCTGGAAAATATAGTCTCTAGCTAGTGGCCATGTGCTCTACCCAAATGCATGGTCTTCATGAAAGGGGAGACAATTAGAAGTTTCTGCCACCATCTGCTATTTTCTTAACCAGGAATGGCCTTTTGTCACTTTGATCGTTTGCCTGATCTCTCCTCCCTGCCCTTTGTGACTTAGTAAAAATAAATTTTCTCTGTTCCCCAACTCCAGTATTTTGTTAACTCCTCTCTTATAATTACCTGTATACAACTTGGTCTGGGAGCTGAAGAAGCCAGCAATAAATTACTGAAATCACCTCTGCAGTTTTACAATTTTATGGTGTCTATAAAACCTCCCAGTAATTGCAGTGTTCACTTGGTCATCCTGCAGAACAGTATTGCTATTGGGAAAAAAAAAACTGTGTTTACAGCCCTGGTCACATTCTTTTATATGCTCCAAAGTTAAAGATCTTCTGTGACCAGGAAATGGTCTATCCTAGGCAAGACTTTACTATTCTTCTTCATTGTTGCTCCTTGTAGTAAGTTGTGCCCACTTCTATACTGTCCTGTGGGACCTACTAAGCTTTAGGGACCAGACCATCACCATAATCATAAGATGCTCTCATATGTATCAAAATAAAATTTATACATGAGGACAGGCACAGTGGCTCATGCCTGTAATCCCAGTGCTTTGGGAGGTCAAGGCAGGAGGATCACTTGAGGCCAGGAATTGGGGACTAGAGTGAGCAACATAATGAGATCCTGTTAAAAAAAAGTTGTTTTTTTTTTTTTTTTTAATTAACCAGGCACTGTGGCAGGCACCCTGTAGTCTGAGCTACATGGAGGCTGAAACAGGAGGATCACTTGAGCCCAAGAGTTCAAGACTGCAATGAGACATGATTGTACCATTGCACTGGGTGACAGATCAAGACCCAGGAAGGCCCAGATACTCTTGTTATGAGACTGCTAAACTGATAAAATAATACGTACGATTACAGAGCACTTTAGCTGGTGTCTGACTTTGGGCCCAAGTAAAATTCAGACATATCTGAATTAATCTGTTAAAGGGTAGCCACATCTTGGAGTTGGCCATTTGCATAATAATACTAATTTGTGGCTGAAGGAATGAAGGGGTGCACAGGGGATACATGTGCCTGAGGGTGCAGACTAGGGATGCAGAGCCTGCATACCGCCAGTGCCCTGAACAGCTGGAAGACACGAGGAGCTCAGACACTTGTTGTTTGGTGCAATGGATGTGCTACAGGGAGACAGCAAAGTTGTTATAAAATATTCTGGGCTGGAAGCTACAAACTTGAGTGCTAACCTATCTTTACCTGGACTTCACTTCTCTAGGCTTCTGTTTTCTCATTTGTTATGGAATTGGTTTGGGCGAGATGATTTCTGTGGGCCTTGCAGTTAAAATGTTTTCTGACTCAGCCGGGCATGGTGGCTCACACCTGTAACCCTAGCACTTTAGGAGACCAAGGTGGGCTGATCTCTTGAGACTGAGGATTCGAGACCAGCCTGGCCAACATGGTGAAACCCTGTTTCTACTAAAAATACAAAAATTAGCTGGGTGTGGTGCTGTGTGCCTGTAATCCCAGCTACTCAGGAGGCTGAGGCAGGAGAATCACTTGAATCCAGGAGGCGGAGATTTCAGTGAGCCGAGATTGCACCATGACACCCCAGCCTGGGTGACAGAGCGAGACTTTGTCTCAAAAAAGAAAAAAATAAACTTAAAAAAAGTTTTCCGATTCTAAGGAGAACTCCGACCATAAAAGAAATTAACGTGGTGTGATACACTATCAAGACCAGTAAGTTAATGAGAAAAAGAAAGGCATGAATATGAGTAGCTGAGTATGTCTCCTTTATCAAATGGAAGCAGGACCTGAAATCCATTTCTTTGGACACAGACAGAGGGCAGCAGTACCAGGAGTGGTGGTTTTCTGTGGTGTCCATAGATTCCAATAAACCCTTACTTCCGTGGAAATGAGGAAACAAGGCTGTTTCCTAACAGATCGGTGGTTTTTAAAATCCCATGTCTTCTGAAACTTTCTGTCCATCTGTTTCTGTTGTGCTGAACTCCGCTTTGGTAGCATGAAAAGGAAGAGGCAAGCAGCAGCTGGAATAAAAAAAGACATTGTTCCTTCCTATTCAGCCAGTACATTCTATTCACAAAGTTGGGGCAAGGTGTGGTGGCTCCTGCCTATAATCCCAGCACTTTGGGAGGCTGAGGTGGGAGAATCACTTGAGGCCAGGAGTTCGAGAACAGCTTGGGCAACATCATGAGACCTTATCTCATTTTTTTAAAAGTGGGCAATGATAAATAAAATGATACTGAAATTTTTGAACACTTCATATTTCATATACGTTTACAAACCTGTTATAATTGGCTACCAAAATCTTCACATTTTTATCCCCTTCCAGTCTCTACTTACTCCTTGTATTTTAGAGCATCTGGGTTTTTTGGTTTTGGTTTTGGGATTTTTTTTTTTTTTTTTTTTTTTTTGGTCATTACCCTATCATGCTCTTGTCCTTGAATTTTTTCTCAATTTCCTTATTATCTCCAAAAATATCTGCAGCACATTGATAAAGGGAATGGTATAGATAGACAATAGGGGAAAACATCCCACAAAATATTCTAGCAATACTAAATTCTTATCTGCAGTTTTCTCTGGCTGAGAGTTAGGTGGAGAAGGAAGGTGGTGAAGAGAAAGCAAAAATACACTTTCTTCATGCTTTGATAAGCTCTGTGTGTGTCCCTTATTAGGAGACCCAGTTCAAGAAAAAATAGAATAAACAGCATCCTCTGTCATTCCTAGATTGTTTTGCTCTGACTGACCTCACCTGAAAGTAAGTAAATGTGGAAGAGGGTCATAATGCAACTTACTGGTGATTTATTTGCAGAAGTAAATGAAAATAATAGTGATAAATAAGGGTAATGTATATTGATTGCATTAATGGGCCATTCTTTTATGCCTTCCTACATCCGTGCTCTTGGGCAGTACCCTTCCACACTGACTTTCTGCTTGGTTATGTGTCTTGTTCTGACCAATGGGGCTGTAGCAATGTTGATGTAAGCAGGGGCTTCAAAAAACCTTTACATGATTCGTACAGCCATTATAGAAAACAGTATGGGGGTCCTCAAAAAAAAAATAAAACTAGAACTTCCATATGATCTGGCAATCCTGCTTCTGGGTATAAATCCAAAGGAAATGAAGTCAGCATGTCAAAGAGATGGCTGCACTCCCATATTTATTGCAGCATTATTCACAATAGCCAAGTTAAGGAATCAATCTGTGTCCATCAACGGATGAATGGACAAAGAAAATGTGGTATATTTACACAATAGAATAATATTCAGACTTCAAAAATTTAAAAAATCCTGTCATTTGTGACAACATGGATAAACCTGAAGAACGTTATGTTAAGGGAAATAAGCCAGGCACAGAAAGACAAATACTGTAGGACCTCACTTACACAAGGGGACTTCAAAAAGTTCATGGAAAAATGCATATTGTGAAAAAACTATGCATAGATCTCAAACCATTTTTTAACCAAAATAAACTTGTACTACCCTATTATAACATGTCTGGTGCCAGGCGCCTGTAATCCCAGCACTTTGGGAGGCTGAGGCAGGCAGATCACAAGGTCAGGAGTTTAAGACCAGCCTGGCCAATATGGTGAAACCCCATCTCTACTAAAAATACAAAAAATATCAAAGAGTGGTGGCAGATGCCTGTTATCCCAGCTACTCAGGAGGCTGAGGCAGGAGAATCACTTGAACCCAGGATGGGGAGGTTACAGTGAGCCAAGATCTCACCACTGCACTCCAGCCTGGGTGACAGTGCAAGACTATCTAAAAAAAAAAAAAAAAAAAAAAAAAAAAAACACGTCTGGACAGGATCTAGTTTAAGGCATTAAAAAGTATTGAACATCAGTTTGAAAAGAGCACCTATCAGAGCCACATAAATCTTCAAAAACTGAAGCAAGAACAAATACCAAACTTATGCTGAAGCTTAGGTAGAAAAATGATAAAATCATTCATGCTTTACAAAAAGTTTATGGGAACAATGCTCCAAAGAAATCAGCAGTTTACAAATGGACAATGAGGCAAAGTTAAAGATGAAGCTCACAGAGGCAGACCATCCACATCAATATTCAAGGAAGAAAATAATCTTGTGTATACCCTAATTGAAGAGGACTGACGATTAATGACAGAAACAAAAGCCAACACCACAGACATCTCAACTGGGTCAGCTTACACATTTCTGACTGACAAATAAAATTGAGCAAACTTTCCACTCAATGGATGCCACAATTGTTGCTCTCAGATTAGCTGCAGACAAGAGCAGAGCTTTCAATGGAAATCTTAAACAAGTAGGAGCAAGATCCTGAAGCATTTCTTCAAAGAAGTGTAACAGGAGATGCAACACGGCCTTACCAGTACAATCCTGAAGACAAAGTACAATCACAGCGATGGCTACCAAGAGGTGGAAGAAGTTCAGTCAGAGCAAAAGTGAACTGGTCAGAAGCAAAGGTCATGGCAACAGTTTTTTGGGATGTTCAAGGCATTTTGCTTGTTGGCTTTCTGGACAGCCAGAAAAAATAATAACATCTACTTATTATGAGAGTGTTTTGAGAAAGTTAACCAATGCTATTAGCAGAAAAATGCCCGAGAAAGCTTCACCAGATACTCTTTCTCTACATGATAATGCTCCTGCTCCTTCTTCTCATCAACCAAGGGCAATTTTAGGCATCCACCTTACAGTTCTGATTTGGTTCCTCCTGACTTCTTTTTGTTTCCTAATATTAAAAAATGTGTAAATGGCACCCATTTTTTTTCTCAGTTAATGATGTAAAAAAAGAGACTGCATTGACATGATTAAATTCCCAAGGCCCTGAGTTCTTTAGGGATAGGCTAGTATCATTGTTTACAAAAGTATTTTGAACTTGATGGAGTTTATATTGAGAAATAATATGTATATTTATATTGTATTTTTATCTTTTAACTACATTCTTCCAGGGACATTTTTATTCCCCCTGTTATGTGTAATAAAAAAGTTGAACTCAGGGAGGCAGAGAATAGAATGATGGTTACCAGGGTCTAGAGGCTGAAGTGGAAAAGACTGGGGAAATGCTGGTCAAAGGACACAAAATTAGACAGACAAAAGGAATAAGTTCAAGAGATCCATTGTACAGCATGATTACTATAGTTAATAACAATGTATTGTATACTTACAATTGCTGAGAGTAGATTTAATTGTTCCCACTATAAAAAATGATAAGGGTATAAGGTAATGTATATATTAATTAGCTTGAGTTAGCCATTCTGAAATGTGTACATATATCAAAATATCATATGTGTATACCATAAATATATATATATATAATTTTGTCAATTAAAAAAAGAAAGAATTTTTTTAAAATCTCCAAATGTCTCCACTTCCTCTCTTGTGCTCTGTCATCATCATGAGAACTAGGCAGCTGGGGGATGAAACGCATGTGGCAGACCCAACCATCCCAGTGGAGGCCATCATAGATTACATAATAGCCAGATGATCCCCACACATGTGAATGAGAACAGATGAACCCATCTCTGATCAGAAGAGCTGCCAGATAACCTGTAGACTTGTAAGAAACAATTGCTTTCCACCACAATTATTATGTGAGGTGATTTATTATGCAGCAATAGCTAACTGATACAGATAATAATAATAATTTATTGAGTATTTAGTATATGTCAGGTACTCCTTAATGCTTCTTTCATAAATCATTTCATCCTTGTAATAACTCTGATAGTACTACTACAGACTCCTTTTTAAAATTCATATTATTGAGGCTAAAGTATAAACCTTCAAAATGATTTTTCACATTCTATTAACATCACAAATATCCTGTGCCATAGACAGGGAAGGTATGAGACAAGATCAAGTTGTCTAATGTACGTGCAGTTGGAGTCTTAGATGATGAGGAGAAAGAGAATAAAGTAGAAAAAAATTAGAAGAAATAATGGCCAAACATGTTCCACATTTTGTGAAAAACATCCACCCACAGATTCAAGAAGCTCAACAAATCACTAGCAGGATAAATACAAAGAAAACCACATGTGGGCACACTATAGTCAAACTGCCTGAAAATTGAAGATAAAATCTTTAAATCAGTTAGGAAAAAAAATGATGTTACAGAGGAGCAACTATAAGAATGATACATGGGCCAGGGACAGTGGCTCACGCCTGTAATCCCAGCACTTTGGGAGGCCAAGACAGGCGGATCACTTAAGGTCAGGAGTTCAAGACCAGCCTGGCCAACATGGTGAAACCCCATCTCTACCAAAAATACAAAAAAAATTGGTGGGCATGGTGGCTCACACCTGTAATCCTAGCTACTCAGGAGGCTGAGGTGGGAGAATCACTTGAACTGGGAGGCAGAGGTTGCAGTGAGCTGAGACCGTGCCACTGCACTGCACTCCAGCCTGGGTGACAAAATGAGACTCTTTCTAAAAAAAAAAAAAGAAAATGATATGTAACCTCTAATCAGAAATAATGGAAGCCAGAAGACAATTAAAAGATTTGTTTAAAGTGCTAAAGGGGGAAAAAGTCAATCTTGAACTATATATACAGCCAAAATATACTCCAAAAATGAGGGTGAAATAGATATTGTCAATATATGAAAACTAAGAGAAGTTATTACCCCCAAACATCAATTATAAGAAATGTAGTTAGAGAAAATTCCTCAGGCTGAAAGAAAATGTCACATGGCAACTCAAATTTATAGAAGTAATGAAAAGTACCAAAAATGTAAATACATTGGTAGATATAAAAAGTTACCATTTTTTCGGTAGATATAAAAGGTTATCATTTTTTCCTTTTTTAATTATATTAAAGATAGTTGGCCCTTTAAGGTAAAAAAATTATATTTGGAATTTGCAATTTGCGTAGATGGAAAATATACAACAAAAATAGCACAAAGTACGGGGATATAAATACATTAGAGACTTAAGTTTCAGGTGTCTAACAATTAATTAAATGCCTTTTGATCATGGCTAGAGTTTGCCATTTGCTATGTTGGTAGCCACCCATAGGAAATGAGAAATGTAAGGCATGGTCCTTGACCTTGAGGAACTTACAAGGAGCTGAGAAAGCAATGTATAAAACACAGAAATACCCCAGCAATAATTGAAAGATAATGAGTGGAAAATCAAAACAGCAGACAAAATGGCTAGGATTTCCTAGGGTTCAAAATGCAAAGGAGTGATAAAATTCACTCCTAGTCCATCTGAAGACAATTTATGAATTAGGAGGGGGAAAAAACAGATTTCCTCTCATAGTTAATGTCTGGAAAAGTATGTAAAACTGGACTTCAGCCCCAGTAACACTCAGTTGGGCTCCTATGAGCAGTGAAACACAGTGGCTCTGATCTGAGTGGATGGAGATGTAATTGGAAAGATTTCTAGGATCCTGAGTTGTGCATTAAATAACTTCATAAACATAGACGGTTTTCACATCCAAAGGAAAGAATAACTTCTGCATTAATTTTCAGAAAGAGCTTCAAAGAATCTCAACCTTGGTACATTTTTGGAAGTTTCAGATCCAGCTCAACTAAACTTTGCTTTGTCTTTCTGTTTCAAACAATCTCATGGGAATGTTTTATATTTCTTCTTTAAATTTCATCTTTTTGGAAAAATTATGAAGGCAAGGGTTTGAGTAAAGGAGGAAATTTGAAAGTTTGCGATTCTTAGTTAGTATTGAATATTAAATAGCCCAAAGGCTATTACTAAGCAATAATTCTCTGGAAGAATATTTAAAGGAGTCCTTTTCTCCCTCTCTCATTGAACACACTCATTTATGCATGCACACATATTCCATCTGTGCTACTACAAATATTAATTTAAAACTTGGCAGATGATTATCTTAAAAGATGAAATAAGTCATCAACTGCCAAATTAAGAGTTAACAGCTCCTAGCATTTAAAATTGTGATTAGATTTTTACTGGGTATCGAAAGTTTACTTTAACTTTCAAACTAAAGGGAAATAATATAAATTGTGTCTTCAAGAAAATAAGCAAAATTTTAAAATAATTTTTCTAATTGTGCCCTCAAAATTCATGTTTATTAATTATAAAGCTATTCATTTATACTCTAGAAAACTTTGAAAATAGACACACACACACACACACACACACACACATTGAGAAAAATGGGAAAACCTAAACTTTCATCATCCTCTCAGAAAAAAGTCATGCTAACATTTTTGTTTCCCTTTTGGTCTATCTTTTCTGCATGCACACATACTTTCAGACAACATTAAAACGTTATTTTTAATAACTTTTAGATTATACTGCTTTAACAGTTTTGAATCTTTTCTTTCATTTAACCAATCATTAAAGATCTTTCAAACACATTATTTTAGGTATCTGCCATAATTATGTATCTCTAGTATGGCCTCCAATGATTATTGCCTCCTGGTAATCATGACCTTGTGCTATAGCCTCTTACAATGAATACAGCTAACCTAAGTAACCAATAAGATGCAAGAAATGGTAGCATGAAAGACACTACAGCTTCCACCTTGCTCTTTTTTGGACTATTCTCTATGGGAAAAGCCAGCTGCCATGTTCATGATCACATCCCTATAGAGAGGTCCACATAATGAGGAGTTGAGGCCTCCTGCCAAGAACCAGCACGAATTTGCCAAGTACTTGAGTTTTTCATCATGTAAGAGGATCCTCCCACCTCAGACAAGTTTACACATGACTGCAACCCTGACCAACACCTTGACTGTAACCTCATACAGACATGGAGACAGAACCTCCAAAGTGATCTGCTCCTGGGTTCCCGACTCATAGAAATTGAGTGCATTCGTAAATATTGATTGTTTTAAACATTTAAATTTTAGGATAACTTGTTGTATATGGACAACTAATAATTATTTTGGCACCAAAAGTGGGGTGCTACCATAACAAAACCCTAAAATGTGGGGTGGCTTTACAACAGAGAAAAGAAAACAGTTTGAGAAGTAAAAGAATAAAGTACATTGCACCAGATGAAACTAGGGACAGAGTGCACAGACAGCCTACAGATGGGAGAAAACTTTTGCAAACTATTTTCATTTGATCTGACGAATACATGGAAAATATGAGACACTATTGAAAAACTATTATAAATAATGAAAGAATTTAGTAAGGTGATAAAAGACCAAAGAACTATGTTTCTACCCTAGATGCATTCAAGGGGCTTTGAATAGAGGTCCGACCAAGTGTGTTTATAGGCAGTGGTAGGAGAAACAGAGCTGTTTCTTGATTGTATCCTACTTAATTCACTTATTCAGCGAACAAGTTACACAAATACACACAATAATTTTAGCTGTATAACACTTGAACACTACATGCGTAATCCTGAAATGTGGGCACATGCACTTATAAACCCTAATTATTGTGGGGGAGTTGTTGCTAATTTTGAAACTACAATTAGCAGGATGGAAATAATGGAGCATCTGGTGATTAAAGCAGCGTGTCAACCTGAACCACCTCATTCCTAACCTCAGTCCCTGTAGCTTCTCATATTCTTTCAGATCAGCTTCTCTGAGACTAATCAGCAAGTCTTTGCTGTTTAGCTTCCTGGGCCACTGCTGAGTCACCCTCCCACTCTTAGCAGGCTCTTACTTGTGTGAGTTTCTGCTAAGTTATCCAGTTCCTATCCCTAAGGGTATGTTCAAGCCCTGAAGCCTAACTAGTTTCTTCTTGAAGCAAAAATTTGCATGTTGTTAACTCTCAACTACTTATGGTTACAGGTCTCAGGAACAGGTGGATCTTGTTGCTGAACCACAAACTAGATTCTGCCTATGAAATTTACCTGCTCTACCACATCTATTAGCAAGTGATAGAGCTAATCAGGATGTGTTGCCTTTGCTTGCTCTATCGCACATTCCCTGACAAAGATATCAATGACAATGGAAAGGGATAACCTGGAGGAGGGAATAAGAAGACAGTAGGGTCCGACAAGTGAACAGCAATTCTTTGGACCCACAGGGACTGTCAGTAATCTCACCAGGCACTTTTAGGGTATATCTCCAGGCTCAGAGCCCTTGCAGTGATGTTTTATACACATTTGGCCTTCCTGCCATGTTTGACAAAAATCCCTAAGGCTAAAGTGCATTGAAACATAGGAATATATTGGTGTGTCCCTTTCTGCAGTCTTCCCAGACTTTGGAAAGATGAATATGACTGTCACTAAGTGGAGACTCTGCAATCCCCACGCAGAGTTGGCATGGGGGCACTGGTGATGAGCAAAAGGATAGGGATCTTCAAGTGACTTTTTAAGCACACAAAGAGAGTAGGTGGTTCTTCATAGGCAAAGGAGACAAATTGCCGGAAGCCAAAAGGTAGACAGTTGCAGTAATCTGTGTGCTTTCTCAGAAATGAAATACAGAGATCCTACCCTTCCATTTCGTCAAGTAAAAGTGAGGCTTGTGAGAATCTGTCATCCTTTGCTTGGAAACTCTATGCTGAAGCATGTGCCATGTTTACTCTCAGTAAACTGCATCCTAGGCCTATAGAGAAGAGAGCAACCAACTATTAAATGGTTAGAAAGAGAAAAAACATGAGAAAGTTATCTTCAGCATTCCCTCATTTATGAAGCTATTGAAATAGCACATCCTGGAATATGCAGACTAAATTTTCCATCCTGGTTTCATAACACTTTACAGTCTCTCCATTTATCTCATGAGATATTAAGGAACTCACAAAACTGATTTACAATTAATTTTATTTCAAATGAATATATAGCATATCACATTTGATGAATCAGAAAGAGGAAATTTGAAAGACAGTAAAAATAGTATGTTGTGAACTTAAAAAGAAGTTGAAAATCCTGTCTCTATAGATAGTTCTGGCAAAATAAATGCATATAGAGCAAAAGAGTGAGTACATCAGTGTCCTTTTGGAAAGTCGGTGACACTCAGAATGCTTTGGGGGCTTAACCTTGATTCATATGGAATTTGAAAAGCCCATGTCTCACCTCAGGATTCAGTTTGATTCAGCCTTTACTATGTCCCTCACACTGAGCTAGGCACTAGTGATTCAAAGAGAAATGGCACCCACCTGCCCAAGGAAGAGTCTAGAAGATGGCATTTTTGCTATCCTACCAGCAAAAAGAAACAAGGGACCAAGTCAGTTTAGCAAACACTATTGTGAGCTGACTGTAAGGCTCTATGCAAAGCCCTGATAAACCCCCAAATAATGCCAAGCAGCAAATGACTTTTTAAAGCCATATTACATATTGACTTTGTAATGCATAATGGGCATCTGGGCACAGAAGATTTACTTCCCTAATTATGTGTTACTTATGCTAATATTAAAATTAGCCTGTATTCCCTAATCACCTTCAGAGGAAGAAGTGGCTTTAGAAGCATGCTGGGCAACAGATTAAAAAGGATTGAAAATACCTAAGTGTGAAAAATTTTATAATAAAAGTTAACACCCATGAGCTTTTAAAGATAAAACATGGCTTCTCTTTCCACTCACTATTCTTTCTTCTTCATATCTTTTTTCTTCTTTTTTTGTGAAATTATATGTGACTCCTTAAAAGTATGAAAAACGTTTGCTGCAATCTTTATAAAACCGTGGATTATGGAAGGAGCCCCCACTAAGGGTTTAGATATTGTACTAAGTATGTTACGTAAATTATCTCTTTTAATCTTCCCTAGAGCTGTGTGAAAAAGAGATTGTTATCATAAGTTTAGAGATGAGGAAACTGAAGCTCAAAAAGTATTTACATAACCTATAAAAGATCAAACCAGAATTTAAATATTAGTCCATCAACTTTAAGACTTATGCCTTTCTACTATCCAATGCACTCTAACCTTTAATATCCCACTGTACCAGTAGCCAATAGAGAAATGGGCAAAGGAGAGAAATCCACCGTTCACAGGAAAGGAAATACAAATGGCCCTTAAACATATTTTGTAGATGTTCAAATGGGCTCATAGGAAATGCAAAATAAAACTTCATCTGTCAAAATAGCCGAGAGAAAAACCATTTGGCATCACGCTGTGTTGGCAAGGGTGTGGGGAAAAAGCCTTGCTCATTCGTTGCTGGTGAGAGTAAAAGATTGACGCAACTGCGTTAGAGGGAAATTTGCCAATTCCTATCAAAATTACCCTTCTATAATTTTATCCTTCAAGTATATATTTGCACTTGTGAGATATGACGTGTGCACAAGATTATTCATTGCAATGTGGTTTATAACAGGAAAGGATTGAAACAACCTGATGTTCATTAACAGGCTTACAAATTATGTTCATCTATACAAAGAATTGTATGCAACCATTACAAAATGAGAATTATTGTTAATGTAATTTGTTAAGTGAAAAAATGAAGGTGCAGAACAGCAAGTGCTATGTGTTCCCATTTGTGTAAAGGGAAAAGTATGCACAAGTCTTTGTATGTAACTAGACTATATCTGGGTAGGCTGGGGTGGAAGGGAGACATTGCTTCACACCCTGTGGATCTTTTGAATTTTGAACCATGTAATGTATAACCCCTATTATTTTATTTCGTTAGAGATGAAGGTCTCACTATGTTGCCCAAGCTAGACTTGAACTCCTGGGTTCAAGTGATCCTCCCACCTCAGCCTCCCAAGTATCTAGGACTACAGGCATATGCCACCATGCCCAACTTGTATAGCCAATTTTTAAAAAGTAAAGCTTAAAAATTAAAATGAATGCCAATTACTTCCCTTTGATTTGAGAACACCATATTTAGCTACTGAATAATAGAAGGAGGACAATGATACTCTATTGAGTTGAACCTGAAAGTTGTGCAAATTTTTATGAAATCACCACCAGTTAGCTTTTTCTTTGGACTTTCATGTCTTTGGAACTACTTCTTCCCTAAATTGTTGTTAAGGCTATAAATTGAGCTCTTTACTTCCTTCTTATAACAATGTAACAACAAGAAGGATAATATATAGGAGGTCGGCTACTTGCAAAGCTCTGAGGTTAGAGCTGTGGCTGTATTGTCTCATTTAATCCTCACTATATCCTTAAACGGTGGAAATACCAGCCCCACTTTAAAGGTGAGAAAACAGAGACTTAGACAAGTTAGCATTTTCCATTTTAATTGGTTTCCAGGCAGTATGAAGCAACTTTTTTCTAATGCGTATGTCTTTGAGAGGAAAGAGAAGTTTTTTTAAAACGGTCTTTAAAAGCCCACCATGCCATGCAGAAAAAAAAAAAAAAAAAAAGATGCTGACACAAAATTTATTCCACAGAGATTATTCTAAAGGACTCTTCTCACATTCAAGTGCTACTCAGAAAAATAGTCCATGAGTTATATAAGAGATTCTAATATTTTAAAGGAAAAAAAATCCCATAAAAGTTGAGCTGCCAGGCTCCTTTGCCCGTTCAATTTCTCAAGTCTGATGTGTTCAAAGCAAATTCTCTTCTTTTACAACAAAGAGTACTCAATTCTTTTCTTATTGCATTATGATAAAGATCATATAGTACATCCCCTTAGCACTCTTTGCACCAGCCTCAAGCATTTTCTCACAAGTTCTCGAGTCGAGGGTAAAAGCCTGCCATACTAATAGGTATACCAAAAGCTTTCCACTAAAAAATATACTTGATATGTAGTACTGAAGTAAGGACAACAAAATCAATCATTCAGCCCTGGGTTTTATTCCCCTGTCACTGCTTAGGAGGCTTGAATTTAAGTTATAGTGCTTGCAAGAAGTGCGTACAAAACTGACCTTCAATTCCCCATTGTCCCAGCTGATATCTTCATCGCCAGGGTTCTCCAATTTCCTCTCTCTTAGCCATTAAGAAGTGCATCAGACCTCACTATGGAGCTCCCAAGAGAAGTGCTAGTATGTTCTAGTTCAAAAACTAAGGAGATTGAAAATAGTTTTCCCATCAAATTGCCATTTTGGTCTTAAAAGGTTTTCATTGTGTTATGAGGTTTGCGCTAGAATTCAGACATCTTGATAATGAAAACTCTGTGTTGATATTGGTGAACCGAAGTGACTAAACTGCTACTCCCAGGGCAGAATTTGGTGTGCAAAGCACACGACAAAGACAATATAAAAATTATTTTATTTCTTTTTTGGGTTTTGGTTGACATGGATTTTGTTTATTGCCTCCACATAATTCTATCCAATGGGACATATTATAATCATCACCTATTTATGGCAAGGCATTGTTCTAGGCACGGAGGATACAAGCAAATGCAAAACCAAGTCCCTGCACTCAGGACTTTGATATTCTATGAATATTCTACAAGATTCTGCAGAGGTTATACCAGTTATTACATATAACATCTCAGGTAGGTGCTATGTGACATGAGAACAATGAAACCAAATAAGGGGGTAGAAACTAGCAAAGGGTGCATTTCAGTTAGAGTGGCCAGGAGGAGGAGGTGCCACTTTCACAGAGATCTGAGAGAAGCCTGTGGTTATCCAGAGAAAGAGACTCCAGTGCACAGGGAACACCAAACTCAAGGCCCTGAGACAGGAGTGGGTTTGGCAGAAATAGCAGAGGCCTGTGTAGAAGGATAAAGGGAGCAAAGGGGTGAATGGAAGGAGATGGGGTCAGAAAAAATAGCCGAGATCCCTAATGAGCTCTGCAGGTCAAAATAAAAACTTTGGACATTGGGAAGCCATGAAAAGGTTTTGAGCAGATGAGTAACATAATCTGATTTAGATTTTTGAATTTTTAAAATTTATTTTTTTTAATTATTATTTTTAGGCTGGGCATGGTGGCTCACACCTGTAA
The DNA here is from genome assembly GCF_000001405.40 of Homo sapiens. NCBI lineage: Eukaryota > Metazoa > Chordata > Mammalia > Primates > Hominidae > Homo > Homo sapiens. The sequence continues at coordinate 98,799,906 of NC_000004.12, forward strand.
TCCCAGCACTTTGGGAGGTTGAAGCAGGTGAATCGCTTGAGCTCAGGAGTTTGAGACCAGCCTGGGCAACAAAGTGAGATCCCATCTTTATAACATTGCAAAAATTAGCCGGATATGGTGGCATGTGCCTGTGGCCCCAGCTACCTGGGAGGTGGAGGTGGGAGGATGGCTTGAGCCTGGGAGGCAGATGTTGTAGTGAGCCAAGATCATGCCACTGCACTCTAGCCTGGGTGACAGAGCCAGAACCTGTCTCAAAATATGTATAATTATTATTTTTTTTAAAAAAATAGAGACAAGGACTCACTCTGTTGCCCAGGCTAGAGTGCAGTGGCGTGATCATAGCTAACTGTGACCTTGAACTCCTGGCCTCAAGCAATCCTTCCACCTAGCCTCACAAGTAGCTAGGGCTACAGGTGCATACTGCTACACCAGCTAAGTTTTAAATTTTTGGTAGAGATGAGGTCTTTCTATGTTGCCAAGGCTGGTCTCAAACTCCTGGCCTCAAGTGAACCTCCCACCTTGGCATCCCAAAGTGCTGGCATTATAGACATGAACTGCTGCACCTCACCTGATTTACATTTTTAAATGACATCTTGGAATCTATAATTATCTCAAAATAAAAGTTTTTTAAAAGATATCTCTGGCTACTGAGTGGAGAGATGACTGTAGGGGTTATGGTAGATAGACTCTCAGATGGCCACAGTGATCCCCACCTTCCGGTGCTCCTACCCTTTAGCATGAGTACACACTCGATTTGTTAACTCACTAATGAGGAATTGAATATGACAGAAGCAATAGGATGTCACTTCTGAGATTAGACTAAAAAAAGACTGTGGCTTCCATCTTGAACATCGTCTCCCATATTCTCTCCATCCCCCACCCCCTTCCCTGCCATCTTGCTCATTCTGGGTGAAGGCAGTTGCCACATTGTGAGCTGCCCTGAGGTCTACACGATAAGAAGCTGAAGCCTGTGACAGCACATGAGTGGTCCTGGAAGTAGACCCCCCAACCCTAGTCAGAAGTCTGAGGAAAAGACCTAGCCTGAGCCTAGTCCAGGACTATGTGACAGAGATTAAGCTGATTCCAGAAGGCCAGGAAAGTGGAGGTGACAATGGTAAAGACCATGGGTTTTCACGTCAGGAAGGTCAGGGTAGGAATTCCAGCTCTCTATTGTTAACTGTGTGACCTCAGTGAACTTATTTAATCTCTTCAAGCCTCAGTGTTCTTGACTGCAAAATAAGGATAATAAAAGTACTTACCTTTAGCGCAACACTGGCTGGTTGAAAGAGTTTGCTAATATGTATTTTCCTTAACACAGTGCCCAGCACATAGTAAGTTCTCAACTGATGAGCCTGGAGCGGCCACGATGTGAACTGTCACCGGCCACTGCTGCTCCGACTCCCTGGAAGCACACAGGGTGATTAAAGGAGGCGGCAGTGCCCTTTATCTCAAAGCAAAGTTGCACTGCTGTGTCAGAGATTACAAACAGTGAGGTGCACATAATCCCTGCGCAGCTATTCTTCTAGGAAAAGCTGTGATCAAAAGCCTGCTTTAGCCCATCAGTGAACACAGCTGTAGGTTCCCTCAGCTCTCTTCCCACCCTTGATAAGGGAACCTTTAAAATGCCTTAAAGGTAAGCCCTGCTGCTGAGCTGAAAGAGGTCCAAGTGGGGACAGGGCTGATTCATTGGAGAAACAATGCTCCACAGAGTGTCAGTCCTTCCAGCCACTCTGTGCACACTGTGTCACCACATCTGCTTCTTGGCAGCTACTGTCTGCTTTGTGACCCACAGATATACAAAGAGACAATGCAGAGAAAGGCAGGTCAAGATGCTGGTGGATCAGTGGAGGACCAAGTGCACACCAAGGCACCCACAAAGTGCTAGTTAAGCCCAGGGGCTGACTGTCATGCCACGGCTGTGAGACACACGCCTGCTTGGATGGCACACCCCTGTCTGGCATTTGGGGCCTTGTCATTAAGAGCTAATGCATAGCATCAAAAGGGAAGACTGGCTCAGCAGCAGGTAAGTTCAGGGACAATCATCACAAAGTAAAGCCACCAGCACAACCCTGCTAGAAAGAATGGTCATCTTCATGGATTATGACACCACAAGCCAACAGCACATGAAAACAAGGAACAATGATATCGATGGGCCAAACAAATATATGCAAGCATATGTATGTATTATATATAAAATATATATATATATATAGAATTAGCATATGTTATCATAAAAACTAAATGCTAATGTTTACCAGGTTCAAGAGGCCAAAGAGATTTTTTTTTTGAGATCGAGTCTCACTCCATCGCCCAGGCTAGAGTGCAGTGGTGCAATCTCGGCTCACTGCAACTTCCGCCCCCTGGGTTCGAGCAATTCACCTGCCTCAGCCTCCCAAGTAGCTGGGATTACAGGTGCCCGCCACCACACCGGGCTAATTTTTGTGTTTTTAGTGGAGATGGGGTTTCACCATGTTGGCAGAGCTGGTCTCGAACTCCTGACCTCAAGTAATCCACCCACCTCGCCCTCCCAAAGTGCTGGGATTACAGGCGTGAGCCACCGTGCCCAGCTGAGAATTTTTTTTAAATGCTAGTGTTTATAGCAGAAAATAACATCTGGAAAGAACAAAATGTTTGTCTCATGTGTACATCTAATCTTCAGGTTCACCATTTAGTTAAAGATATCCACCTGAATCCAAGAAGATGTCATCAGGCTTGTATTTCTGTTCTAAAATGGAAGATTTCAGAAATTCAAATGTACTTGTAAATCTCAATATGCTTCATTTTGGCCTATAACTGAGCCATAACCTCTGCTAACACCCATAAACAATTATATTTGGAAATAGAAGTATTGAAAGTTACACAATTTGCAAATTTTCTTAATATTCCTCCTCTCTGTGGATCTTTGCCAGCATTCTGTCATTTCTAATCTATGGTGTCAGCTTGACAGTTAAACCAAACAAAAGCTAATGTTTTTGGCAGGAGAAAATAATCAGCACATCCATTCATTAGCATCCTCCTCACACATTCTTTGTCAATTATAAATATTTGCTTGAGCTAAACTCTGTCACCATCATTGAAGCCATTACTGCCTGTAACTTAGTGATATATTTGAAGAGTCAAGCTTCTGGCATTTTGCAGCTGGGGCTCCAGCATAATCAAAATATTCATAAACTAACACTTGGGTCCCAGCAGAGTATCTTACTCGAGATAACAAATGATGATCCTAGACAATGGAACTACAAGTCAAACTCTGAGTCATGAGTTTCATAATGGTGTTTCTGGGCTATATCCATTAGCTTCTGATAAAAGCCTTTTCAATTGCTATTTGGGGACATTTTTAGGGGACATTCAATTACACGGTTGGACTTGTACATTGGCAGATGCTGCAGCATTCTTGGGGGAGCTCCAGATCCTACTAAATGTAATGAAAGTTGTTGGTGCCCCATCTAGATTCCCTTTAAAAGCAGGTGCTCCTGTCCTCAGCTGCTGTGAGCAGTGGCTGCTAACAATTCACAGCTGCCCCCTTCTCCAGACACCTGCCCTTGGCCAAGTGGGAACAGTCTTGATCTGGGAGCTCTGCCCTCTACACTCATCCCCTGACCTCAGCCAATGACTTAGTGACATGAAGGGGCGTGAAGGGAAGTCTCCCTTCTCTCAAGGGAGCGACCAACTCTGTGGTGCAATTCATGCCTCAGAACCTCCCCATGGGAACAGGCTGAAGCTGGTCTTCCAGGGAGACAACATTTTTGCTTTGCCTTTTTCCTATGACCTATCCTGATTCTCTCATTCATTTCTCCTGTGAATAATCAGAAAAAAAAACACTTCTAAGAGAATCCCCATCTCAAGGTCTGCTTTTAGGGAGACCTACTTGAGGCACTAAGAACTTCTCTTTGCCCGGGACGGGACTTTGCCCCTGCCTGGGCCCACCAGGAACCCTGGGCCCCAACAGGTGAACTGGTGGCTACTTCAAGACTCAACACAGATGTGTCTTTTCTGGTGTGATCTGGAGGTTTTCCCTACAGACCGCGAGATACCCAGCCTAACGACAGTGTCTCATTCGCTCCCAGCACCTAGCACAGTTCTGGCAGAATTTCTTATCTCTGCCCTGACTGACAAAATCTTTCTCAATCTTTCTGGACATCAATTAGAAAAAAGACGGAAACCCCAACAGATAAATAGGCATAGAATATGAACAAAGACAGCTCACTTAAATGGAAACATAAGACCAGCTCATTCTCACTCATAACAAGTGAAATGTGTATTAAAACTACACAGAGATACCATTTTTCAATTCTCAGACTGGGAAACATCCAAAATATGATTTTTATTCTATCCCTAGATCCAGCCCAGTGATAGTGGGTTCTTTTTTTCCCTGTTACAAATGAATTGTTATTCCAAGAAATGCCCCTGTGGGAGTTCACTGTGGGGAAATAAATCTGATAAAATTCTATAAAGCCCTTCTGAGCTGTGGGTGAAGTGAGAGTGCAAACCCTAATCATTAGCCTGAACATCCACCTCCTCAGGAATATTATATATTATGTTTCTTCTCTAGGTCATGGAAACATACTGCTTTCCTTATTTCCTCTGTCCTACCCAAGTAAGAGTTCTTATTGTCACTTTTATCTGTTTCTCACTTTTGCCTGAGATCTCTCTCTTCAAGACCACAAAATGTCTTGCGAGCCTGAGTCATACCTTCAATTTATCGTATTTTCCCCACTCATCTTACTGCAAGGTGGGATTAGTGGAGTATGTATTTTCCTCTATCATACAGTGTCTGCTAGTTAAGTGTATATATGTCTGTTTCCTCCACAGATCTATGTCATTTATGGCATTATTGTTACCAAAATTTTGCTTCCTCTCTCTGTAGAAGAAGACTTCTTTGCTTCAATGGTGTCCCAGTTCGGTCTTGAAATTTTCTCTGCTCAGTAAAATTGAGCAGAAGCGATACAAGCAGCTTCCAATCAGAAGCTTTGAGACCCATCATGTGGTTCCATCATCACATTCTTTCCTCTACTGCAAGACCATCCCCAAGACTAGCATATCCCAGAAAAAGTGTATTCCCTTAGCCTGGCTCCTGGAACAAAAACAACATAGAGCAGAGACATGAAGGACACAAATGTGAGTGAGAAATAAACCTCAGTGGTCTTCAGCCTCTGAGATTTGGGAGTCATTTGTTACTGCAGTAGAACCTGGTCAGATGTCTTCTACACTCTGTAATCTCCAGTGCATCTTATTTTCCTTTCTACTCAAAACAGCATCTCATATAATTCTTTGCCTGTGGTACACATTCAATAAAAACTGGCTAAATAGAATTTTTATTTTGTGGCCAGGCGTGGTGGCTCATGCCTGTAATCCCAGCACTTTGGGAGGCCAAGGCAGGTGGATCACCTGAGGTCAGGAGTTTGAGACTAGCCTGGCCAACATGGTGAAACCCCGTCACTACTAAAAATACAAAAATTAGCCAGGCATGGTGGCACATGCCTGTAATTCCAGCTATCCAGGAGGCTGAGGCAGGAGAATTGCTTGAACCCAGGAGGTGGAGGATGCAGTGAGCCAAGATTGTGCCATTGCACTCCAGACTGGGCGACAACAGTGAAACACCATCTGGAAAAATAAAAATAAAAAGAATTTTTATTTTCCACTTTTGCTTCCTCTTCCCTTTTCTTTCTGAACAATTTAGTTCAAAGCCATTAGAGAGGCCAAGGAAGGTAGGTGTTTGGGAAAGGGGTAGAAGAGGATCTGTGGTGGCTCAGGCAGGTGGCCAGAGCCTGAGCAGGGTGAGGAGACTTGATCACATAAATACAGACTATGTGTCATGGGAGCCAAGTTTCTCACTATCAGAGAAAGGTGCTGATCTTTGACAAACCTGACAAAAAACAAGAAATGGGGAAAGGATTCCTTATTTAACAAATGGTGCTGGGAAAACTGGCAAGCCATATGTAGAAAGCTGAAACTGGATCCCTTCCTTACACCTTACACAAAAATTAATTCAAGATGGATTAAAGACTTACATGTTAGACCTAAAACCATAAAAACCCTAGAAGAAAACCTAGGCAATACCGTTCAGGACATAGGCATGGGCAAGGACTTCATGTCTACAACACCAAAAGCAATGACAGCAAAAGCCAAATTTGACAAATGGGATCTAATTAAACTAAAGAACTTCAGCACAGCAAAAGAAACTACCATCAGAATGAACAGGCAACCTACAGAATGGGAGAAAATTTTTGCAATCTACTCATCTCACAAAGGGCTAATATCCAGAATCTACAATGAACTCAAACAAATTTACAAGAAAAAAACAAGCAAACCCATCAACAAGTGGGTGAAGGATATGAACAGACACTTCTCAAAAGAAGACATTTATGCAGCCAACAGACACATGAAAAAATGCTCATCATCACTGGCCATCAGAGAAATGTAAATCAAAACCACAATGAGATACCACCTCACACCAGTTAGAATGGTGATCATTAAAAAGTCAGGAAACAACAGGTGCTGGAGAGGATGTGGAGAAATAGGAAAACTTCTACACTGTTGGTGGGACTGTAAACTAGTTCAACCATTGTGGAAGACAGTGTGGTGATTCCTCAGGGATCTAGAACCAGAAATACCATTTGACCCAGCCATCTCACTACTGGGTATATACCCAAAGGATTATAAATCGTGCTGCTATAAAGACACATGCACACGTGTGTTTATTGTGGCACTATTCACAATAGCAAAGACTTGGAACCAACCCAAATGTCCAACAATGATAGACTGGATTAAGAAAATGTGGCACATACACACCACGGAATACTGTGCAGCCATAAAAAATGATGAGTTCATGTCCTTTGTAGGGACATGGATGAAGCTGGAAACCATCATTCTCAGCAAACTATTGCAAGAACAAAAAACCAAACACCGCATGTTCTCACTCATAGGTGGGAATTGAACAATGAGAAAACTTGGACACAGGAAGGGGAACATCACACACCAGGGCCTGTTGAGGGGTGTGGGGAGGGGGGAGGGATAGCATTAGGAGATATACCTAATGTAAATGACGAGTTAATGGGTGCAGCACACCAACATGGCACACGTATACATATGTAACAAACCTGCATGTTGTGCACATGTACCCTAGAACTTAAAGTATAATAAAAAAATAAAAAGAAAAGAAAAATAAACAAAAAACAAATACAGGAAGCAAGAAAATTATAATGAACCCTGTTTTGTTGGATTGGAAGTGATGACAATGTGATGGTGGCTTACCAAAAATAGATGTTGCCTTATCTGGCTTACTCTCCATTACCAATTAATCAAATCAACATTGATGATATTTAACATTTCCCATACCACTATGCACTATGTTCTGAATATTTGCATCCCTCCCAATTCACATGTTGAAATTCTAACCCCAAGTGAACCCCATTCATATGTTGAAATTCTAACCATAATAATAGGAGGTAGGAACTTTTGGGAGATGATTAGGTCATGAGGCCAGAGTCCTCATGAAGGAATAAATAGGCCCAAAGGTGCTCCTTCACCCCTTCCACCATGTAAGGATTCAGCAAGAAGATACTGTCTATAAGGAACAGGGCCCTTACCAGACACCAAGTCTGCCAGCACCGTGGTCTTGGACTTGTCAGCCTCCAGAACTGTGATTAATACATGTCTGTTGTTTATAAGCTGCCCAGTTTATGGTATTTTATTATAGCACCCTGAATGGACTAAGTCACCATGCTTGAAGGTTCAAGGAAAACCTCATATCTAATACTGTTACAGTGGTGTGCACCTGACTTAAAAAATGTTATTTTTGCTGAGTGCGGTGGCTCACGCCTGTAATCCCAGCACTTTGGGAGGCTGAGGCAGGTGCATTACCTAGGGTTAGGAGTTCAGGACCAGCCTGGCCAACACAGTGAAACCCCGTCTCTACTAAAAATACAAAAAAAAAAAAAAAAAAAATTAGCTGGGCGTGGTGGCGGGCGCCTGTAGTCCCAGCTACTCTGGAGGCTGAGGCAGGAGAATGGCATGAACCCAAGAGGCGGAGCTTTCAGTGAGCCAAGATCATGGCACTGCACTCTAGCCTGGGTGACAGAGCGAGTCTCAAAAAAAAAAAAAAAAAATTAGCTGGGCATGGTGGCAGTCGCCTGTAATCCCAGCTACTCAGGAGGCTGAGGCAAGAGAATTGCTTGAACCTGGGAGGCAGAGATTGTGGTGAGCTGAGATCGCACCATTGCACTCCAGCCTGAGCAGCAAGAGGGAAACTCCATCTCAAAACAAAGAAAAAAAAAAGAAAAAAAAATTATTTTTAATCTGGGACAAATAGGTGACAGCAATAAAAAATAATAATGAAATAAAAATTTAAAAAGTGTCTGCATCTTCAAAAAGAAGGTTAACAACATAATTCTTGTTTTTTTTTTGTTTTGTTTTTTTTGAGACAGGGTCTCACTCTATCATGGTTACTTTTGATTCAGTTCACTGTCCCACTGGGTGGAGTGCAGTGGCACAATCATAGCTCACTGCAACGTGGAATTCTTGGGTTCAAGTCATCCTCCTGCCTCAGCCTCCTGAGTAGCTGGAACTACAGGCATGCACCACCATACGCAGCTAATTTTTTTTTATTTTTGTAGAGATGGAGTCTTGCTCTGATGCCCAAGCTGGTCTTGAATTCCCAGCCTCAAGCAACCCTGCCTCGACCTCCCAAAGAGGTGAGATTATAGGCATAAGCCATGGGACCCAGCCACATAATACTTAATATTGCTGAGGAGGTAGATGTCCTTGTTAATAATTGTTAATTAATTAACAATTAAGGATTATACTCTCCTTTCATTCACAGCTCAAAAGAGCTTTATATAGCTTTATAAAATTGATTTCCCAATAGTAGGATGCCACAGGGGCATCTCTTGATCTAGCAATTCAGCTGCAGCAGAGAGAAAAAGAAACCACTGTCACTGGGCTGGATAGATGGGTAGAATAAGAGCCCATCTATTTATTTGAATTCAAGCTCATTCATTCTGATGTGTCATTTAGTGATGTTTATATTTTTATCTCATGGTTTTTTAACCTGATTTTTTTTTTCCAGAAGGAAAAGCAGCTTTAAGCATCATCAAAGTTCAGGGCCCATTATGCTACAACAACTAATGCATTTTGTAACTACCTCATTAGGATAAAGACCCATGGGCAAGTTTCGTTCTAGTTGTTTATAGAGCAAGAAATCCAGGCCCATCTGCTCTTACAGACCTGTATCAAGAAATGCTTCTCTCAGGACCAGATTTTGAGGAAGGTATGAGGATCTTTTCGCCTAAGTTTTCACCTGAGTTGATGTAGAACCATCTAATCCACTCACTATAGAAGAGAAAGATGAGAGTTCAGAGGTGGCAGAAACACAAACAACTCATTCTGTTTCAGGAGATGACACTATTTCTTGTCCCAGGGACATAACGCTCTCATTGTTGGACCTGGCTTCTCGATGGGGCTGAGAAATATCTGCTCTCATGGCTTCCTACTTCTCTGGTTTCCCAGGAATATCAGCTGTGAAAAGGTATGTATCTCAAGCAGGGAATCAGGGGGACAGTGAACTGAACCAAAAATAACCATGATAATCAGGCATTATACACAGTTTTGTATCAGATGCTGTCCTGGGTACCAGGGATACAAAGATGACAAAACATGGCCCCTGCTCCTTACTCTAGTGGGACAGAAAAATAAACAAGTCATTGGGATACATGAAGTGGGAGAGCCACATGCCAAGAGTTGACAAAACACAAAGGAGGGAGCAACTAACACTGTCTGAGGGCCTGGGGACCTGCACAGAGGAGGTGGCCTTTGAGTTGTACTTTAGAAGACGGTTAAGAAACTAACAGGAGGGGAACAGGAAACACAGGGCTCTGGAAACTTGGAGCTTGTTTTTTGCTTATTTACTTATAGGTTTTCTTATTATTATTATTATTATCATTATTATTATTATTATTATTATTATTATTATTATTATTATTATTATTTGAGACAGAGTTTCCCTCTTGTTGCCCAGGCTGGAGTGCAATGGTATGATCTCGGCTCACTGCAACCTCCACCTCCTGGGTTCAAGCAATTCTCCTGCCTCAGCCTCCTGAGTAGCTGGGATTACAGGCACGTGTCACCATGCCTGGCTAATTTTGTGTTTTTAGTAAAGACAGTGTTTCTCCATGTTAGTCAGGCTGGTCTCGAACTCCTGACCTCAGGTGATCTGCCTGCCTCAGCTTCCCAAAGTGCTGGCATTACAGACATGAGCCACTGCACTCGGTGGTTTTCTAATTATTAAAGTAAGAAATATTCACTTTAAAAATATGGAAAGCAAGGCCAGGTGTGGTGGTTCACGCCTGTAATCCCAGCACTTTGGGAGGCCAAGGTGGGCTGATCACCTGAGGTCACGAGTTCAAGACCAGCCTGGCCAACATGGCAAAACCCTGTCTGTACTAAAAATACAAAAGTTAGCTGGGTGTGGTGGTGCACACCTGTAGTCCCAGTTACTCGGGAGGCTGAGGTGGGAGGATCCCTTGAACCCAGGAGGAGGAGGTTGCAGTGAATGGAGATCATATCACTGCACTCCAGCCTGGGTGACAGAGTGAGACTTTTTCTCAAAAAAAAAAAAAAACAACAACAAGGAAAGGAACCCCCCAAAAGAAAAAGCAATGACCCCCAGAAAGTGGTCCATGTCTCCAATATCTAGGGGATAATATTATAGCAATAATTAACTTTTTGCCATAATTCCTTGTTTTCTTTTTCTATGAATTTTAATATAGAATTGCATTTATACTATATTTATAACTTTGCATATTATTTATAGTCAAAACATATTCTATCATTGAAGAACTTGGTAGATCAATATTTTATAGTTTCTTAATTTATCGTCAAAACAGATTTAACATATGTAAGCATTAATTTATTGTGGATTTTTTTCTGGCTCTAAGTTTTCAGTTATATAAAGGATGTCTGTGTGTAAAATTGTGTCATATTTTAGAAGTTGAAATCCTGAGTTAAAGTATATGAATATGATTAATGCTCTTGAAAACTGTCCATATTGCTTTCTACAGAGGTTGCACAATTTAAATTATCTCTAGCAGTATCTTTCCTACCAAACCTTTACCAACACTGCACAGAATTTTTAAAAATGGGTTTTATTAAAATGTACTAATCTTAAATGTACAGCTCACTGGAATAGTATCATTTAAAAAAAACAGTTAATATTTTAATAGGTAAAATTTTGCACCTCTATTATTACTGGTAAAGACAAATGTCTTCTTATGCTTATTAAATTCTCGAGCTTGCTCTTTTGTGAATTGTCAGTTTATGCCATTTATCTATTGAGGTCTAAGTGGTTTTAAAAAGTCTGTATGTTTTATTTATACTTGTCATATTTACTGTAAATATTTTTCCCAGCTTGTTGTTTCTTTTCAGTTTCTTTGTGATGTGTTTTGACAATCAAACCTTTCACTGTTTTTGTGATCAGTTTTTTCAGTCTTGTCCTCTGTGACTTTTTAAAAGTGGGATTCAAAATATTTTCAGAGTTCTTTGAGATGTCTTTGACTATTTGGAAGTATATTTTTTAATTTCCAATTTTCTGAGGATTTTCCAGATATCTTTCTGTTATTGACTTCTAGTTTAATTCCATTGTGGTTGGAGAACATCATATGTATGATTTCTGTACTGTTACATTTGTCAAAGTGTGTTTAATGACCTAGAATGTGGTCTATCTTGGTAAATAGTCCACATAAGTTTGAGAGAAATGTGTATTCTGCTGTTATTGACTAGAGATCCAAGATCCGGTTGGTTGATGGTGCTAGTTACATTATCTATATCCTTACTGATTACTGCCTGCTGATCTGTCAATTACTGACAGAGGGATGTTGAACTCTCCAACATAATAATGGATTTGCCCATTGCTCCCTTCAGTTCCATCAGTTTTTGACTTATGTATTTTGTTAGGTGCATATGTGTTTAGGGTTGTTATCTTTTCTTGGAGAATGAGCCCCTTTATCATTATGTAATGCTCCAATTTATTCCTGATAATCTTTCTCTTCAGAAGTGGCTTTGTCTGAAATTAATATACTCTTTTGATTAATGTTAGCATAGAATATCTTTCTCTATCCTTTACTTATAATGTATCTGAGTCTTTATATAAAAAATGGGTCTTTGCAGGCAACATATAGTTAGGTATTATTTTTAATCTGTGCTGACAATCTCTGTCTTTTATTGGTGTATTTGGACCATTTACATTCAGATCTTTACCGTGAAAACTGGGTAGGGCTCCTGGAGTTAAAGACCACAAAAATGCAACGACTCCCTCAAGACTGCAGCCCTCGGGAATTTCTCACTCTCACACTAGTCCACACTCAGCCTCCAAAATTTAGTTCAAAATTACCATTTAATGTACAATTCTTAATTGACTAATGTCAGTGGAAATCTATGCCAAGGAGGTAATGATCAACACATCTAAAAGACTATTTGTTTTCAGATATACAACCATGGCATAAGCATTTGTCTAGAAAGTTTCTGTGAAGCATCCCTTTAAAATGAATTTGTTTCTATGGACACCAAAAGCATGTGGCCACTTTACACCTACAGAAGATCTCAGAGCCAAGTCTTGGTAGCAGAGAGCCAAGGAGGAGTGACATGGGAGTCAGAGTGGCTGAAAGAGTGACCTTTCCTGGGGGCCCCTTGGGCTATGCTTCTGGAGGATGCAGCTCTAAGAGCTTCTCAGAAACAACATACCAAGCAGGGATTTTATGTCTTACCCAAAGCACCTCCCTTTATCCTGCTGGTTGACTTTGTATCTATCCAGAGCTACTCAGTTTACACATCTGGCCAATGTCACACCATGTTGCCATGCCCTAAAATAATTTCACAGCCCCTATATACCTCCTACCTTCCTATTGTGGTGAGAGAATAAAGGTTCCAGTGTACATTTAGAGCAAAATAAAAATCTGGACGGAGTCGGGTGAAGTCACCTGGACAACTCTTGCAGATCACCAAAAAGACTTAATAAAAACAGCATGTTAAGGCTGCTCTGCCTGTGGAGTGAGTAGCCATACTTTTATTCCTTTACTTTCTTAATAAACTTGTCTTCACTTTATTCTATGGATTCGTTTCGAATTCTTTCTTGCACGAGATCCAGTAACCCTCCCTTGGGGTCTGGATCGGGACCCCTTTTCAGTAACATCTTTTTGGCTAACCACAAAGGAACTATACTGAGGAGACCCCCGATCCAAAGGAAATAAATTGCAGCACCGACTGGCCAACTTTGGGTAAGTGAGGTGTATTTACCCAGGTAAAGGATGGGATTGGGCTAGAGGCCCAACTTAGGAGAATGAGTCTCTCCTAAGACAGAGAGGGTAAAGGCCCCTCTTAATAAAAGGCAAGGATGCTTGACCTAACCCAGATTTGAGTCCCAACTTAGGAAGGTTAGAGTCCTTCCTAAGATTTAGGGGGTTGGAGACCCCTCTCAGTAAAGACCCTCTCAGCTAAGAATGGGTTTGGCACTACAGGGTGTTAACTGCTATTCTCTTTGGATTAATCTGCTTCTCACTCTTTGCTGATGGCTGTGGGTGACAGGATTAGGCATGTACAGGATCATGGGACATGGGGAGCTTTTTCCTCCCTAAAGGGGAATACTTAAGAGCTGATGGGACTGCTGGAACAGGTCCCTTCGAGACTGACAAGCAGCCGCCTGAACTTTTGATTCAGCAACGCTGTAACGGGTGGGTCTTTCTCTGGCCTCCCTGAGCATTTCACCTTCCCCACCCTGCTGCAGGCCATCCTTTTCTCTCTCTTCCTCTCCTTTCTCTTTTCTAACTTTTCTGTTACTCAGGGGAACTGTCCACTCTTTCATCCTGCCCAGAAACCACGTGTTGAAAAATGTTCTTGGGAGCTTGACCTTATAACCGTGTGGCAGTACTTTCTCTTGGTCTCTGCCTTGGAGGAGGCTCATGTCATAGTTTGCCCTAAAAATTATCTTGAGCAGCTAAAAGCCTTTGCAAGTTCAAAATAAGCTGCTCTAGACTCCTTCTTGGAAGAGTAATAGAAACTGTCTAATGTTGTAGCACAGTAGCTAAGGTTTTGCCATTTTACAATTGCGGTTCAGATTCAATTCCTGGCTTAGGGAATAAGTCTTTTTCTGGTTTGATATCTGTGTAACTTTGGCCACTTGTTAATTCTTGGTGCTTCCATGAATAACTCCTGGCTTCCCTTCTTAAATTTTCCTTTCTCTGAGCACAGAAATATTGACCTTTTGGCCTGGTTAAAGTTGGGTAATAAAAATTAAAAGGACTTTTTTTTTAAAGAGCACTGTGGTTAAAAGTCAGCTTAATTAAAAGTGGATATTTCAAGCTTTAATAGCCTAGAACTCCTTGGGAAAAACAGAGGAGGTGCTACAGACTCTGCTTTGGGAAAAATCTGTTTTCCTCATGAAACCCCAGGAACTGAAAGTGGATAGATCGCTCTCAAAATCTAAGGCTCTTTTCTGTTTTGTATTGCATTATCTGATGTTTTTAACTTTTAGGGGTTTCAGAAAGTACTTCGCATTATGAGAGAGCATTGGTGTGTCATAACAAGGTAGGAAATATAGTTTTATGGATGGCTAATGGCAGTTATGGGGGGATACTCGGCTTTTTGCGCATTTAGATCAGAGAAGCATGCTCTTGGCTACCTAGAAAGTATGGCGAAGTCCCCACCCCCCACTGAAAGTTAAGACTCCTATGGGGATGGGCTGATCCCCTCTTTTGGGGATCCAGGATCTGGTATAAAAATAGGACCCTTAATTTTGGGGACCTGTTTTTACCTTCCAGCTGAGCCTACTTATTCAGGGGTAAAAAGTGCATACCTTCCTGGACCTGTTCCTCCAAGGGCTCCACCCTGAAGCCAGTAATTCAATTAAGAAACTGGGAAATGAAAAATTTTACAAGTACTAGATCTTCTTCTGTCTGTGTATTTATATGTGTTGTGTGTGATGTTTATATATGAAAAAGCTTTAATTGGTTTAAAAATAATAAGTGCTGGCCAGGCACGGTGGCTCACACCTGTAATCCCAGCACTTTGGGAGGCTGAGACAGGTGGATCACGAGGTCAGGAGATCAAGACCATCCTGGCTAACATGATGAAACCCCGTCTCTACTAAAAATACAAAAAATTAGCCGGGCGTGGTTGCGGGCGCCTGTAGTCCCAGCTACTCAGGAGGCTGAGGCAGGAGAATGGCGTGAACCCAGGAGGTGGAGCTTGCAGTGAGCCAAGATCCCACCACTGCACTCCAGCCTAGGCAACAGAGCGAGACTCTGTCTCAAAAAAATAAAAAAATAAAAATAAGTGCTTAAATCAAATATTTTCTCAGAAAAGTAAAAACTGCAATGCCTTTAATTCATGTGACTTAAGTAATCTTTGGGAAATAGAAACAGTTCTACATGCAAGGCATGTAAGAAAAGTGAAATGTGTTTTTGGTAAAAGATTGTAGGAAGTCATGGGAATGTGTTTCTGTGTTTGTTTGTTTGTTTGTTTGTTTGCCTAAAGAGTTAAAGGATTATTTTAACTTAAATAGGATAAAGCCGGCCCAGGCACAGTGGCTCATGCCGGTAATGCTAGCACTTTGGGAGGCTGAGGCAGGCAGATCACGAGGTCAGGAGTTCAGGACCAGCCTGACCAACATGGTAAAACCTCATCTCTACTAAAAATATAAAAATTAGCTGAGGGTGGTGGTGCATGCCTGTAATCCCAGCTACTCAGGAGGCTGAGGCAGGAGAATCACTTGAACCCAGGAGGCAGAGGTTGCAGTGAGCCAAGATCACACCACTGCACTCCAGCCTGGGCGACAGAGCGAAACTCTGTCTCAAATAAATAAATAAATAATAACATAAATAGGATAAAGCTAAAAGTTTAAGTGTTTGTGAAAAATTAATCTTGTAAAAGAGATTCTGTGTGTGAACATATTGGCTAAAGTTAAATAGGTATTGTTCAATTTTTCCATAAACTGAACATTAAAATAAAAGCACAACAGGTTTTTCTTAGACTACTGATCTGCTCTTTTACAAAAATTGTAAAGGGTTACAAAAGGTTTATGAGAATCTTACCTTATGGTCAAACTGATTAAGATACAATACATTTGTCTATAAGGTTTTATTAAGAATTGGGTTTAACATCAATAATGCACTAATGCAATGATGAAATTTGGCTTATTTGGTATAAAAATCATACAGGAAGCATTCTCAAATATGAAATGGTGCTTGGCTTTCTTTGGGCTTTATTCGTATAAATGTGTTATTGGTACGTGTTCCAAAATTATGGGAAACTCTTATAATTCTGATATTACTTAGTGTATGCTATTAATAGTTATAATTGTTACATTACATTGATGTATGCCACAGAATTAACAAAATTCCTAGTCAATTGTGGCTTTAATAGAGGCTGCCCTAAGGCATTTTTTTCATCCACAGACAATCATCTTGTTTTGATCCTCTTTAGAAGGTGGTTTTATAATCAACTATAGAACTCTAACAGGCATTCTTAAATGCAGGTTTCTGATAACTTTGGAGATTATTAAATTAGAATAGAGGAAAAAACTTTCAGGACACTCATGGAGAGCTGAAATGTTCATGAATATCAAGCAGAACAGGAGTTAACTGCATGGACTAAACTAATAGAAGTCTGAAGTAATCTTTTTGACTTTTTGCTTAAAACATTGCTAATCCTTTGTTTTTGTTTTTCAGAGTCAAGGAAACTTTTCTTTTGAGTTATTGACAGCTTTTACCAATTGAGTAATGTATATGCCTATGAACAAACTTTGGAGCATACATGTTTTTCTCTACTTGATTTCTCCAGAATATGGAAACTATTTGTTTTCTTAACTTATGGCAATATAGTTATTTGTATAAGCACAATAAGAATCTGTTTTCATTTGTAACAGGACACAATTGGAGAAACGGGTTATTTTACCAAGGATTTGACTGGAATGGTGTGCTTTCCTTTAAGGAATCAAACTCAACTTACAGAGCCAAGAAAAGCCCCTTGGGAAAACTGGCCTCATACCTTGTCTACACAGTCCCTGTGTAGGTTCCTGACCTGTGGTGAGTGAAGAATGTCACTTTGTGACAAACCCAGGAGGCTTAAGTTATCTTGGGACATCAAGAGGAGAGGAATTTACCCAACTCATAGGTATTTGAGTATACAAAGCCATGGCTGGGCTCAGATTTTTTTTAAAAATCTTATCTGAGATTCCTTATGGAACAGAGTTCCATCAAAGACAATTTAAAAACAGCTTATGTGGCCAGGCACAGTGGCTCACACCTGTAATCCCAGCACTTTGGGAGGCCGAGGTGGGTGGATCACTTGCAGTCAGGAGTTTGAGACCAGCCTGGCCAATATGGCAAAACCCTCTCTCTGCTAAAAATACAAAAATTAGCTGAGTGTGGTGGCTTATGCCTGTAGTCTCAGCCACTCAGGAGGCTGAGGCAGGAGAATTGCTTAAACCTGGGAGGTGGAGGTTGCAGTGAGCCAAGATTGTGCCACTGCACTCCAGCCTGGCTGACAGAGTGAGACTCTGCCTCAAATTAATTAATTAATTAATAAAATAAAAAGAGCTTATGTGAAAAATAATCATTCTTGCTGAACTTTATACAAATAATCAGGCCAAGTATAATAATGCAAATCAGTCTTACCATGATTTCTCATTAGTAAAAATGGGAAACTGGAGATAGAAAAATTATATTTCAAAAACTATGGTACACTTGTTATTAAATTCTGGTCTCATCGGTTGTTTTTACGTTTTACGCTTTTGTCTATAATTTAGACTAACTAACTCTGCTTATTCCTGCACACCAACCAGTGATCTCTAACTGCAGCTCAGAAAAAACAAGAGGAATGGGTAATGTAAAAATTCAGATCAGTATTCTAATTCTGGGCAGATACTGGAATCAGCTAGCAACCTCATATTAGCTTGGTTCCAGCAGTTGCCCAGTTCATGAAAAGCCTACCTATTTAGTTTATTTGGGATAATTTTCCTTTACTGTTGTGGAATATATTGTTGTTGTACTCTTTGTGTAGGAATGCAGGATAAGCTTACTTAATGTTTTCTTAAATTGAACACTTACTAATCTTCCAGATATCACCTTTTATGAGAACTCAGAGTTACGAATTGCCCTCACCACACTGATGCTTTCTGACTGAGTTCCACTCTACCCTGAATACAAGAGGCAGGAATATCATTGCCCCTGTTCAGCCTGAAGAAGTTACAGAATATGGATCTTTATCCCTTTACAACCCTTAAGATTAAGGATTCTCTTATAAAAGGGAAGGGGGAAATGTCAGAGGTGTTTGAACCAGAACAACCCCATTTTGAATAGGGGCTGGGTAAAATAAGGCTGCGACCTGCTGGGCTGCATTCCCAGATGGTTAGGTATTTTAAGTCACCAGATGAGATAGGAGGTCAGCACAAGATACAGCTTATCAGGTCATAAAGACCTTGCTGATAAAACAGGTTGCAGTAAAGAAGCTGGCTAAAACCCACCAAAACCAAGAGAGTGACCTCTGGTCATCCTCCCTGCTACACTCCCACCAGCACCATGACAGTTTACAAATGCCATGGCAACATCAGGAAGTCACCCTATATGGTCTAAGAAGGGGAGGCATGAATAACCCACCCCCTTTTTTTTTAGCATATCATCAAGAAATAACCATAAAAATGGGCAACCAGCACCCTCCAGGGCTGCTCTGCCTATGGAATAGCCATCCTTTTATTCCTTTACTTTCTTAATAAATTTGCTTTCACTTTCAAGAAAAAAAACCCAGCATGTTAATTTTATTATTGCAAGAATCAAGCCACAACAAAACCATGGTAATCAAGACAGTGAGGTGCTGGCTTAAAGATAGACATATAGATCAATGGAATAGAATTGAAAATCCAGAAATAAACCCTTACATTTTTGACAAGCTTATAAAGACAATTCAATGGGGAAATAATAGTCTTTTCAATAGATGGTGCTGGGACAACTGGACATCCATATGCAAAAGAATGAAGTTGGACCATTACCTCACATCGTGCAAAAACTAACACAAAATGGATCAGAGACCTAAATGTAAAAGCTAAAGCTATAAAACACTTAGAAGAAATCATAGACATAAATCTTTGTCACCTTTAATTAGGCAATGATCTCTTAGCTATGATACCAAAAGCACAAGTGACAAAAGAAAAAAATAGATAGTTGGACTTCATCAAAATATGAAACTTTTGTGCTTAAGGCCACACAAAGAATGGAAGAAAATACTTTTAAATCATATCTATGATGAAGGACTTGTGTCTTGAATAAAGAAGTCTTACAGTTCAGCAATAAAATAAAAATAACCCTGGAACCCAAATCTTGGTTTCTAATACCATTCTGCAATGGTATCAGTTAAAGGAAAGGGCTCCTGGAGAAATGGCTGATTCTAGGACTAATGCAAGAATATACAAGATAAGCATAGAACATTTTGTAGCTCCACAAAGTAAGAAAGTACTCAAACACCTCCCTGACAAGCACACACACATAATGATGGAGATACCAAGAACACAGGAGCCAACTGAAAGGACTCCCAATGACAAAAGCTGGAATAATTTGAGCAACAAGACAAATAAAGTAGTACTCAATTATAAACCAAAATATAAAATAAATATTCATTTGTCCATATGGATATAAATAAAGAAATGAGGGAAAAGAGACAAATCTCACATGCAGAAGAATTCTGCCATGGTTTGAATGCATCCCGAAGTTTATGTGTTGGATACTTAATCCCCAGTGCAACAGTGTTGAGAGGTAGAGCCTTTAAGATGTGATTAGGTCATGAGGGCTCTGCCTTCATGAATGGATGAGTGCCATTACATGGGAGTAAGATAGTTATTGTGGAAGTGGGTTAGTTATCACAGGAGTGGGTTCCTAATAAAAGGGTTAGTCTGGACTGCTTCCTCGTGCTCTCTTGTTTTATTACCTTTCACCATGGGATGACACATTAAGAAGACCCTGACCAGATGTGCCTCTTGATCTTGGATTTCCCAGTCTCGAGCACTGTAAGAAATAAATCTCTGTTCTTTATAAAATATTCAGTCTATTGTATTCTGTTATAACAGCAGAAAATAGACTAAGACAAATTTCAAATAATTTATGTAGAGATTCTGCCCTCAAAAGGCAGGTCATAACTCCTTAGACCTTAGAGGCAAGCTGTGCATAGTAACTTCCTTGCAAAGAGTACGATATGGAAAGGGGTTGTGGAAGAAACTGGACAAATACTGCCTCAGCTAGATGATTCAGGTCAATATCAATGATAGGCCATGTCAATAGTATATGACGAAAATGGCACTTTTTATGGGTTTCCTCCCCAAACTCACAACCTCAATCTAATCATGAGAAAAACATCAGAAAATCCCAAAAGAAGAACATTCTGCAAAATACCTGACCTGTGCTCCCCAAAACCATGGAGGTCACCAAAAACAAGGAAGGTCTAAGAAACTGTCATAGACGAGAGGAGCCTGACAGGTAATTTGGTATAGACACCTCCAGCATACAAAATGGACCTTGTCAAAGCCTGTTGAATGACCTCTAACCAACTAGAGAAGGCAATGAAACCCAAGGAAATGACAAACAAGTTAAGCTCTAGAAATACCCCCATAAAGAAGAAGAAATTTTTGTCTTTCTGAATTTATCAAATAACAGGGATTATAATAGTAATATAGTAAATAAAAGGTTAATTAATTGTTAAATTATTAACCTTTTTTATTTTTATTATTTTAAAAGTTAGCATTTTAGAACCAATTATTATGTTCTGGTATTGAGTAAATTTCTTTTGTATTCATAATCTCACCTAAATCTCACCTTAGTAGAGGAACTATTACTATTTCCACTTTACACATGAAAGAATTGGGGCTGGCACAGTCTCAGCCCCTGCCAGAATACTTTGCAAGGTGCTACCTTATAAAACAAATGATAAGACCCAACTCTGCTGTCAGGAAGCTATAATCCAGTTAGAACTAGAAATAAAAGGCAATGCCATATGTGATTAAATGCCAAATTAATTGTATAAACTATAAATGTTATAGGATTTCAGCGGAGAAAAAGATTGCCTTGGGCTGAAATGATCAGAGAAGACCATTGAAGAGGCAAGTTTTGGTCAAGACCCCAAAGGAGAAGATGGAAGATGGGAAGGAAGCCGATTCCAGGAAGGAGGGGAAGGCACCAAAGTGGGAGGAGAAAGAGCAGTCTGGCTATGTTGAAGTAGCTGAGTTTTTTTGCTAGGATAATGTGGGCGATAAGCAGAGATCAATTAGGCAAGTCCTTAGATTCCAAGTTAAGGAATTTGAATTCAACTCTATCTTGTACTGAAGGAGCAAGAAACTTTGAGCTTTAAGGGACCAGGTCAAGATAATACTGTGTTAATGAGACATCTTGAAAATAATTTTCACTGTACAGGGCTGTTCAGGATTGAACTTTAAAGAGTTAAGGATTATAGCAGTTATTGAAATATGTATGAGGACTAACCATATAAGCAGCATTTTAGGACCATAAAGAACCTATGTAGAAGACAGGAGACTTCCCAAAAAAGGAAAGAGTGGTGTAAGCTGTTATCAATGACTCAAAAGAAAATCAAGTGCTTGTCTAATTTTCTTTCCCTGTGTCCCTTTTTTTTTCTGTTTTGCTGTTTTCCCATCTCTGTATTTTCTCCTCCTTTGCTATGACTCATTTCCATTTGCTCTCTCAATCTCTCTTTCACTCTCATAAATACTGAGCCCTCACTGTCTCTCCTCTGCACTTCCATTTCAATCCCTTTTTCTTTAAGCTCTCTTCCTCTACTCATCTCTCAAAATGTTGATTTATATCCCACGTTCTCCCTGTGCGTGTGTGCGTGTGTGTGTGTGTGTGTGTGTGTGTGTGTGTGTGTGTGTGTGTGAAGAAAGAAAGGTGAAAGTAGATGCTATTTCTACATGACTCTCTGTGTTGGCTGGGGGCAACAGAAGCTATAGGTGTTATTTAAATATTAGTCTCTTCTCCATCCCAAAATAAAGCAGAGGTGATTTGGATAAATTAGGGGAAAACTATAAGGAGTTACTACAGTATTCTGTAACAGAAAAGGAAAATCTCCTTTGTCCATATTATTAGTCCAGGACAGAGTTATTCTCTATGAATTGGGATTAGTTATATCTCCTATAACTAAATTAATTTTTTAAGAACGGGGAAAATTATAGATTGAGCCTCTGATTAAAATATTTCAAGAACAGACAAGAAAAACCAACAAATAAATGTACTATAGGTGTCTCCTAGCTTTGGAAAAGAAAAGTGTGTATGCTTTTCAAAACGTAACAACACACACTTGGGTGTAGCAACATTACTTGTGCGTACAGCTCTTCTGCTTCATGTCTTCTCTCAGTGTCCCCGACAGGGCAAGGCCCTCAAAGGCAAGAGTGCCCTAGACCGCAGAGAACACTGCACCAAGCTTGATAAGCACTCCTCCCTTTCAAATATGGTTGGTATTGCAAGATTTTTTTTCTTTCTTTCCTTTTAATTTTCAATTTTTGTGGGTGCAGGGTAGGTATATATATTTAAGAGGTACATGAGATATTTTGATACAGGCAAACAATGCATAAAAATTATATCAGGGTAAATGGGGTATCTATCATCTCAAGCATTTATCCTTTCTGTAACAAACAATACAATTATGTACTTTTAGTTATTTTTAAATGTACAATTAAATTATTATTGATTATAGTCACCCTTCTATGCTAACAAATACTAGATCTTATTCACTCTTTCTAAGTATTTTTTTGTAAGCACTAACCATCCCCACTTCCCCCAACCCACCCCCAGCTGCCCTTTCCAGCTTCTGGTAACCATTATTCTACTCTCTACAATATTTTTTTCTTAATTCAAAAGTATGCTGTTTAGAAAAAAAGAGAATAGATTCAGAAAGGACAGTTACTGGTGCAAAAGCAGGACAGAAATGCTTTTAAGCAAAGCAGAAACATAGACCAGGAGCTCTCTGTGAGCTGCTATGAGGGAGTCAATTTCTAAAACATTGTAACTGTTTGGCTTTAAAATACTAGGAAATTTTAAAATACCCTGTATCTCCAAGCATAGTCACGTAACAATGTTAACTTTCTTCTTATAACCTCAATACCTTTGGGAGTAACATGCAAATAAAATTTATTTAACAGATTATAAATAGATTTAATCTAAAGCAACATTCTCTGATGAATTTGTTAAGAAGTTCTGGAGGGTTTGCTATGTGCTGGGCACTGTGCTAAGCACTTGTCCACATCTAATCTTCATAATGGCTCCATAAGGCAAGGAACATTATGGCCACCTTATAAATGAGAACTGAGATGCAAAATGATTAAATAATTTGTCCAAGATTACACTGGTATGGAGCTGAGATTCAAACCTAGGCCAGACTCCATCATACCCACTCTCTACTATTTCATTGATGAGGGATTAAAAAAAGGTGAATCCACCTGACCAAAGTTGTGTTTGTAATCAATGATTCAACTAATGTAGTAGAAAGTCCTGAACTGAGTTCTGAGTTATGGCTTTGGTTCTGTCCCATCTTAGCTGTAGGAGGATGCTTGTCTGCCATCCACCTTGTATTGTCAAGGTCGACATTATCAAAATGATTTTGCCAACATTCATTAAATTAATGCATGAGATGTCACCTCAGATCATTTTTTCAATCCATATGATTTTTCCCTGATTGAACTTCGGTGCATTAAGCTCTTTCCACCACTCAAGGCCTTAATGAAATGCCTTTGCCTGGAAGGCTCATCACACAACTGGAAACTTCTCACCCTCCATGTGTCTGTGTAGTGTCACCTCTTCAGAGGCTTCTCCCAGTCATTCTTAGTAAATTTGGTGCCTATCTGAAGGTATCTTTAGCCAGTAAGTAAATCTCTTATTGGCAGCAGATGGTTGGGTCTTCTTTTTTAATCCAATTTTCCATAAAAAGGAATGAAATATGTCCTTTGCAGCAACATGGATAAAGCTGGAGGCCATTATCCTAAGTGAACTAGCTCAGAAACAGAAAATCAAATATTGCATGTTTTCACTTATAAATAGGAGTACCATGGGTACACATGGATATAGAGTAGACTAAACAATGGGTACATACAGACAGAAAGGTGGAAACAATAGACACTGGGGATTCCAAACTGGGGGAAGGAGGGAATGGGATGAGGGTTGAAAGATTACCAATTGGATATAATGTTAAATATTTGGGAGACACGTACACTAGAAGCCCAATCCCCACCATTACAAAATATACCTATGTATCGAACATGCACACGTACCCCTTGAATCTAAAATAATAAAAATAAAAATAAATTAGTTGAATCATTGATTACAAACACAACTTTGGTCAGGTGGATTCACCTTTTTTTAATCCCTCTTCAATGAAATAGTAGAGAGTGGGTATGATGGAGTCTGGCCCTGTGACACTCTTTTGCAGCTCTCTTTTTATCAACTTCATATATTTTAACCTGATCGATATTTATTTGATATGTTTACTTGTGTATTGCTTGTGTCCCTTATTAGAATATAAAGACTACATCTGTCCTGTTCACCATTGTACCTTCCTTGAACCAGGCATAGCAGATAGCACATAGCAAGTATGTGACCATCATCTGCTGAATAAAAGAATACAGCTCATTCATTGTTCAGTGAAGATCTTGGCTGTCTTGGAAGTATTTTTCTGAATAAAAACAAATCAACAAAAAAAAACAACAAGCACAAAAATATACATATTGGCATAGAAAGATTTAGAAGCAATTTACAACAATCCCATTTTTGTTAAAAAAAAAGTATACTTACAAATATGTGAACATAAGAGGTTAAAAATGGATGCTTCTAATGGTGTGGGACTAAGAGTTTTTTCTTTTTCCTTACCTAATTTTCCTGTAATGAGTGTATATATTGCTTTTGTAATGAGAAAACACAAAATAAATTTGGAGATTGGGTGTTAAGATTGACTAATGAAACCTTTAATAAACAAACAACAATAATAAATTCTAATGGTTAACCAGGCACAGTGGCTCACGCCTGTAATCCCAGCACTTTGGGAGGCTGAGGCAGGCAAAACACCTGAGATCAGGAGTTCGAGATCAGGCTGGCCAACATGGCGAAACCCCATCTCTACAAAAAAATACAAAACATTAGCCGGGCGTGGTGACACACTCTTGTAGTCCCAGCTACTCAGAAAGCTGAGGCAGGAGAATTGTTTGAATCCGGGAGGCAGAGGTTGCAGTGAGCCAAGATGGTGCCATTGCACTCCAGCCTGGGCAACAGAGCAAGACTCCATTTCAGAAAAATAAAATAAAATAAAATAAATACAAAAAATAAATAAGTAAATTCTAATGGAGCCATTAGAAGAAGGGTATTTGGGGGTCTTTAGCCTCACTTGTTTTCTTTGATGTTCGTAACCGATATTTTCTCAAAATCTTGTAAGGTGAAAAAAAAAAAGGCAACTTCAATCCCCTGTTTCCATCTAGTTTCCTCACTTAAGATTCTCTTGGTAGAAAATCTGGAAGCACTCGTCGCAAATGCCTTTACAACACTATGTTGAAAAATAAAGCTAGGTGGAGACGATAGACCTCCAAAGGGCAGATTTTCATAGCACAATTGAGTATCTCTGAGCCTCAGTTTCCCCAACTATGATACAGAATAAACTAGACTGGAGCATTTCTAAGGTACTATCAGTTCTTATGATCTTATCACTATATTGATTATATAATGGGTATAAGAGTTTATAAGCTTAAAATATCATAGATGGTAGAATAGAGAGAGAGAGAGAGATCGGACAGATAGATATTTCCATATACTGAATCTCTTTTGTACAGATGTATAAGTAGATTTTACTATATTTAACAATGCTAATGGATGCTAAAATCCACAGCATTTCCATAAAAAGCAACACAAATACTAAAATAACCAACATACCCTTACCAAAAATGTTTAAAAGTGAAAAAAAAATCAAAAGTTCTGTCTGACAATTTCAAACATTCTCTTTACTAGAAATTGTTTTTAACAAAAGCTTAGGGAAAATTTATTCCATATAGGTTTAGAGAATTGGACATAATGTACAGAACTTGAGAGCACAAATTTCTGGTTAAGCACAGTTACCAATAAGTTCAAGCTTGGAATTTTTAAGAGCAAAAAGTAGGTAGACACTGGTAATTTCTCTTAAATTATAGAAAAAATTGTCTGGCACATTGCAAATACCCAAAACTTTTTTTTGTTGGATTAATAAAGGAAAGAATACAATATAGTGAATACAAGGGCTCCAAACACACAAAATAATTCATTGCAATCACACATTAGAAGAGACAGTTCCAAGTTTAGAGAATTACCCTCCTTGCCTCACTTTCAGCTCCTCTCTACTTTTTGTCAGCATATTTCTGCTGAGGATGGTCATTTTACCTCATAAAGGTGTCCTCTCACTACCCTTGAAATAACTTACTCATA
This sequence comes from Homo sapiens, assembly GCF_000001405.40. NCBI lineage: Eukaryota > Metazoa > Chordata > Mammalia > Primates > Hominidae > Homo > Homo sapiens. Next base: position 98,826,380 of record NC_000004.12, read on the forward strand.
ATATAGGAAGAGACAATAGACAGGGAAAATAAGTCAAACATTAAATCAGCAGTGTCAATATAACACATATTGTAAAGTTAGGAGTTTGGTCCCAGACCTCACAAACCCAGTTTAAGTACTGGCTCTAGCAGTGGACTTTAAGCAAATCATTGACTCTCTTTGAATCTCAATTTTCTCAGATGTCTTACTCAGCTACTGATTATTTAAAGATTTTTTTTAAATAATAGGTTTGAGATATAACTCACATATCACACAGTTCACCTATTGAAAGTATACAATTAAATGGTTTCTAGTGTAGTCATAGAGTTATGCAACTACCACCACAATTTTAGAATGTTTTCATTACCCCTATACCTATTAGCAATCACTCCACATTTCTCTCCATCCTCCCTCCCTCAGCCCTAGGAAATCACCAATCTATATTGTCTCTATAGATTTGCCTATTCTGGACATTGCATATAAACGGAGTTATACAATATATGGTCTTTCATAACAGGCATCTTTTACTTAGCATAGTGTTTTCAAGGTTCATCTATGTTGTAGCATGTATCAATATTCCATTTTATTGATAAAATATACTCTGTTTTATGGATGTACAATGTTCTATTTATCCATTTATCTGTTGATAGATCTTTAGAGATTTTGTTAAATGGCTTCTGTTCCTTGGAGTAACATTAACTTAGGTGGGTTGCTTTTTTCCCTTTAGTTATCTACAACCAGTTTATAAATGAAATTCCTCATTAAAATAGGTAGTTAGCCAACACCAAGCAAATGTTCTTAAAATGCCATTATTGTCCTTTGCTCAAGCAGTTGTAGGATCCTGCCACATTTGTCATCTTGACCTCATTTATGGCCATATATAGACACTGCCCACTACCAACAACTGCAACACCATCTAATCCTTGATTTCAATGGCTCTGCTCTGGTACCTTCTATGTTTTCAGTTGACTTCCTCAACTACTGTCACTCCAGCAACTCTTTGCCCTCACCAGAATATCCAGTCCATCCACCCTCCAATCTTTTCACTGTCCAGCAATCCCTTCATGTTCCCTCTCTCTCTCTCTCTCTCTTTTTTTCTTTCCGACACACCAAGGTCCATGCAGGAAACTGCATGTTCTCATTTCCTTCCTTACCCAGCTTAGAAGCCATGATCCATCATCATCATCATGATCATCATCATTCTCCTGCAGGAAAACTCCACTCCTAGTCCCTCTGCCCTCTGTTGTCCTTGCCCAGCAACGTTATAGCCCTGGTCTAATGCCCTGCCTACTCTGTCCCCAAATTTGAGAAACTGAACATGACTGGATAAAACCACCCAATATGCTGAGGGTCATTACTTTAAATGAGTGATCACAAATCTCAAGAGGGCTTCCAGTATGCCTGAAAAATCCTATTTCATTTCCTGTGTTTATTTACTCAGTTTCCTCTACAGCTGTTGCACACTTTCTTCCCTCTTCTTAAATTTCGAGCCTCTTGCCCTTTCTCACTCTCACTGATGAACTCGCTTTTTATTTCACTCAGAAAACAGCTGCAATCATAAAATAACTTTTTTGGCATTCCTTCAACAAATCTACCTTCATCTATATGCATATACTCTGCCAGAATCTTTCCAATTACAGCAGATGAACCAAGTTTGTCAGAGCGAGAGTATACATAACCACTGATGAAAGTTCTGAAAAAAAGATTTAGATAATCATGGAGATTTTAGAGTTAAATTAGTGTAAAGTATATAGAAAACTAATTTTAGGGCCATATTCTCCACTTGTATACTGGATCCCAACCCCTCTGGCATTCTGCAAAAAATTGCACAGCAAAAAAAAAAAAAAAAAAAAAAGTAATCCTAGTTTACTACCTGGCTTATCTATGGATAAGGTTTAATAGTCATAATAAAATAAACCTGAATATGGACCTAACAAAAATTATGGGGTTAGGCATCATCTATTAATTTCCCACCATGGAAGATGAAAATTTAGCTTTCTGTCCTTCCCCTCAGCCTCTCTGATAAATAAGAACTTAAGAAAGTAATTATCTCTACTCTGTCATCCCTTTCTCACTGTTCATAGGAGAGCCACATCAGAGCATTTTTGAGCATTTTCCTTCATGGGGAAGGCTCCAGGGTGGTTCTTAAAAAAATAAAGAAAGAAGAAAGAAGGAAAGAAAGAAAAAGGAAGAAAGAAGGAAAGAAAGAAAAGAAAGAAAGAAAAGAAAAGAAAAGAAAAGAAAAGAAAAGAAAAGAAAAGAAAAGAAAAGAAAAGAAAAGAAAAAGAAATATTAATGTCCCTCTCTTCCCCATACCACTAGGATCTAGGGTGTTCCCTCTGCAGGTGCTAAGGTTTTTGCTCCCTCTTCCATTGCTACAAAATCCAGTCCAGTGGCTATGTCTTCACCTTCTTTTCCAGTCATATCCCTGCTTTTACTCATCATTTTGTTGAAAAGGTCAAGTGCAAGATGGACAAAACTTACAGAGGCCTATTACATCACAAACTCTGGCCAACCTGGGCCACTATATGGGGACTTGGCAAGCAGTGTGCTTAACTTAGTGGTCATTATCTTTATGATCTAGGATCATGTCAATACAAAAAGAGAATCCCAGTGCCTGAGTCAGAATTAAGTTTGACTCTTCTGTGCCCCCTTTTGGCTAGTTGTCGCTCGGAGGGTGTGCCAAACAGGCTGGCCCTGGTTGCTCTTAGAAGAAAGAAAGAAGCGTGCCCAAGAATGGTCGGGACAGAATCCCACTAAGTCTACATAGCCCTTCACCTCTGGTCATCACCCAGGGAGTGACTGAGAGGAAATGACTCCTTTTGGGAAATAGCTGCGTTAATTGATCAGATTGCCTCACTAAGGTGTGTTGAGTGGTAGGAGGTGAAGGAAGGAGAATTAGAAATCTTTTTGAGTGGGTTTTTTAGGAGGCCATTCTAACACTCAATGATACCAGATGCCTGTGAATGGTAGAGAACATGGAAGGTCCATTGAATTTCTTCACAATCAGCCTATTGTTGAGTGGCTAATTTTGTGACAGTCACTTTTATGATAAAAAGTATACTAATATCAGACTACAAGTGATTCAAAAGTCCAAGTACCTAACACAGGTGACTTTCAAGGACCACAATTCTGGACAGTAAATGAACTTTTCCCCTGCTTGAGAGGAAGGGACTATCTCTATCTTCCTTGACTGTTCACTACAACAACGTGAAAAAAGTGTCTGGACCCAGGCAGGCAGAGCCTCTGCTTGCAAGATGTACAGAAACGTGAGAGACCCATTTCTTTAAACAAATAGTTGGATACAGAATTAATATCAGAAGGAATGACAGAAAGATATATATTTACATATTTATATGTACATGTATAAACATATACACACACACATACACACATGCATATATATATCACAACGAATTACAACACAAAGTAGGGCTGAGTGCGGTGGCTCATGCCTGTAATCTCAGCACTTTGGGAAGCCAAGGCGAGTGGAACACTTGAGGTCAGGAGTTCAAGACCAGCCTGGCCAACGTGGTGAAACCTCATCTCTACTAAAAATACAAAAATTAGCTGGGCATGGTGGTGCCTGCCTGTAATCCCAGCTACTTGGAAGGCTGAGGCAGGAGAATCACTTGAACCTGGGAGGCAGAGGTTGCAGTGAGCTGCAGTCATGCCACTGCACTCCAGCCTGGGCAACAGAGTGAGACTCTGTCCAAAAAAATAATAATAATAATAAAAGAAACAAATGGGTTAATTATTAAAATTAATATTGCTAAAATAAGAAATAAATAAGCCTGTGAATATGATACCCCAAGAACACAATAGCATTCATATTGTTTTCCAGCCAAAAGTTCATACCTGAATCTGACTATGAGAAACCATCAGACAAACCCAAACTGAAAAAATTCTATAAAACAACTGACCTGCCTTCTCCAAAATGTCTTATGAAAGTCAAAGACATTCTTATGAAAGACAAAGAGAGACTGAGGAACGTCCTCTAAAGAGAGTGAAGAGTCATGATAACCAATGATCCGCGACTGATCCTGTCCCAAGAAAGAATGAAATTGCTACAGATGACATTATTGTGACAATTAATGAGATTGGAATATGGGCTGCAGATTAAATAATAGCATATAGCAATTTTAAATTTCCTGAGTTTGATTACTGTATTATTACAACATAAGAAATATTTTTGTCTGTAGGAAATACACATGGAAGAATTAACAGGTAAAGGGGCATGATAAAAGTAACATACTCTCCAATGGGTCAGAAAAAAATGTATCTATACTGAGAAAGAGATAATAAAATAAATATGGCAACATGTTAAAACTTGGTGAATCTGAGCAAGAGGAGTATGGGAGTTCTTTGTACTATTTTTGCAACTTTCTGGTAAGCTTGAATTTTTTAATAAGAAGGAAAAATAAAAAATTTAAAATAACAAATACTTGGGGGTAAAGTATTAAGAAGAATTATTCAAGATCTCTATGAAGAAAACTTTAAAACTCTACTAAGAGACACAAAAGGAGCCTTGAATAACTAAAAAGGCATCATAATGAAGAAATAGCTTCATTAAGATGTCAATTCTCCTTAACTAGGTGCATAAATTTTATACAATTTTGATTGACTTAAACAGCAAGAAATAGCACAAAGTCATTTAAAAAATACTACAGTAGATATTAAAATGTACTATAAAGCCAGTTGAATAATGTTATATGGTAAGGTAGACTGCTCAGTGGACTAATTACAAAGGCAGAAATGCATCCAAATACACATGCACATTTTTGACCCAGCAATTCTTTTTTTTCTTTTTATTTTATTCATTCATTCATTCATTCATTCATTCATTCATTCATTCATTTTTAGATACAGGGTCTTGCTGTGTCACCCAGGCTGGAATGCAGTGATGCAATCATGGCTCACTGCAGCCTTGAACTCCTGGGCTCAAGCAATCCACCCACCTCGGCCTCCCAAAGTGCTGGGATTACAGGCATGTGCCACTGTGCCCAGCCTGACCCAGTAATTCTAATTATTGTATTTTGTCAGGTAGGTAATATTTGCATGTATGGAAAATGACATCTGTACAAAGTCATTCATTACAGCACATTAGTAATACCAAAACATTGAAAATAGCCTTACTGTTCATTAATATGGGACTGATTAAATAATGATCTTCCCACACAAGGGAATTCCATGCATCCAGAAAGGAAAATGAGAATATACTCTATGTACTGATAACAAATGATCTCCTAGATGGAGAGCAAGATATTTAGTACACCATCACTTAATTTTTTAAAGGAAAGGAGGGGAAAATTACAAGTGTCTATATCTCTGTGTCTATATACATTGTGGTTGATAGAAAACAAAGAATGGCAATGGGAATTCAAAATATTACTTTTATTATTGATAAAGCTCATGTCAGAGAACACAACTCAGGTATGCGCCAACAGTAGATTCCCCAGTACTAAACCCAAGAACTAGGCAGTCTCATTCACTTGGGCTGGGCCCCCACAACCCTCCCCATGTGAGGGCCACTCTTGTCCATGCTTAAACATGATTGGAGAGCAAAAAGTCTGTTTGCTGGAGTCACCTTGCTCCAAAAAGGAAGGGCACGAAATAACTAAGCTTCGTGCACCAATTTTTCTGCCACCCTCATCAATCATATAACTCATTATTTTCTGAGGAGAGGAGAAAGGGATGGGGGCCGAGGCCAGGAGAGTTAGGGAAAAAACACTTTTCAGGTAAACCTTGTGGATGAACAAAAGAAGTCCTTCCCCAGCCCCTTCCCCAAGAGAATAGACAAGAAACTGGAAACTCTGAAGGCCTCTGGCAACAGGCACTAGATGACTGGGGGCGTGGACAGAAGGAGGCCATTTACTGGGTTGCCTTTTCCATTTTTGAAATTTTGAACCAGAGGACTCTATTTATATTGAAATATAAATAAAAATATTTCCAAATGATTATGTGCAGATAATTAAGAGCTGTAAGGAAAGAATAAAGGAAAAATATTGAATTCATGTATCATTTGCTTCATGATGAAATGAATGGAATTTTACCTAACTTGATATAATTGGAAAATGTTTCCAAAACACAGGTAACCTACCCAGAAAGTATAGTTGATCCAGCCATGTTTTTGCTCCTTCTGCATGAAATGTATTGTCTGCCCATCAAGAGACCACAGATGGGGGAGCCAGGTGCAATGGCTCATACCTGTAATCCCAACACTTTGGGAAGCCAAGGTGGGAGGATCACTTGAAGACAGGAGTTAGAAACCAGCGTGGACAACATAGGAGATCTTGTCTCCACAAAATATTTTAAAATCAGCTGGGCATGGTGGCACGCACCTGTAGTCCCAACTACTCAGGAGGCTGAGGCAGGAAGATTGCTTGGGCTGAGGAGTTTGAGGCTGCAATGAGGTATGATTACGCCACTGCACTCTAGCCTGGGTGACAAAGTGAGACTCTGTTTCAAAACAAAAAGAAAGAGAGCATAAATGAGGTTGAAGAAAGTAGCTACAGGCTGGATCTGTGAAAAACCCAGAATCTAGAAGAGAAGGCAATATGATCAGTAAAATGCCTTCTCAGCACGGGGGACTCATAACATGTGGGCAAGGGTGCTCTGGGTTGAGAGCTCATGTTGACCAACATTGATAATGTTAAAGAATGTCTTCTCCATACTCTGAGAGTCGCTTCTCCTTCAGGGCTGGAGTTGGTCATATAGGTGTGTTTGCTCACGCAGAAGGGGCAAAATGAACTTGTGTGGGTCCCCATTTTGTGCCTCTTCAGACTGACTTCTTCTTTGCCTCTTGGACATTGACAAATGGAGAAACTGAGATATAGCTCAGTAGCTCTCACCTTGACTCTGCTATTGAAGACCAGAGAAATCTAGACTTTTATGACTACTCCCAGATTTTACATATATATATATACATATATATATACACACACACACACAAATAATCTATTATATATATATATATACACACAAACAAATAATCTAGGAGTAGTCATAAAACCCGTGTGTGTGTGTGTGTGTGTGTGTGTGTGTGTGTGTGTGTGTGTATAGGTTTGTTTATTTTTTGCTAATTTTCATACCCTTTTTTATTCATGTTCCCATACTTCTGATAGACTCTGAAGTGTCAAACCAGGCATATTTTTAAAACAGGTACTATAAATAGGTCATGAGAGGCAGCCAAGGAAAATGTCACCAACTCACAGTGGCACTGAAAGAAACATTTCAAAGAATAATTGACTCAAAGTGCTTCCTTGCTGAGCATGCAAAGGCTGAGGCAATGGTGAAAGAATGTAATGTGCCAAATTCAAAAAGGGCATTTAGGACAACCATTCTACCTTGTTCTATCCCTCGTCCCCTGACTTCCTCCCATGGAGAAATCAGCTTCTCCCTGACTGGCTCTGCTGGATTTAAAAAAGTGTTGTGTAATTTTTATTCTGAGTTTTCCAATTAAGGTAATGGATTCAGGAGAATAGATTGTGTAACAATGAAGGAAAAATGAGAAAGAAAAGGGTGTTAAGAGAAAGAAACAACATAAAAGAAATAGCAAGCAATATTGAAAACAGAACCAACCAATCAACAAACATAACCCAACTTTTCTCCCAAACACTGCAGCTTAGAGGTGGCCTCAGGAGATCTATTGCCTAGGGCGGGACATTTGTCTCCCAGGACCTCGGCCTTCCAGGCAAGGAGGCTCTTCACACCTGATTGAAACAGTGGCTGGTCCCTGGACCAGAGGAGTTGTGTGGTGAAGCTTTCCCTAATCTACGTGAAACTGATGAAAAAGGGAGCAATGTAGCTGACCTTTTATGAAGCTAACATTCAAATAACTCTCCAGAGTCTCATTCTGTTGCCCAGGCTGGAGTGCCGTGGGGAGATCTTGACTCACTGCAACCTCCGCCTCCTGTGCTCAAGCGATTCTCCTGCCTCAGCCTCCCAAATAACTGGGATTATAGGAGCAGCTAATTTTTGAATTTTACCACCCCTCCCAGCTAAGTTTTGAATTTTTAGTAGAGACAGGGTTTCGTCATGTTGGCCAGGCAGGTTTCAAACTCCTGACCTAAAGTGACCCGCCTTCCTCGGCCTCCCCAAGTGCTGGGATTACAGGCATGAGCCACCATGCCCAGCCTAAATAACTATCCTTTTTTATTCTGATGTTGTCTTTCCTAAATTTATGGTGCTAAAATGTTATGTTTTTATCTTATGGAAATAGTAGATGCTAGTTGCTTTTTTTTTTTTTTTCAGTTGCTTTTAAATATACCCTACCTGGCCTAAATAAAAAAAGGTTGGGAACTCCCACATTCTCCAATGTTTTTAGAAATATATATCTTAGTGGAGGGGCACAGTGGCTCAGGCCTTTAATCCCAGCATTTGGGGAGGCCAAGGCAGGCAGATCAGCTAAGGTCCAGAGTGATCGAGACCAGCCTGACCAACACGATGAAACTCCATTTCTACTAAAAATACAAAATTAGCCAGGTGTGGTAGTGCATGCCCAGCTACTCAGGAGGCTGAGGCAGGAGAATTGATTGAAACTGGTAGGCGGAGGTTGCAGTGAGCCGAGATCGGTCCACTGCACTCCAACCTGGGTGACAGAGCAAGGGTCTGTCTCAAGAAAAAAAAAAAAAGAAAGAGAGAAAGAAAGAAAGAGAGACAGAGAGAAAGGAAGGAAGGAAGGAAGGAAGGAAGGAAGGAAGGAAGGAAGGAAGAAGGAAGGAAGGAAGGAAAGAAAAAGAAAAGAAAGAGAAAGAAAGAGAAAAAGAAAGAAAGAAAGAAAGAAAGAAAGAAAGAAAGAAAGAAAGAAAGAAAGAAAGAAAATATATATTTTACTGATCCATGAAGTATAATATCTTATGCTTCTGGCTGGGCACGGTGGCTCATGCCTGTAATCCCAGTGCTTTGGGAGGCCAAGGTGGGAGGATTGCTTGAGCTCAGAAGTTTGATATCAGCCTTGGCAACATAGCAAGACCCTGTCTACAAAAAATTTAAAACTTAGCTGGGCATGGTGGCATGTACCTATAGTCCCAGCTACTTGGGAGGCTGAGGTGGGAGGCTCTCTTGAGCCCAGGAGGTTGACGCTGCTGTGAACCATAATCAATATTAGTGCACTCCAGCCTGAGCAACAGAGCGAGACCCTTTTAAACAAACAAACAAACAAACGAACCCAAAAAACAGATATCATTATGGTTAATTTGGTGAATTTACTTCAAATGAATATCAAAAATCACAATGTGGCAGGTTAGCAAGTACACATATAATTTTTTGAATTGCAAATAATGGGTAAACATATCACTCTTCAAAAATTAGAAGGAAGAGTTAATTTAAAATTCTATTTGTCTTTAAAGACTTGCTTTCTTTATAAATCACTTTCTCATTGTAATAGCTTTAACAATTATCCTTTAAAAAATAGAAATTTACTCTTATTTTAATATCTTTAGTAAAGTCAGAGCAAAATATTAATGTAAAATCTAGAACTTTTCATTCCTGTGATCCAAAAAATTGTATCTTACTAAAAAATGATAATCATGTAATGGCATGTCTGTATTTCCCTTCTGAAATATTTTAGGATACAAGTTTGCATTACTGAACATATTTTAGACCCATTTACTTGCATCTCTGGCTTCCTGGACAAATTTTCAGGACAGTAGACCTAAAGTCTCATACCAAGATGTGAGTGTAGTCCCTAAAGGATTAGAACAATGGCCTGGAAATCATGATAGAATCATGGTATTGGACAGTAATTCAGCGATCTCTGGGTTCAGCAATTCTTGACAGTGCTTCTATTAAGTGCTTTTCAGTAAAAGAGTTCTTTAGTCAGGCAAATTTAGGAGATCCTGCATAATGCATTTCTACTTTGAAAATCCACAATACACATTGGCATGTTAAAACTTCTGAGAAATCCTACATTAAAGAAAATCTTTAACTTGGCTTAATCCAATATTCCCAAACTTTCTTTAGCATTTAATACTCATGAATGAAGCACACTTTGGGAAACAATGATCGAATACAACCTGTCTTACTGGTTGAAAAAGGGGGATCAGTAAAAGTTTAAGAGACTTGTCCAGTAGGTAGTAGCAGAGTACAGTCAGGACCAGAACCCAGGCCCCCTGGATCCTAACCCAGGGCACTTTCTACTATGACATGCTACTTTTCTTTTACCTCATAAATAATTTAGAAGTGATGATGAAAACCCTGTTATCAAAATAAAGTAAACCCAAATGGATACAAAGTGCATTCTTAACTATTTCCATGCTTTTCCAGTTGATGTTGTTAAAACAACATTTTAAAAAACTTGAAAGATGGCCGGGCATGGTGGCTCACGCCTGTAATCCCAGCACTTGGGAGGCTGAGGCAGAAGGATCACCTGAGGTCAGGAGTTCGAGACCAGCCTGACCAACTGGTGAAACCCCATCTCTACTAAAATACAAAAATTAGCCGGGCGTGGTGGTGGGTGCCTATAATCCCAGCTACTCGGGAGGCTAGGCAGGAGAATCACTTGAACCTGGGAGGTGGAGGTTGCAGTGAGCTGAGATTGTGCCATTGCACTCCAGCCTGGGCAGCAGAGCAAGATTCCATCTCAAAATAAATAAATAAAACTTGAAGGCCGGGCGTAGTGGCTCACGCCTGTAATCCCAGTGCTTTGGGAGGCTGAGGCGGGTGGATCACCTGAGGTCAGGAGTTCGAGACCAGCCTGACCAACATGGAGAAACCCCGTCTCTACTAAAACTACAAAATTAGCCAGGCACAGTAGCGCGTGCCTGTAATCCCAGCTACTCGGGAGGCTGAGGCAGGAGAATGGTTTGAACCTGGGAGGCAGAGCTCGTGGTGAGCCAAGATCGTGCCATTGTACTCCAGCCTGGGCAACAAGAGCAAAACTCTGCCTCAAAAAAAAAAAAAAAAAAAAAAAAAAAAAAAAAAAAAAAAAAACTTGAAGGTTAAGTGTGTGCATATATAAGGAAGAAGGGAGGCTTGTGATTGGTGAATGATGTGAGGAAGTTGCTTTTTCCACAGGCTGTTATTCAAATTTTACGTTTGCATGTATGAAAAGTTGAGACAAAGATGTGAGCTTCTAAATAACACACTGAAGCCCTCTCTGAGAATCAAGTTTTACAAATTAGACAGTATGAACTTGGATACCTTGTGTCAGAGATTATTTTGGGCATGTGTCTGACAACTGATATTTGGAGTACAAAATAATACACTGTACAACATAAGTTCTCCACAAAATATGTTCATTCTTATTTAGTAATCTCTAACACCTTTAAAGGAATTTTTCATCTAGAATTTTAAAAGGTAATTTTAAAAACATTAATTTTAAAAAATACTCCTTTTAAAATTTTTGAAATAATTTTTATGTAGCATTGGTGTCCCATATCAGAATAGAATTAGTCATGCATTTCCCATTAGTTTGGAATATTGTGAGGTGGTTAATTTTAGTGTTCCCGGATGACTTCCATTACTCCCTTAAAACAGGCCTTAGTGATCCATGTCATACAATGAGTTAAACACACACACACACACACACACACACTTCTAATTTAATAGCTCTTTATCTTGAAAAAAAATTAAAGAAATCCATCTCCAAATTATCCCACATAGAAATCCTGTGATGATTAGGGAACAGAATTTTCGAGTGGTCTTCATTTAAATAATGACAGAAATGGTTGGGGACAGTGGCTGTGTGCTCAGCACTGTGCTGAAATTAAAATAATACTAGGTGAGTGCAAAAGTAATTGTGGTTTTTGCATTGTTAAAATTTGCCATTTGATATTGGAATACATTCTTAAATAAATGTGGTTATGTTATACATCATTTTAATGGGTATTTCTCACTTTTTTGGCTAATAACATTACTTTCTGTTTATGTTTATTTTAGACTACAGAAATGATGTTAGACAAAAAGCAATTTTCTTCGTTGAGTTCAAAATGGGTCGTAAAGCAGAGGAGACAACTTGCAACATCAACAGTGCATCTGGCCCAGAACTGCTAATGAACGTACAGTGCAGTGGTGGTTCCAGAAGTTTATGCAACAACAATGAACCATTTCTCGATTGGATTGTGACATGTGACAAAAAGTGGATTTTATACAACAACCAGCAATGACCAGCTCAGTGGCTGGACCAAGAAAAAGCTCCAAAGCACTTCCCAAAGCCAAAATTGCACCAAAAAAAGGTCATGGTCACTGTTTGGTGGTCTGCTGCCAGTCTGATCCACTACAGCTTTCTGAAACCCAGTGAAACCATTACATCTGAGAAGTATGCTCAGCAAATCGGTGAGGTGCACTGAAAACTGCAAAGCCTGCAGCCAGCATTGGTCAATAGAAAGGGCCTAATTCTTCTTCACAACAATGCCTGACTGCACATTGCACAACCAACGCTTCAAAAGTTGGACGAATTATGCTACGAAATTTGGCCTCATCTGCCAACCAAGCATTTGTCAAATCTTGAAGCAAGGATCTTTATACTACAGGAATAAACAAACATTTCTCACTGACAAAAATGTGTTGATTGTAATGGTTCCCATTTTCATTAATAAAGATGTTTAAGCCTAGTTATAATGATTTAAAATTCAGTCTGAAACCACAATTACTTTTGCACCAACCTAGTTTATTCAAAAAATTTGCAATTTAATATATGACCCTTTTGTCTTTTACCTTTTTATGAGAGTATTTTTTCTCAATTTAAGATTATTTTTAAGTTACAGAGAAAAAAATCACATGTTAAATTTTTACAGCCTAAGGCTATTTCTCTCTATTCATGGCGTACACCACACCTTCATAATCCTGTCCTTGTTTCTCTAAGCTTCTGTTGTAGGCACAATTCTAAGATGGTCACCATGGTCTCTGCCCCCTGGTGTTTCTCCCATGATTATATTAGTTACATGGCAAAAGTATTTTGCAGATGTAATTAAGGTTACTAATCATGTGATCTTAAAATAGAGAGATAGAGAACTTTGGTTGGTGTAATTTAATCATATGAGCCCTATAAAAACAGATTTTTCTCTAGCTGGTAGTAGAGCTGGAAGTCAGAGAGATTCCAAGTGTCAGAAACATTTGACATGTCATTGCTGGCTTTGGAAGTGCAGGAAACCACGTGGTGAGAAATATTAACAGCTTCCAGGAGCTGAGAGCAGTCCCTGCCGGACAGCAAGCAAGGAAACAGGAAGTGCGATCCTTCAACCACGAAGAGCTAAGCACTGCCAACAACCTAAAGGAGCTTGGAAAAGGATTGTCCCCTACTCCCCCTAGGTAAAAGCCCAGTCCAGCCTATACATGACTTTAAAAATGTGTTAAGAAAAGTTCTAATTCTTATTATTTTTTTAAAAATCAAAAAGAGATATTGAAATTTTTTAAATGCTTGTATGCATCAACAGAGATAATCCTGTCATTCTCATTTCTTATCTATTAACCTGGTTAGCTGTTATTGTTTTCTTTGTGACTGTTCTTGTATTTCTGATATGATTCCAACTAGAGTATAGGCTATTACTGCATTAATGTGCTACTAGATTCTTTTTTTTTTTTTTTTTTTTAGACAGAGTTTTGCTCTTGTTGCCCAGGCGGGAGTGCAGTGATGCAATCTCGGCTCACCGCAACCTCTGCCTCCCAGGTTCAAGCGTTTCTCCTGCCTTGGCCTCCCAAGTAGCTGGGATTACAGGCATGCACTGCCACACCTGGCTAATTTTGTATTTTTAGTAGAGATGGGGTTTCTCCCTGTTGGTCAGGCTGGTCTTGAACTCCTGATGCCTGCCTCGGCCTCCCAAAGTGCTGGGATTACAGGTGTGAGCCACCATGCCCGGGCGTGCTACTAGATTCTAATTGTTAATATTTTAAAGTTTGTGCACTGATATGTGTACAATTACCCTGTAGCCTTGCTTTGTGATACTAGTTTTGTCAGGTATATTAACTGACACTTATATGCCCATCCCAACATGCTGATGCTTATCATTTGCATGGTATATCTCTTTCCATCCTTTTGTTTTTAATATATCTTTCATATTTAAAGTTCGTTTCTTGTGGATAGAATACATTGGAGTCAGTCTTGCTTTTTTAATCCATTCGATAATCTCTACCTTTTAATAGTTTAGTCCATTTATATTTATGCAGTTATTAATATGGTAGGATTTTGATCTACCAATGTAATTTTTAAAATATTTGACCCTTCCACTTTTTGTTGGGCTTTTCAATTTTTGCAGGACTTTTTTTGCCTATGTGGTGGGTGTGGGGTACTATCTTGTGGTTTTACTTTATATTTTCCTAAATACTGATAAGATTTAGCACCTTTTCACATGTTTGTGAACTATATGGGTATCTTCCTTGTAAAGTTGATTAGGTTTTTTGGCAATTTTTCTGTGAGTTTTCTTAACTTTTTCCTTCTTGATGCTGTAGAAGTGCTTTATATATTCTGGTTGGCTATATATGTTGCAATTTCCTTCTCCCACTCTATTGCTTGCCTTTTTACTATCTTAATGGTCTTTTTTTGAGAAATACAGGCTCATAATTTTAATGTAATCAAATTAATTTTTTCTTATTATTAATGCATTTTGTGCCATGGCCAAAGGCCACGAAGATGTTATCTTCTAAATATTTCATTGTTTGGCCTTTTATTTAGGTCTTTGATATGGTTTGGCTGTGTCCCCACCCAAATCTCAACTTGAATTGTATCTCCCAAAATTCCCATGTTGTAGGAGGAACCCAGGGGGAGGTAATTGAATCATGGGGGCTGGTCTTTCCTGTGTTATTCTCATGGTAGTTAATAAGTCTCATGAGATCCGATGGATTTATGAGGGGTTTCCACTTTTGCTTCTTCCTCATTTTCTCTTGCCACTGCCATATAAGAAGCACCTTTTGCCTCCCGCCATGATTCTGAGGCCTCCCCAGCCATGTGGAACTGTAAGTCCAATTAAACCTCTTTTTCTTCCCAGTCTCAGGTATGTCTTTATCAGCAGTGTGAAAATGGACTAATACAGTAAACTGGTACCAGTAGAGCGGGGTGTTGCTGAAAAGATACCCGAAAACATGGAAGCGACTTTGGAACTGGGTAACAGGCAGAGGTTGGAACAGTTTCGAGGACTCAGAAGAAGACAGGAAAATGTGGGAAAGTTTAGAACCTCCTAGAGACTTGTTGAATGGCTTTGACAAAAATGCTGATAGTGATATCAACAATAGGACCAGGCTGAGGTGGTTTCAGATGGAGATGAGGAACTTGTTGGGAAATGGAGTAAAGGTGACTCTTGTTATCTTTTAGTAAAGAGACTGGCAGCATTTTGCCCCTACCATAGAGATTTGTGGAACTTCGAACTTGAGAGAGATGATTTAGGGTATCCAGCAGAAGAAATTTCTAAGCACCACAGCTTTCAAGAGATGACTTGGATGCTGTTAAAAGCATTCCATTTTAAAAGGAAAACAGAAGATAAAAGTTTGGAAAATTTGCAGTCTGATGATGCAGTAGAAAAGAAAAATCCATTTTGGGGGGAGAAATTCAAGCCAGCTGCAGGAATTTGCATAAATAGCAAGGAGCCTAATGTTAATCCCCAAGATCATAGGGAAAATGTCTCCAGGCCATGTCAGAGACCTTCACAGCAGCCCCTCCCATCACAGGCCTGGAGGCTCAGGAGGAAAAACTGGGCCCAGGGTCCCTGTGCTGTGTGCAGCCTAGGGACTTGGTGTCCTGTGCCCCAGCCACTCCAGCCATGGCTGAAAGGGGCCAACATACAGCTCGGGCAGTGGCTTCAGAGGGTGGAAGTTCCAGGCCTTGGCAGCTTCCATGTGGTGTTGAGCCTGCAGGTGCACAGAAGCCAAGAATTGAGGTTTGGTAACCTCTGCCTAGATTTCAGAAGATGTGTGGAAACGCCTGGATGCCCAGGCAAAAGCTTGCTGCAGGGCGGGGCCCTCATAAAAAACCTCTGATAGTGCAGTGTGGAAGGGAAATGTGGGGTCAGAGCCCCCACACAGAGTCCCTCCTGGGGCACTACCTAGTGGAGCTGTGAGAAGAGGGCCATCGTCCTCCAGACCCCAGAATGGTAGATCCAACAACAGCTTGCACTGTGTGCATGGAAAAGCCACAGACATTCAATACCAGCCCGTGAAAGCAGCTGGGAGGGAGGCTGTACCCTGCAAAGCCACAGGGGCAGAGCTGCCCAAGACCAAGGGAACTCACATCTTGCATCAGCGTGACCTGGATGTGAGACCTGGAGTCAAAGAGATCATTTTTAAGCTTTAAGATTTGACTACCCCGCTGGATTTCAGGCTTGCATGGGTCCTGTAACCCCTTTGTTTTGGCCAATTTCTCCCATTTGGAAAGGCTGTATTTACCCAATACCTGTATCCTCATTGTACCTAGAAAGTAACTAGCTTGTTTTTGATTTTACAGGCTCATAGGCAGAAGGGATTTGCCTTGAGACCTTGGACTGGGGACTTTTGGGTTAATGCTGAAATGAGTTAAGACTTTGGGGGACTGTTGGGGAAGGCATGATTGGTTTTGAAATGTGCAGACATGAGATTTGGAGCATCCAGGGGCGGAATGATATGGTTGGGCTCTGTCTTCACCCAAATCTCAACTTGAATTGTATCTCCCAGAATTCCCACGTGTTGTGGGAGAGACCTAGGGGGAAGTAATTGAATCACGCGGGACGGTCTTTGGTATGCTATTCTCGTGACAGTGAATAAGTCTCACGAGATCTGATGGGTTTATCAGGGGTTTTCGCTTTTGCTTCTTCCTCATTTTCTCTTGCCGCTGCCATGTAAGAAGTGCCTTTTTCCCCCCGCCCCCACCATGATTCTGAGGCGTCCCCAGCCATGTGGAACTGTAAGTCCAATTAAACCTCTCTTTCTTTCCAGTCTAGGTATGTCTTTATCAGCAGTGTGAAAATGGACTAATACAGTCTTTATCTCAGCTGGAATTACTCTGTGTGTTTGTGATATGAGTTCGGGCTGAAGCTTCTTTTCTTCCACAGCAATGTCTAATTTTTCGTGCATCATTTGTTGGAAAGGCCATCTTTTCCCCCCACTGATAGTGTCATCTTTGTCATGAGTCAGGTGTTCATATATACATGAGTCTATTTCTGGGTTTTCTATTTTATTCCATTGTCTTATTTTCTGATCTTTGCACCAAAAGACTGTATTTTTAAAATTCCTAATACTTAAAAATAAGTCTTGACACTTGGTAGGGCAAGTTCCCTGAAAACTGTTCTTTTTTATTGAGTGTCTTATCTATTCTTAGCCTTTTATTTCCACATAAGTTTAAATCACTGTTAATTTATACACAAAATTTCCATTGCCATTCTGATTAATATTACATTAAATCTATAGCTCTATGGGCAATTTGAGTGAATTGACAGCTTACAGTATTGGATTTTTCATTCCATGAACATGACATATAGCTCCCCTTATTTAAATCTGTTAAAATTTCTTTCAGTAATCTATTTAGCTTCCTGCATAAAGGTCTTTAACATTTTTTTTCATTAGATCTGTTCATTAGACATTTTTTATGCTAATGCTAATATTGCTTATTTTAAATTTTATTTTCTAACTGCTTGTTAATGATATATAAAAATATGATTTATATATTGCTTATGAACCCAGAAACCCTGCTAAATTCTAAGTTCACAATCCTATTATCTGCAAATAATGACAATTTTATTTTTTATCTCATACTCCTGTGCATTGCTATTTTCAGTTTCGTGATCTCTCTAGGACCTCCCATAGAATGTTGAATAGAAGTGGGCAAATTTATCTTTCTCCCATTCTTAAAGGGAAACCTTTTTACTTTCCCTGGTTAAATATAACTTCTGCTGTAAATTTTGGTAGATGCTGTCTGTAAGATTAAGGAAGTTCCCTGCTATTCTTAATTTACTAGCAGTATTTTTAAAATCATGGATGTTGGATTTAGTATAATCCTTTTTCTGCATATATTGAGAAATATTATAATTTTTCTCCACTAATCTATTAATTGGTGAGTTATGTTGGTAAGTTTTCTGATGTTAAGCCAACTTGAAATCCTTACATAAATCCAATTTGGTCATGATATATCATCTTTTTTTTAAGTGAAAGCAAGATTATTAAGAAAGTAAAGGAATAAAAAAATGTCTACTCCATAGGCAGAGCAGTGTCTTGGGGTGCTCAACTGCCTGTACTTATTGTTACTTCTTGATTATATGTTAAACAAGTGGTGGATTATTCTTGAATTTTCCAAGAAAGAGGTAGGTAATTCTGGGAACTGGGGGTTCCTCCCCTTTTTAGACAATATAGGGTAACTTCCTGATGTTGCCATGGCATTTATAAACAGTCATGGTGCTGCTGGGAGTGTCTTTTAGCATGTTAATGCATTATAATTAGCATATAATAAGCAGTGAGAGGGGTCAGAGGTCACTCTCATCACCATCTTGGTTTTGATGGGTTTTAGCTGGCTTCTTTACCACAGCCTGTTTTATCAGCAAGGTCTTTATGACCTGTATCTTGTGCCAACCCCCTATCTCATCCTGTAACTAAGAATGCCTGACCTCCTGGGTGTGCAGCCCAGCAGGTCTCAGCCTTATTTTACCCGGCCCCTATTCAAGATGGAGTTGCTCTGGTTCAAACACCTGTGACATATTTCCCCCTCCCTTTTACAAAACAACCTGTAATCCTAATGGTTGTAGAGGAATGAATACCCATCTTCTGTAACTTCTTCAGGCTGAATGGGGGCAATGATATTCTTGCCTATTAGGGTCTCTCATATTCAGGATAGAGAGGAGCTCGGTCACAAGATATCTGTATGCTGAGGGTCATTCATAACTCTGAGTTCTGACAAAAGGTGGTATCTGGAAGATTAATAAGTGTTCAATTTAAGAAAACATTCAGTAAACTTATCCTGCATTCCTAAACAGAGTACAACAGCAATATTTTCCACAACAGTAAAACAAAATCAGTAAAATTATCCCAAGTAAACTAAATAAGAAGGATTTCCATGAACTGCGCAATTATTGAAACCAAGCTGATATGGGTTTGCTAGCTGATTCCAATATGTGGTCAGAATTAGAATATTGATCCAAATTTTTACATTACCCGTCCTTGTTTCTTCTGAGCTGCAGCCAGAGATCACTTGTCGGTTCACAGGAATAGGCAGTCAGTCTATTGCTGCAAAAAAAAAAAAAGAAACAACTCAAAAACAACTGATGGCATTAGAATCTAATAACAGATATATCATAGTTCTTGAAATAATTTTTTTCTTTTTCCAGTTTCCCATTTTTACTAAAGACAAATTATGGCAAGACTGATTTGCTTTATTATATTTGGCCTGGTTATTCGTATAAAGTGCAGCAAAAATAATTATTTTTTACATAGGCTTTTAAAATGGGCTTTGATGGAACTTTGTTCCATAAAAGGAATCTCAGATAAGACTTTTTCTGAAGTCAAGCCCAGGCCAGGGTTTGTACCCTCAAATACCTAGGAATTGGGCAAATTCCTCTCCTCTTGTTGTCCTAAGATAACTTGGGGCTCCTGTGCCTGTCAGAAAGTAACATTCCTTACTTACTACAGTTAGGAACCCTGTACAGGGACTGTGTAGACAAGATATGGGGCCAGTTTTCAGCTTTTATTGGATCTACAAGTCAAATTTGATTCCTTAAAGGAAAACATACTATTCCAGCCAAAGCCTTGGTAAAATAACTAACTTCTCCAACTGTGAACTGTTGCAAAAGAAAACATTCTTACTGCATTTATGCAAATAACTATATTGCCATAAATTAAGAATACTCACAAATAGTTTCCAAATTCTGGAGAAATCAGTTAGAGAGAAACAAATATACTCCAAAGTTTGTTCACAGGAGTATACTTTGCTCAATTGTTAAAAGCTGTAAATAGTTCAAGAGAAAAGTTTTCTTGGCTCTGATAAACAAAACAAAGGATCAGCAACATTTTAAGCAAAAAGCCAAAAACATTACTTCAGTCTTCTATTAGTTCAGTCCCTGCAGTTAACTCCTGTTCTGCTTGATATTCATGAACATTCCAGCTCTCCAGGAGAGCCCTGAAAGTTTTTTCCTCTATTCTAATGTCACAATCTCCAAAGTTATTAGAAACCTACATTCAAGAGCGCTTGTTTGTTAGAGTTCTATAGTTGATTATAAAACCACCTTTTGAAGAGGATAAAAACAAGACAACAATTATCTGTAGATGACAAAAAGTCTTAGGGCAGCCACTATTAAAGCCACAATTAAATAGGACTTTTGGTTATGTCTGTGTCATACAATAATTGTACATAACAATATAACTGTTATACACTAAGTTATATCAGAATTATAAGTTTCCCATAATTTTAGAACACATACCAATAACATATTTATACAAATACAGCCCAAAGAAAGCCAAACACCATTTCATATTTGATAACACTTCCTGTATGATTTTAATATTCCAAATAAGCCAAATACATCATTTTTGGACTTTAGGGGACTTAATATATAAAAGATTAACTACATAAGAAAAAGACATAATTTATAATTTGATTTTGGAAAGTTTGTCAAATATTAAAGGTTTAAGTACTTGATATTTTAAAATAGAATATGAGGTTACTATAAGCCATTCATTTAGACAAAATGATAACTCAAAATTTTCAAAAAGGAAAACCTTTACTTATTAATAGAGAGAAGACTTAGCTTTCCAAACAGTCTGTCTCTTTTCTTCCCCTTCTTTTTCCTGTAGTTTATTCAAAAGGCAAACAAAAAATTTTCATTTTTTTAATATACCATGAAAATCTTGTTCAAGAGAAAGCCTAAATTTTACCTCTGCATTAAAGCATTATTGATGTCAAACCCAATTCTTAATAAAACCTTATGGACAAATCTATCAAATTTTAATCAGTTTGATCATAAGGTAAGATTCTCATAAACATTTTATAACCCCTTACAATTTTTTTGTTAAAGAGCAGATCATTGCTCTCAGGAAACCCTGTTGTGCTTTTATTCCAATGCTCAATTTATGGAAAAAGTGAATAATGCCTCTGTAACTTTTAGCTAATATGTTCACACACAATTTTTTTACAAGAGTAATTGTTCATAAACCTTTCACAACTTGTTCAAACCTTCAGCTTTTTCCTATCTAACTTGAAACAATCCTTTAACACTTTAGGCAAAAAAGATCCACATTCTCATGATTTCTTATAATCTTTTACCAAAAACACATTTCACTTTCCTTATACACCTAGCGTGTAAAACTGTTTCTTCAATAGCCTCAATTATATGTTATAATGTTAACTCTTAGAAACAATTATTTTTGGACGAAAAAAAAACCTGAGAACTAAGGAATTTTAATTATTTACTAGATGTGGAGCCTAGGACATCAGACAGAAGTGCAGATAAGGTCTGCCTCTTTCCAGCATAGCTAGGGGCATGGCTGACTCCAGATGTGCCCATGCCTTATCTAGAATCTAATGCTCCAAAGTAGTTAAACGGAAAATTTTCAAGAGTCAAAGAAGTTGGTCATGGTGGCTCAGACCTGTAATCCCAGCACTTTGGGAGGCTGAGGCAGGTGGAACAGAACAGAACCTTAGATTTTGAGAGGGATCTATCCACTTTCAATTCCTGGGGTTCCGTGAGGAAAATTTTCCCCAAAACAGGTTTTTCCCAAAACATGATCTTGTGCCTCCTCAGTTCTTCCCAAGAAGTCTCAGGCTATAAGAGCTTGAATATCTGCTTTTAATCAAGCTGACTTTTAACCATAGCGCTCTTATAAAAAAAAAAAAAAAAAGGTCGTTTTAAATCTCTTATTACCTGACTTTAGCCATGCCAAACCACCAATATTTCTGACTTTTGAACTTTACCAAAGGTACCTCCCAGGTGCTCAAAGAAAATTCAAGATGGTTCATGGAGGGGAAGAGAATAAAAAAATGTCAAACGTCACTCAAATATCAACCAGAAAGTACGCATACCCTAAATCAGGATTGAACCTGCCACTGTAAAATGGCAAAGCCTTAGCTGCTGAGCTACAACATTGGGCAGTTTCCATTGCCCGACCCAGAAGGAGTCCAGAGCAGCCAATTATGAGCTTGCAAAGGCTTTTAACTGTTCAAAATAATTTTTAGGGCTAACTATGACAGGAGCCCCAAAATCCCTGTTCTATGGAAGCCAGAGACCAAGAGGAAGTACTGCCACGTGGTTACAAGGTCAAGCTCCCAAGAACACTTTTCAACATGTGGTCTCTGGGCAGGATGAAACAGTGGACAATTGCCCTGAATAACAGAAAAGATAGAAAAGAGAAAGGAAAGGAAGGGAGAAAAGCATTGCCTGCAGCAGAGTGGGGAAGGCAAGGAGTTCAGGGAAGCCAGAGAAAGACACACCCATTACAGTGACACTGAATCAAAAGTTCAGGCAGCTGCTTGTTGGTAGTGAAGGAATCTTTTCCAGCAGTCCCATCAGCTCTTGAGATTCCCTCTTTGGGGAGAAAAAAAGTTCCCCATGTCCCATGATCCTGTACATGCCTAATCCTGTCACCCACAGCCATCAGCAAAGAGTGCAAGGCAGATTAATCCAAAAAGAATAGCAATTAACATCCTGTAGTGCCAAATCCGTTCTTAGCTGAGGTACTTTACTGAGAGGGATCTCTAACCCTCTAAATCTTAGGAAGGACTCTAACCTTCCTAAGTCAGGCCTTGAAGGCAAGTGCAGTCAAGTGTCCTGCCTTTTAAGAGGCACCTTTAACCTACTCTGTCTTAGGAGAGACTTTAACTCTCCTAAGTTGGGCCTCTAACCCAATCCCATCCTTTACCGGGATACCCTACCACTTACCCAAAGTCAGCCAATCAGTGTTGTAGTCTATTTCCTTTGGGTTGGGGGTCTCCTCAGTATAGTCCCTTTGGGGTTTGCAAGGAAAATGTTATTGGAAAGGGGTCCCAATCCAGACCCCAAAGAGAGGGTTCTTGGATCTCATGTAAGAAAGAATTTGAGGCAAATCAGTAGAGTAAATTGAAAGCAAGTTTATTAAGAAAGTAAATTAAAGAATGGCTACTCCACAGGCAGAGCAGCCAGTCATGATACATTATTTTTTAATGTATTGCTGAATTTGTTTTGAAATTATTTTATTTGGCCAGGCGCGGTGGCTCACACCTGTAATCCTAGCACTTTGGGAGGCCGAGGCGGGTGGATCACCTGAGGTCAGGAGTTCGAGACCAGCCCGACCAACATGGAGAAACCCCGTCTCTACTAAAAATACAAAATTAGCCGGGTGTGGAGGCGCATGCCTGTAATCCCAGTTACTCGGGAGGCTGAGGCAGGAGAATCGCTTGAACCCAGGAGGCAGAAGTTGCGGTGAGCCGAAATCGCACCATTGCACTCCAGCCTGGGCGACAAGAGCGAAAACTCCATCTCAAAAAAAAAAAAAAGAAATGATTTTATTTAGCATGTTTGCATCCATGTTCACAAATAAAATCGGCCTTTATTTTTCTTTTCTCATTTTGTCCTTGTTGGATTTTTGTATCAGGATTTTGCTAGACTTATAAAATGATGTGGGAAGTTTTCCTCTTATCTATTCTCTGGAAGAGTTTACAAGATTGAGATAATTTCTGCCTAAATGTTTGGCAGAACTTGTAGTTGATGCCATCTGGGCCTGGATACTTTTGTATGTGTGTGATAGGTTTTTAATTATTAATTCAGTTGCTTTAATAGTAATATGATTTTATTCCTCTTTCTTTCATAGGTTTAGTGAGTTGCATTTTTGTTGAAATTTGTCCCTTTAAATCAAACTTTCAAATGTATTGGCATAAAGTTATAAAAAAAAAAGTTTGTTATCTTTTGAGTGTTTGTAGAATCTGAAGTGACATTTTTCTTTAAATTCCTGATCTTGGGTATTTCGTTTTGCTTTCTTTCTTGATCAGACTGAACAACTTAATCAAATGTATTAATGTTTACAAGGAACCCACTTTTAGTTTGGTTGGTCCTTGCTTTTGTAGATTTGTTTTCTGTTTCATTCATTCTCCTATCTTTTTACCATGCTTTTCCTGAGCTGTAAATTTGTTTTAATTCTCTTATCTTTAACACTCCTTTCTTTTTACTTCTTTTCTAACTTTAAGCATTAAAATGAATGCTTAGCTTATTAGCTTTCAGCCTTTTTATTTTCTAATGTAAAGTTTCCTCTAAATAGTGTTTTAATTGCATCTCACAAGTTGAGGAGCCACTGACAATTTATTCTTCTACTTAAAAAAAAAATATGATTTCCTTATTATGTTGATTTGTCTCCCTCCTCTGGAATATAAACTCAGTGAAGGCAGATATTTTTGTCTATTTTGTTCACTGATTTATCCCCAGAAACTAGTACTATGCCTGGCACACAGTAGGTAATCAAAAAATATTGAAGGAATGAACAACTTAGAAGTTGAGGGCACCTGTAGTTCTAGCTACCTGGGAGGCTGAGGTCAGAGGATCACTTGAGCCCAGGAGTTCCAGACTGCAGTGAGCCATGATTGTGCTATTGCACTCCAGCCTGGGTGACAGAGTGGGACCCTTCTCAAAAAAGAAAGAAGGAGGGAAGGAGGGAGGGACGGAGGGAGGAAGGCAGGAAGGAAGGAAGGAAGGAAGGAAGGAAGGAAGGAAGGAAGGAAGGAAGGAAGGAAGGAAAGAAGGGAGGAAGGAAAGAAGGGAGGAAGGAAGGAAGGAAAGAAGAAAGGAAGGAAGGGAGGGAAGGGAGAGGAGGGGAGGGAGGAAGGAAGGAAGGAGGGGAGGGAGGAAGGATAAAGAAAGAAAGAGAAAGAAAGAGAAAGAGAGAAAGAGAAAGAAGAACAAGAAAAAGAAAGAAAGAGAAAGAAAGAACAAGAAAAAGAAAGAAAGAAAGAAAGAAAAGAAAGAAAGAAAGAAGAAAAGAAAAGAAAAGAAGTGGATGATTGTTGTGAAGAAAACAGAACTGGGTGAGGAAGACTGGGAAACAACATGGAGTTTTTACAATTTGAGGAGTTAGAGTCAAGGTAGAGCTTGATGAGCAATGACTTGAGGAGGAGTGGGAATATGCCATATGGATATCTGGAGGAAAGAGGCTCTAAGCAGAGGAAAAAATGGAAAAGCCTTGAGACTGGAATACTCTAGAAACGTCAAGGAGAACAGAATGGCTGGTGTGGAATGACCAAGGAGGAGATTACTAGGTGATAGGGAAAAAAAGAGGTAAAGAGTGTCAGAGCACATAGAGTCTTTGGGATATGAAAAACTTTGGCTTTTATTATGCGAAATGAGGAGCTATTACAGCGTTTTGAGCATGCATATTGCGTTTTTAAAGGATCATTTTAAAGGATCATTCTGGCTGTGCTGAGAATATAACAGAGAAGGAAGGATAGAAGTAGGAAGACTAGTTAGAAGGTAAGCTAAGACTTATTGAAGTGACTTCAGGCAAAAATTGGAAGAATTAAATTGGATACAACAAGGAAACACAACCTTTTTAAGTTTTGCAGAAAAAAAAAACAGAAATGATTTAAGGAAAGGTTTTATTTTTTAAGACGGTAGCGATAAACAAATATTTGTATACTAATAGAAATGACCCAATAGAGAGCAAAGCATGAGTGGTTCCCAAAACCCAGGATTCTAAACTCTGGGAGAGGAAAAGAATCAGTACAAGAGGGTGAAGGGAGAAGAGCAAGAAAGATACTAGGGCCTGATGGAGAGTGGTCACTGAGACTTTTATGTAAACACTAGCTTCAAATTACAGCTACCGGAAATACCATTCCCCCTGGAAAGTTTCAGAGTAGGGTGGCATATCTCCTCCCCTTCCACATAACCAATGCTACAATTGCAAATCAGGAAAGAATGGTTTCACATAGAAGTGAGAGTGGGTTTGTCAGCCTTTTCTCCAACCTCCATGGGAGAGCTGCTGTGGACCCCAGAGTTCACATTACCACCATTTCTTCCTTGCATTCTTGATTTTATTTTCTGGTAAACTGCATGTGGTTTATCTTAATATTTAAATCCTACCTCCCCACTCCTGCACCATATTCCCTCATCAAGACACGTGCTGTCTGTTCTCTTTATTTTGCAAATCCCATAGCAGAATTAAGTGGGTGGGTTATTTGCCAGCAGATCATTTAGAGAAAGATGTAATCATCTAGATCGGGGTTTCTTGACTTCAGCACTATGACATTTGAGGCTGGATAATTCTTGGTGGTGAGGGGTGCTGTTTGGTGCATTGTGGGATGGTTAGCAGCATTCTTGGCCTCTCCCTACAAGATGCTAGTCACACCTTCCTCCCCACTTTCCCCTCATCCCAATTGTGACCAAAAAAACAAAACAAACAACAACAATAACAACAAAAAAACAGAAGTACTCCAGACATTGCCAAATGTCCCCTAGGGTTCAAAAATTGCTCCCAGTTGAGAACCACTGATTTAGATGTAAATTTTCTCAATTCATTAGCCAGGAGCAGTGGCTCATGCCTGTAATCCCAACACTTTGGGAGGCTGAGGCAGGTGGATCACCTGAGGTCAGGAGTTTGAGACCAGCCTGGCCAACGTGGTGAAACCCCACCTCTACTAAAAACACAAAAATTAGCTGGGCATGGTAACGGGCGCCTGTAGTCCCAGCTACTCGGGCGTCTGAGGCAGGAGGATCACTTGAAGGAGGTGGAGGTTGCAGTGAGCCAAGATTACGCCACTGCACTCCAGCCTGGGCAACAGAGTGAGACTCATCTCAATAAGTAAATAAATAAAATTTCTCAATTCATTATCAACAGATCCTGGTGGTGTCAATAATATACGGAAAGAAGCTGAGGATTTATTAACTATATCTTTATTCTCTGATTTATTTATGTCAAGGATATCAGTGTTAACCTTCCACTTCTTACCACCATTCCAAAATGAATATTATGGACCCTCATTTTAGCAACTGGTACCTTTCTGCACATGATTGGCCTGGGAGAATAAAGGAATGAGTAAAGTCGGACTATGGAAATTTAAAACATCATTGGTGAGATTTTACCATCAGAGGCTCTTCAAAATATTTGCCTCAAGCATCATGGAAGAGACTTTTTTTTCTATCAACTAATTGCTGATAACCTAAAATTGATGTTATCTGCATTGGACCCATTAACATGTATTACTTCGTGAGGTATCAAAAAAAACCACACAGCATCAGAAAAGCTCAATCAAGATTGAAAAAAGATAAATTTGAAGAATTTATGCTACCAGAATTCAAGACTTAGTGCAGAGTTGCAGTAGTTAAGATAGTGTGGGATTGCCACAAGAATATACAAATAGACCAGTGGAAGAGAATAGTCAGAAAAAGACCTGATTTGTGACAGATATCAGTGCAACTCTGTAAGGGAATGAATAGCTTTTTAATAATTGGTATTGGAACAATTGAATTTATAGGACAAAATGAAACTTGACCCCTCCCAATCATACTTTGCCCAAAATTAATTTGAGATGTATCACAGTATCAAGTGTATAAAATACAACAATAAAGCATTTAAAACAAGAGAACATCTTCAAGACAGTCCTAAATAGAACACTAACCATAAAAGACTAGCTTCATTAAAATTAAAATTAAAATTCATCAAAAGACAGAACTAAATATGTCAACAGGCTGGGCATGGTGGCTCACATCTGTAATCCCAGCACTTTGGGAGGTCAAGGTGGGAGGATCACTTGAGGTCAGGAGTTTGAGACCAGACTGGGCAACAAAGCAAGACTCCATCTCTACATCTAAACTATATTTAAAATTAGAATTAAAAAAGCAAACCACAAACTTAGAGATTTCCATGGCATATATATCCAACAAAGGCTCGTATCCAAAACAGCAAGAAAATGACAAATAATCCAATTTTTTTAAATGGGAAAAAGACCTGAACAGGTCTGTCACAAAATAGGCTATTCAGGTAGCCAACAAGAATATGCAAAGGTGTTGAATATAATTATTTTTCATAGAAATAATAATTGAAACTACAATGAGGCCGGGTGCAGTGGCTCATGCCTGTAACCCCAGCACTTGGGGAAGCTGAGGCAGGTGGATCACTTGAGGCCAGGAGTTTGAGACCAGTCTGGGTGACCTGGTGAAACCCCATCTCTACTAAAAGTACAAAAAATTAGACGAGTGTGGTGGTGGGCACCTGTAGTCCCAGATACTCAGGAGGCTGAGACAGGAGAATCACCTGAACTCGGGAGGCAGAGGTTGCAATGAGCTGAGATGGTGCAACTGCACTCCAGCCTGGGCAACAGCACAATACTCTGCTAAAAAAAAATCTACAATGAGATAACTCACCTACCATATGGTTAAAATTAAAAAGACTGCCAATATAAGATATTAATGTTGCTATGAAGCAACAATTGGAACCTTCGTTTATTGCTGATAAAATAAAAAATTAGCCAGGCGTGGTGGCGCATGTCTGTAATCCCAGCTACTCAGGAGGCTGAGGCAGGAGAATCGCTTGAACCCGGGAGGCAGAGGTTGCGGTTAGCCGAGATTGCGCATTGCACTCCAGCCTGGGCAACAAGAGCAAAACTCCGTCCCAACAAAAAAAAAAAAAAAAAAAAAAAAGATAACTTTGTTCAACCACTTTGGAAAATGGTTTGGCAATAAAAAAATTGATGGCACTATGTGCTAAAACAAAACAGTTCTATTTCTAGACACATACCCAAGAGATGAATGCACATGTCCACCAAAATATATCTTTAAGAATGTTCACAGCAGCGTAATTCATAATACTAAAAAACTAGAAGCCACTCAAATGTCCCTCTGTAGAATGAATCAGTTATGTTATGGTCTTACAATGGAATAGTACAGAGTAATTTTAAAAAATCAAAAACCTTGATGCTTGCAACAAAATAGATTAATACTATAGACACTGTATTAAGTGAAAGAGGTCACAACAGTGCATACTGGATGATGCATTTATATGAAGTTTGAGATCAGGCAAAACTAATGAATAATGACAGAAGTCAGAATAGTGATTATTAAGGGTGGTATTGACTAGGATGGAACATGAGGAAACCTGAGGAGACAGAAATGTTCTATAGATGTACATGGATGATAGTTTCATGGATCCTCTAGAAAGTGCAGATCACTCTTCTGAGGCATTTTGCTGTAAAGCAGAGAATGAAGGCAGTGGCTGGCAGAGCAAACAACAATAAGAAAAACAAAAACAGGTTCTATAGGAGCAGAGGTGAGACCAGGATACCTGTGAGTCATTGTCTACGTGAGCAGATGAAATGGGAGCCTAGGGAGTTTTCTTCCGATTGCCTCCATTTTCTCAGAGAATTAGGAAGCAAAAATCATCAGAGTGAGGACAAAGGAAGTGACTTGGAAGTATGGGGAAACAGCAGCAGGAGATAATTAGAACAGGAACGCAGTGAATGGACCAGGGATATATACGACACTCATGAGGTAGGTTCAGGGCAGGGAAGTTCATGTGGGTGGGTTTCTCTCCAGTTATGTTCTGCTGCACAGAGCACAGGCACTTCTTTGAGAGGAGACTTGGATTTAACCAGCCTTGCAGTTTTACTATAGGGTAAACATAAATTTTGTGCGTGAGATAATATATACCTAGGAACCTTATTTTTACCAATTGGGGCATCATCAGATCTAGGTTCTTTCAGTGCACAAAACTAGGAAATTATTTAAATATATTTGAAGAAGTTCATGTTGACATTTATAATTCATATTTAAGACTACAGTGATCTTTCTGAACTTTTGATGTGATATTTGCAGCTCTTTTCTCTGGCAGTGAAAATCTTGGTTGATAATTACAATACTGATATTACTATCAGCAATAAAACTACCTAGCAAAGTTTAAGTTGAGTTCCTTTTTTTCTTAGAATATATCCTATTAAGGATGTACAAGTGGAGTACTATATTCAACAGTCACTTGGAATCATTACTTTCTCTGTATGGATCATAACAATATGAAATAAAAACAGGTTCTTTAATTGTTTGAATTAAATTTGGATGTTTGCTTTTTACACTTCTAAATTAATTTTTAAAACATTTAAAACACACTGGTAAGAAGAAAATCAAAACTATAGAAAAGGTTATATTCAGAGAAGTCTTGCTTCTATCCTTGTCCTCTCCTCATCCCCTCTTCATTCCTTATAGGTGACCATTTCTTACTCTGAAAGCTGGTAGTTTAAAGAGAGGAATTAAACTCTGAGGACAAACCAAAATTTATCTGCAGCTGATGAGTGAAAATTATTCTTTCTGACTGAGAAAAAAATGTGTTAATAAATGAAGAGGAATTTACTTGGAAAATCTTTCTGCAAATCTCAGTAAAGTAATTCAGACAAGGATGCTAAGACCATTAGATATAACATTGTTGGAGAAGAAAATATTGGCGCAGAACCAAAGTATCACCCCATTCTGAAGCTGAGTTCAAAACAAACAAACAAAAACAAAGTACCACCCCACAGATTACTTGCTTGTTGCAAAGGAAAAACATATCACTACAATGGAGAGATCTCATATTATCATCCTAGCCAGGTGATCAAGCTTGACATTATGTGCTTACTGATGGGAAGCAATATGCCATACACAGCACCAGCCATGAAAATAAATATTTTCAAAAATATTTAACATGATTCTAGTCAAGCAACTAGGCTGAACTTCCAGTTTAGAACTGGGAGAGGATAGAGGAATAAGTTTAAAAATCTGGAGTGTGGATCATCCCACAAAACAACTGATCTTGTTTCTTCAAATAGGCAGTGTCATGGGGAAAAAATAGCAGAGCTGTCTAAATAAGACTAGATTTTTAAAAGACACAATGATACAAATAACAAAATATTCATACCTGGTACCCAAAGTGCAACACTGTGCAATATTAACCAACTCTTAAATGTATGTATAAATAGTTGTAGAAGTAATATGTGAAATGTGCTACTGATTTTTTACACTGGCAACAAGGTGGACATTAAACATTAGAATTGCAGAGGTTTATTTATATAAACCATTTAATAACATTTTATTAAATTTTCAAAAATTAAAGTTTTATTTAAATTTTTATTTAAAATTGAGACAATTATATTTATATTTGTTTTTAAAAATAATTTTGAATATTTTAAAAGACAACTTTTTTGAAAACATGAAAATAATTTTTAATATTTACTTAACTTTTCATTTTCAATGAAATGTATGTACATATTATACATTTGAAATACATTTTTTATATTTTATATTACTGCCAACAGAACACAAATAATGAGAAAATTCATTTACAGGCAGAGGCAGGAAGACTGCTTGAGCCCAGGAATTAGAGGCTGTAGTGAGCTATGATTGCACCACTGCACTCCAGCCTGGTCACAGAGCAAGACCCTGTCTCTAAAAATACACACACACACACACACACACACACACACACACACACACAGAATTAAATTAATGATTTTGCTAGGATGAAAGCAAGACAAAACTGAGAAAGTTTCTTGGAATGAAGATTTGAAAAGACAAGAAGAGATGGCTGGGCATGGTGGCTCACGCCTGTAATCCCAGCACTTTGGGAGGCTGAGGCGGGCGGATCACCTGAGGTTGGCAGTTCGAGACCAGCCTGACCAACATGGAGAAACCCCGTGTCTACCAAAAATACAAAATTAGCCGGGTGTGGTGGTGCATGCCTGTAATCCCAGCTACTCAGGACGCTGAGGCAGGAGAACTGCTTGAACCCGGGAGGCGGAGGTTGCCGTGAGCAGAGATCGCGTCATTGCACTCCAGCCTGGGCAACAAGAGCGAAACTCCATCTCAAAAATAAAAGAAAAGACAAGAAGAGATAAAAACAATGGAAGAATAGCCAAATATATAGATAACAGAATCAAAATAAGCAGAGTTCCTGAAAAAGATATCTGAACAAAATGAATATTAACCAAAGATACGTTTTCATCACTCACTCAAACATTGCTGCTAAACACCTGAATAAGTGCAATAATTGTCATCTTTGATATTTTGTACTGTGTCATATACAAACCACAATGTTACATATCTTTCTTAATATCATTATAATGAAAAGTTATTTGCCGAAGTAAGAAGATGGAATATATTTGAAGTTTGCTAGCTTGATTCAAATATTATATTTTATTTTTTATTTTCTCTTTGTTTTTCTTTGAGACAGTGTCTCACTCAGTCACCCAGGCTGGAGTGCAGTGGCACAATCACATCTCACTGCAGCCTCAACCTACCAGGGCTCATGTGATCCTCCCACGTCAGCCTCCTTTGCAGCTGGGACTAGAGGACTGTGCCACCACACCCGACTGATTTTTTTGTAAAGACAGGGCCTCACTTTGTTGCCCAAGCTGGTCTCAAACTCCTGGGCTCAAGTGATCCTCCCGCCTCAGCCTCCTAAAGTGCTAGGATTATAGGTATGAGCCACTGTGCTCAGCCAATTCAAGTATTTTAAATAGTTAGACATATTATATGTGGATCTTCATTTGAACTCTTGCCTTGGGCCCTACAGCTGCAAACATTAGGGGGTGGGCCTGAATGCAATTTTTAAATGCCAAGAATAATTAAGCAATATCTATAAAGTTTTCAAAGAAAAACATTGCAACCAAAGGATTTTAAATTATTTATACCTATTCAAGTTTCCTTTAACATGTAAGAGAAATGAAAGAATATTTCAGATATTCAAAGGCTGAAAAATATACCATCTATGAATCCTTCTTGGAAAAATTATATAAAGACCAAACATCCCAAAATACAGAGCTCAAGATTAGGAGATTTCAGAGAAGATGGCCATATGAATGTGTTCCTGCCATTCGACACTCTTTACTCCAGCCCAGCAACAACTGCTTCCCCAAGTAGGTAGGTATGGACTATGTGAGCTAACCCTCAGGTCTGCTTAGATCATTTCAGATAGAGTGAACTTAGGACTTTCCCTTCCAGGCCAGATGAAGTCATGGGGACCTGTAAAAAGAACAAGAGCCTTAGGATGAGAATTGAAAAGTCACCCATATATGCTTGGCCGGCTCACGCCTGCAATCCCACTACGTTGGGAGGCTGAGGAGGGCAGATCACCTGAGATCAGGAGTTCAAGACGAGCCTGGCCAACCTAGTGAAACCCCTGTCTCTACCAAAAATACAAAAATGAGCCAGGCGTGGTGGTGGGCGCCTGTAATCCCAGCTACTCAGGCTGTTGAGGCATGAGAATCACTTGAACCTGGGAGGCGGAGGTTGCAGTGAGTTAAGATTGCACCACTGCACTCCTGCCTGGGCAACAGAGGGAGACTCCATCTCAAAAAAAAAAGAAAAAGAAAAAGAAAAAAAAATGTCACTGATGTAAGATCATACCAGATCTCATGAACATTTCTTTTTGAATCTCTGGCCCTTGGGGACCTGTGGAAAACTGACAGGTAGATTGGATCCCTGCTGCCCAGAATCTGAGAAGTCAAGGGAATAGAGCATTGTCAGCAGTGAATAAACACCTTCTGGCTTAGGTGCCAGTGGGCTGCAAGATAGAAAACGACAGTGCCTCTCAGAACTAGTGGAGTTGCACTAGAGGGACACCAGCATCAGGACTTTAGCTCTGAGCAAGGGTGTAGCCATGAAGAGTAAAAGGAAAATAACAAGACCCCTAACCTAGCAGCCAGAGTGAGGAGGTGGGCAGAACCGCTATTACCTCCCAAAACAGAATTACTGGAGGACAAAGAAGCCATCTTGAACAAACCAAAAAAAGTGCTTAAGAAAACCTGATTACAAATCACAAACCATGGGTTTTAAACTTAGAAAATAAGTAGATGAATTGAAGCAGAGAAAGGTCACTATTTAGATTTCAAATGGTGAAATGTAAAGGTCAGGTTGAAGGCCTAGCTCAAAGCATTCAGCAAACATGCAAAAAATTGGGACTCATGAGAGAAAAAATAAAGACTACCAGGACAGATCCAGAGCATCTCTCATAAAAAATGACAGGAGTGCCAAGAGAAGTTAAAGAAGTATAGATGAAGGAAAGGCAATAATTAAACAAATTAATAAAAGAAAACTGAAGTCTGCAAATTAAAGGGGTCCACTAAGTCCCAGTTAGGATTGTCAGAAAAAACATACACACCTACACATGACTTCATAAAACTCTGTACTCCAAGGATAAAATCATACAAACTTCCAAATTGAAAGAAAAAGAGAGCATAAGAGAGAGAAAAAGAGTCATTTTCTTACCCCTCCAAAAAAAAGATTTCTTTCTTAATCAAG
The DNA here is from genome assembly GCF_000001405.40 of Homo sapiens. Classification (NCBI taxonomy): domain Eukaryota; kingdom Metazoa; phylum Chordata; class Mammalia; order Primates; family Hominidae; genus Homo; species Homo sapiens. Next base: position 98,860,459 of record NC_000004.12, read on the forward strand.
TTTGAGTCCTTTCTTGAACATTTGGCTAAAATGCTGTAGGTGGTTTGTATGGTCTCTGAATATTTACATATCTGGAAATTATTTTTCATTCAGCAAGTAAAGGATATCTTAGCTGTGTAACAGACATTTATATAATACTTACAATGTGCCAGGCCCTCTTCTCAGCACTTTAGAAATATTAACCCTCCTAATTCTCATAACAATCCCATGAGATTGTTATAATCCCCATTTTAACAGAATGGAAGTACAGAGGTTAAGAAACTTACCCAAGGTCACAAGCTAGTAAGTGGCAAAACCTTTTCTCTTTGTTACTGTCAGTCCATGTGCATCTAATATTAAAAGCCATACACTGAATAAAGAGAGGCATCATATAAAGTAGCAATTCATGTGGATATAATGGTCATTAACTTGTATGAACTAACATACATACATAGATTTGTATCACAGTTTTTGGATGAGAAAAAGTACTATAACTAAAGTCAATAAACAATATGCTTGCAAAAGTATTTATAATGCAAAACAAATAGTTAAATAGCTCTTAGAAAACAGTAGTAAAAAAGCAACTTGACAGAAAAATGTCCTAAGAAAGTAAATATGCAGAAAAGTAAATACAAATACATACATGAAAAGATGTTCAAAATACCACTATGCAGAGAAATATAAAGTAACAATGACAAATTACTTTACATCCATTAGATTATCAAGAACGAAGAGCTTTAGTTAACATGTTACCAAAGTTGTTACTGTAGCTTATAGAGGCTAATGTAATCCAAACCCAGACCATCCCTTCTGACCTCATTTCTTTCTACTTCTCCCTTATCACTCCACCCCAGCCACACTATCCAGCTAGTGACCTTCACACAAAGCACGGCTCCCTTTTCCTGAAACACTCATTCCTTAGATACAACTCTGGCTTGCTCCTTAATTCAGGTCTTTGGCCAAAAGTCAACTGCTCAGAAATTTGCCCTGATCACTCAACAATCTTATATATAATGCTCCTTCCATACTGCTCCATGTGCTGACCCTACTTTATTTGCCTCACAACACTTATCAGTTACCTACCATAACTGACTTGCTTATTGCATTTGTATAATAATTATTTTATTGTATTCATTTGTTTATTGCCTGTCTCCCTTAGTAGGAGACAGGAACTTTTTCACTCTAGCACCTAGAACAGTGCCAGGAACATGGCAGACACTCAGTAGACACTGACAGAATGAACAAACATGCAATGAACAAACACTGACCACTAGAACAGATGCTAATAAAATGGAACTCTTCTATACTCATGGAGAATATGCGGATTTATAACAGCATTTCTGAGTTTCTGTAAAATGATGCATATGTATGATAATATTCCCCTTAACTGAGCAGTAGGTCACCATCTGCATAATCTAAATAAACTTCCAAATATAAGGACAAATGTAAAAGAAGAATATCTATAACAACACTACTTATAGTGGAAAAAACTAGAAACAAGAGTGAATCCTCAGCAATAAGGATATAATTAAGTAAAATGTGTTACATACACAGCGTAGTTTATGCAGGCTTTAAAAGAACTGAAATTAGATCTATGCCTGTTTTCTTAGAAGGATCTGTACTACATATTAAGCAAGAAAAGCAAGATTCAGGTGTTTATACTATGAACCCATTTTATGAAACAATGACTAAACCTCCACTCTATACATATACATATATTAGCCTAGTGAAAGGGAGGTACCAGTGTTGATAATGCTCATGTGGAGCTTGGGCAAGGTAAGGAAAAACATAATGCTCTTTTGAAAAATGTCCACACCAAAATCAACACAAATGATACAGTCCCCATTATGTACAATTATACATGTGTGGCAGATACCATAGGTTGTCTGTCCAACAGCCACTCCTGATCATTCTTCCTTGCTATCAAAGCTTACCTCTCAATATAGTAGCAGAAAATGCCAGAAACACTTGTTCCCTTTCTCCCTTGTAGTTGAAGGATGACCATGTAACCTGACCAATGGGAACTAAAAATCTGCTAGAGTCTCCTAGGAAGCATATTGTTTCCCCTTGAAAAGAGAGACGTGAAGAGAAGCAGCTCATTTCCTTGCTTCAAGCTTTTGAACATAGTTATCTGAGGAAGTTATGACTGAAGCTGGTAGAGCCATCCTGTGACTATGCCGGGAAGGCAAGATCAAGAGAAGTCAATCCAAAGCCCTGACTCTGCTAAACTGCTGTCAATCCTAGAACTGTCATCTCCAGCCTTCTTATTACATGTTATATATTTAATGAATACATTTCTATTGTTGACGTTACTTTCAGTCAAGTATTTGGGTCAACTGCAGCCCAACATCTTAACTAACCCTGTATCTATGTGAATTTTATGAGTCCATAAAAATTTGACCACGAGGCCAGGCGCAGTGGTTCATGACTATAATCCCAGTACTTTGGAAGGCCAAGACCAGTGGATAACTTGAGCCTATGAGTTCAAGACCAGCCTGGGCAACATGGTAAAACCCTACCTGTAGAAAAATATATATACATACAAAAATTACCTGGGACTGGTGATGCAGGCCTGTAGCCCCAGCTACCTGGGAGGCTGAGGTGGGAGGATCACTTGAGCCCTGGAGGTTGAGGCTGCAGTGAGCCAAGATTGCACCACTGCACTCCAGCCTGGGTGACTGACAGAGCAAGATCCTTTCTCAATAAAAACGTTAAAAAAAAATTACCACCAAAATATTAACAGTACTTATCTTGGATCAGGGAGATGGAAGGAAATTGCAGGTAAGTTTCATTTAATCCTATACTTTTATAAATTGTTTGGATCTTTAGTGAGCAAATATCCTTTATAGAGTCAGCCCAAAACAATAATTTTATTTTATTATTACACATAGTTTCATTATTTTAAAATAATGAAATCAAAATAATACAGCTGATTTCATTATTTTAAAAAATGACATTAGAGTCAGGCAATAAATAAGATAAATTAGAGATAAACTTAAATGCTGTAAACGTGATTATAAAACATGGTACAAGGCTGGGTGTGGTGGCTCATGCCTGTAATCCCAGCACTTTGGGAGGCGAAGGTGAGTAGATCACCTGAGGTCAGGAGTTCGAGACCAGCCTGACCAACATGGAGAAACCCTGTCTCCACTAAAAAATATATAAAAGTTAGCCAGGCGTGGTGGCACATGCCAGTAATCCCAGCTACTTGGGAGGCTGAGGCAGGAGAATTGCTTGAACCCAGGAGGTGGAGGTTGCAGTGAGCCAAAATTGCACCATTGCACTCCAGACTGGGCAACAAGAGTGAAACCTTGCCTCAAACATTTTAAAAAAAAATTAAAAAAAAACCCATGGTACAAATAGTCAAAAGTTCCTATTCAGTGAGAAAAGAGATGATGTTTTTAAAAGTATTTAAAATAATTGGGCATTTAAAAAAGACTGAGAAGTATAAAAGTTGAATTTTTTTAAATAAGAGGAGCTAAATAAAAATCTTACATGTCATGTCACGGTTGACACTGGCAGTTGAAGAACACAGATTAAAGAATGATTTTGGAGACTTAAAACATCCACTATACAAGTCAAATACAAAATTTGCATATTTTAGAAATACAAAAGCAAAGAAAGTAGTTTAAAGCAAAACACTGAAAAAGAAGTAGCAATCAAGCATTTAAAAGACTAAAAATGCAGGGTGGGGTTGCTCATACCTGTAATCCCATCACGTTGGGAGGCTGAGGCGAGAGGATCGCTTGAGGTCAAGACCAGCCCTGGGCAACATAACAAAACTGTCTCTATTTTATTTTAAAAAAAATTAAAAGTGAAAAAATTAATAAATAAAAATTAAAAACTAAAAAGATGACTATAATCAAAGATATATGTTATAACAATAAAGATAAATTAATCTTGTACAGTAAATAAGGATGATCTGAAAAGTTAAAAATGACCAAACTCTGGCCTCCAATTGAAAATAATAGACAGAGGATAAATTTGTCTCCCTTCCTTCCCAAAATCATAAGGAAGTAACAGTGAAGAGGAATAAGGACTTCTGATGTGAAATAGCTGTGCAAATCAGCATCTTTTACTTTCTCCTTTTAGAACTGTTAGATATAAGTTCTAAATATCTTTTCAAAGAATCAATGTCAGTATGTTCAATTCTTTACCTTCTACTTTTAAACTTAACTTCCTCCTAAAGCAACGTTTTTCTATTACCTGCTCCGCCCTGACTCATTCTGATTACCTACTCCACCCTGACTCATTCCAATAACCTGCTCTGTCATAACCTTTTTTCCCGCCAACCACTCACCCCCTCACTCTCTTTAAATTAGCTAATCGGAATTAGTTTATCCTGTGCGGTCTAACCCTAGCCCATAAGGGAAAGACACAGCAGAAGGCGCCACGTGTGTCAGGGATAAGCACCCCTTCCCCTCCCTTGTGCAAGTGTGCACTCACCATTGCTCCATCTGTAAGGGCTCACCCTTCTATAGAAGTGCCTTGCCTTGCTAAGAATTAAAAAGGAAAATTTTATATTCGAGTGCTATTTATTTTGCGGCACCGAAACTTTATATATAACAGCACCTGGACGAAAACAACAAGAATATCTGGTAGGGGAGACCCTATGACCTTTCTCAATGAAACACAGAAAAAGTATAATATGGACGCCAAAACATAGGTAAGTAGTGCGAAAGCACCTGACATTGTACAGACAGAATAGAGACAGCCCACTGGTGGCAAATCTCAGAGAGCACCAGCAAAATACACGTGCACCCTAAAATGTATATCCTTCTTTGCTATAAGCAGTGCAAAAATGGAAGTGAGCAGGACTGATACAGGCAGCGGGGCATACAAAACTTAGATGGTACCAAGGAGGCCTGGCAACCAAAAATGTGAGAAATACCAGAAAAGTACACTCAAACTGCAATTCACTAATTTTTTTTTTTTTTTTTTTTTGAGACAGAGTTTCACTCTTGTTCCCCACGCTGGAGTGCAATGGCTCACCGCAACCTCCACCTCCCAGGTTCAAGTGATTCTCCTGCCTCAGCCTCCCAAGTAGCTGGGATTACAGGTATGTGCCACCACGCCTGGCTAATTTTGTATTTTTAGTAGAGACAGGGTTTCTCCGTGTTGGTCAGCCTGGTCTTGAACTCCCGACCTCAGGTGATTTGCCCCCTTCAGCCACCCAAAGTGCTGGGATTACAGGCATGAGCCACCACTCCTGGCCTCACTAAATACCTTTTTTAAAATGGCACATCAAAGATAATATCAGAAATAAAATAAGCCACGCACAGTGGCTCACACTTGTAATCCCAGCGCTTCAGGAGGCTGAGGCAGAAAGGTCACTTGAGTCCAAGAGTTCAAGACCAGCTTGGGCAACATAGACCCTGTCTCTGTGAAAAATAATAATAGAAATAAAACGAAAAAGCAGCAAAACTGACCAGCAGATAGAAAATACTCCCCCAGAAAATATGAAAAATTTATAGTTAAAAAGAATAAAATGGTTATTTTCATCAGGCTATGCAACTGAAATCCAACTGACAAGCGAAAAACAAAACAAAACAAGAAAGAGTAGGAGGCGTATTGGACAGATGGTAAAATCTGAATAAGGCCTATAAAATGCTTGAGTGTATTAATGCTAATTTCCTGATTTTGATCATTATACTATGGTTATGCAAAAAAAATGTTCTTGAAAGCTGGGCGCGGTGGCTCACGCCTGTAATCCCAGGACTTTGGGAGGCCGAGGGGGGTGGATCACGAGGTCAGGTGATCAAGACCATCCTGGCCAACATGGTGAAACCCTGTCTCGACTAAAAATACAAAAATTAGCTGGGTGTGATGGCACACGCCTGTAGTCCCAGCTTCTCAGGAGGCCAAGGCAGGAGAATCGCTTGAACCCGAGAGGCAGAGATTGCAGTGAACCGAGATCGTGCCACTGCACTCCAGCCTGGCGACAGAGAGAGACTCGGTCTTAAGATTAAAAAATAAAAAATGTTCTTGGTTTTAGGAAACAAAGATTTTAGGAAATACACACTGAAATATTTGCGGCTAAAGGAGTATCATGTCAGCTTATTCTCAAATGGTTCGGAAAAAAATTTAGGTAGAAAGAATAGGCTGAATGTCGTGGCTTATGCCTGTAATCTCAGCACGTTGGGAGACCAAGGTTGGAGTCGCTTGAGGACAGAAGTTTGAGAACAGCCTGAGCAACATAATGAGATCCCATCTCTATAAAAAGTTTTAAAAAAGAATAAAGTAAAGGTAGTAAAATGCTAACATTTAATGAATCTGGGTGAAGGATAGTCTTGGAAATAATGGTATTCTTGCCAGGCACAGTGGCTCACACCTGTAATCCCAGCACTTCGGGAGGCTGAGGCAGGTGGATCACCTGAGGTCAGGAGTTCAAGACCAGCCTGACCAACATGGAGAAACCCCATCATTACTAAAAATACAAAAATTAGCCAGGCGTGGTGGTGGGTGCCTGTAATTCCAGCTACTCGAGAGGCTGAGGCAGGAGAATCACTTGAACCCAGGAGGTGGAGGTTGCAGTGAGCCAAGATGGCGCCATTGCACTCTAGCCTGGGTGACGAGAGCGAAATTCCGTCTCAAAAAAAAATGTATTCTTGTATTATTGTTATAATTTTTATGTAACTTTGAAATTATGTCAAGACGTAAAGTTAAAAAAAAAATATTTACCTGGAATTGGCCGGGCGCGGTGGCTCATGCCTGTAATTCCAGCACTTTGGGAGGCCGAGGCGGGCGGATCATGAGGTCAGGAGATTGAGACTATCTTGGCTAACAAGGTGAAACCCCGTCTCTACTAAAAATACAAAATTAGCCGGGCATGGTGGTGGGCGCCTGTAGTCCAGCTACTCAGGAGGCTGAGGCAGCAGAATGGCATGAACCCGGGAGGCCGAGCTTGCAGTAAGCCGAGATCGCGCCACTGCACTCCAGGCTGGGCGACAGAGCGAGACTCTGTCTCAAAAAAAAAAAAAAATAAAAATAATAATAATAATAATAATAATAACCTGGAATTTACACATAGATAATTCTAATGATTGGTCTAAAGTGAAACCTGTCCATTTACAATTCTAACCTACACTAAAGGTTAGACTTCAGGGGTTAGAGAGAAGCAATAGTTCCTAGAGGAGAGGAGTTCAGACAGATAATACCAGGGATATATATTGCATTGGAGAAATATTAGACATTTCTCTGTGTAATAAAGCCTACAGTTAGCAATGAAAATTGCCATCTTTTAGCATCAAATAACTTTACATGAATTGTATAAGGCAAAAACTTAGAAATACAAGGGGGAAATGAGCATATCTACAAATCCATTAGGACAAAAGCTTTAAATCAGGCATGGTGGCTCATGCTTGTATTCCTAGCTACTTGGGAGGCTGAGGCAGGAGAATCACTGGAGCCCAGGAGTTCGAAACCTGACTGGGCAACACAGTGAGACCCCATTTCTACAAACAAATTTAAAAATTAGCTGGGTGTGATGTTGCATGTCTGTATTCCCAGCTACTTGGGAGGCTGAGGCAGAAGGACCACTGAGCCAGTCTGGGCAACATAGAAAGATTGCATTTTTTAAAAAAACAAGCAAACCAAAAAACCCCCCAAAAAACAAAAGCTTCATCTGGGGAGATGTTTTTGTCCTGATCTTTTACTAGTGTAAACCAGCACTTAAGAGGTACCTGGCATATAATAATCACTTAACAAAATGTAGTAGAGATTTGGACACATTTCATAGATTTACAGATAATCATCATGAGGGTGAAACCATGTCCTATTGTTCTCCACTGTCTATTCAACACATAATAGATGCTCAATAAATATTTGTTGATTGGCTGAGTCTGCTTTTTGATACTTGTGGGAGACTGAGTAATAAAAACATCTTTTAATGAGTCAGAATTCTAGTGGTATAAAAAAGGAATGTGCATATTCCCTCCAGCTTCTTTTTAATTTGTAACAACGTGACACCACATTTGGATAAGGTGAATATAGGCTCTTCTGCTATACACAACAAAGAGAAGTATTCATGTTATTGCAGATGATGACATAGGCTTACGGTCATGAATTGTGAGGCTTTAAATAGGCAACCAGTCTAATGTAATTAAATGTTCCATCATTGACCCCCCTACCCCCTGCAAAACATATTCTACGGAGGACCTATCTAAAACCAGCATTACACTTTTGACAGATTATTTAGCTGATTAATAGTTAACAGTGCCATGTAGCAAAATGATTCATTCAGTTATTTAGGGATATATTTTGTATTTATGTTAAGAGTATAACTTGAAGTTAAATTAACCAATTGTAAACAAACAATGAAGGCTTCAGAGAGAATTTTTTATGACCAAGGTGGCCAACTGTTATAAATTGCTTTGTAATTTTCATAGGCCCACATTACCACAGATACTTTTTGTGGCACTTTTTCAAACTACAGATTGTGACTGACTAGATAAAGAAGATTGAGACTAGCATTAAAAAAAAAAAGAAGAAGAAGAAGAAGTTGGGTGGTGCACACCCATAATCCTAGCTACTAGAGAGGCTGAGGTGAGAAGATGGCTTGAGCCCAGAATTTGAGGCTGTAGTGCACCATGATGGCACCTGTGAATAGTCACTGCACTCCAGCCTAGGAAACACAGTGAGATTCTGTCTCTTAAATTTTTTAAAATTTTTAAATGAAATAGACTAGCATAGAAAATCTCAAAACGCATTCCATATGGTAACACTGAGAACCACCTAATGAAACTTTTGTTTTGGTGTATACATATATCTACATAAACTGAGCCACAATATAGAATGCATTTCTTACTGTAGGATACAGTAAGGAACTTTTTTGAAAAACACTTTATGCTTTAGAACTCTTTGCAGCAGAACTTCGACTCACTGCTAGGATGATTTGGTGGCATTCCAATCAGGTACATTTCATTATCAGACTCAACGAAAAGAATGACAATCTTATTTAAGCTTAGCTCTCAAAGCATATGATTGCTCTTCAGATACTTGTCCAAAAGTAAAATGCACTGCCATTTGAAACATTAAAAGCTCACCTGAGAAAAAAATGCATACAGCACAGCTGTCCAATAGAACTTTTGGAGCTAGAAATACCTGCACTGTCCAACATAATAACCACTAGCCACATGTATTGAGTACCTGAAATGTAGCTAGTATGAGGAGCTGGTGAATTTTATTTAATTAACATTAAGTAGCCACATGTGGATAGTGGCTACTGTTTTGGATAGCACAGATACAGGGCATTATGCCTTAATACTTTCAAAATGTAGGTACACGAACAAAGAAATAAATGCTACATGTTTGAGATGATGAATATCCTAAATACCCTGATTTGATCATTACACATTGTATGCATGTATCAAAATATCACACATACCCCATAAATATGTACAATTATCAACAAAAAATAGATTTTTAAAAGGTGGTACCTGGACTATAAGGATCATCTGAATCACTTGGGAGCTTCTTAGAAATGCTGAATCACAGACCTGACTGCAAGCATAATTAGAGTGACCAGCTGGTTCATGAGCACAATAAATTTGAAAAGCACTGATCTATAGGACTGGTTTTCAATGGGCACGGAACCAGTGAGCACTGCTGTACCAGTGAAAATTAATGGGACACTTTGGTTGGAACAATTACTGATGAAGTGCTTCTGGCACTACTACACATCTAAGAGCTGGCATCTCAAATGACATTCAAATATCTTGCCAAATATTTATGTAATTTTAAAATAATCTAATCATAATAGTGAACATTTGAATTGAACTCAATTTTCTAACATTATCTAGCACCAAGTATTTTTTGTGCAACTTTAATGTATTCTGAATTTTCCAGGAATACCATATGTAAATTGAGGAAAAGATATATTTTTGTCCAGAACTTTTACTAAGTGTTGTGCCCCATTTCAGAAAAGCTTATTTAATAGCCTGAATTTAAAAGTTATCATGTGCACATCTAGGTGGAGGTTCAGTTATCAGACTACTTCATTATGTAGTTATGTTGGAACTAAAACAAATATTTTATTTAAAACGACTTCCCTCTTATTTCACCTATTATATTATCTCTATTATTCTCCAGTTAAGACTTTTTTCCTTTAAAAAAAAGTAGGTAAGCAAGTTATATACACATGAATTTCACTTCAGGATAATAGTGTGCACTGATTTTACATATGAGGTGCTGGGTCTAACAGACTTAACCACTGATTTAAAGATTTATGCACCTATTATCATCCCTCTAGATCAGGGGGCCTTAATCTGGGAATACTGTACAAGGATCTTCAGCCAAGAATTCTATTGAGTGCAGCTTCAGGAGATCTATAAAGTCCTCCGTAGCACACAATTTGATGCATAGGTATTAAATGATAATCAATCATCAAGGTGTTGCCACCACAGGGTGAAGAACACATAACTTTATCAGGAAGTACTAAATTAAGAAACATACGTTACACCCTGAGACTGTATAAATTAGGCTGGACTATAAACTTGGGCCTCAAAATGTGGATCACCACCCAGTTACATTTACAGAATTGCAATTTTTATCATTTCATCAACCTACATTGATGAACTCTACAAAAAGAAAAAAAACTAAAAGAGTTACAGAGTCACTGCATTACTCACACTATAGGTGTTCCTTCACCGAGACATAGGGAAGGCTAACATCCATTAAACATTTGCTACACACCAAGCCATACGTTACATTCTGTACACCCAGGAATTCATTCATAAAGTCTCACAACCACCCTCTGATACAGGTATTACTCCTTGTTTCACAAATGAGGAAACTAGCTTAGAAAGCTCAATTAACTTTGACTAAGTTCATACAGCTAATAGCAGAACTAGAATGTGAACTCAGGTTGTCTGCCTCCCAAACATGCATGCACTTTTCTGGAGAGGGTGGCTACTTTTTCTTTAATGTTATCATAAAGTATACATCTATTGGATCTTGTCTTCCATTGGCATAGCCTGCTAGATTTCTTAGGGCAAAAATTATATCCCACAAATGAAAGTTGCCCAAGCATGACATCAGCATCTTTGAGTAAATTGCTTCACTTAGAGTGGTCACTTAGAATGGGCTTTATGGAATGCATTTGGCATGCTAACCTTACCTTTGGTTTAATATTTTTTCACATTCTCCCTTTTCTTCATTTTTAAATTTACTTCCTGCAATAAGGCAATGAACAAATAAATCCACACTACATGCTGCTTTAGGTAATGCATGAAATACTAAGACAGTCCTACAGAGTGAATACAGCTTTATTGGATGATTTAGAAACCACCTGGAATCATTCTTATAATTCAAAACACCAACTATCATTATGATAACAGTACATAAGTTCCAGTATTTTCCACTTTGAGAGAACCCTGGTTTCCTTGGCTGCTTTCTAAAGAGGAGAAAAAGAACACCTAACAGGGAGATAGATCAACAATGAGCACATTTGAGGGCATAGGCAAAAAGTAGGGAGATCAGTTGTTATGTTATTTAGGTAAGAACTGATACAGTAACAGTCAGGAGACAAATAGAAACTGCAGTGGACTTGGAGACACTGCCTAAGTGGAAGGTGAAAGGAAGTAGAGCCATGCAAACCAAGCTTAGTTGACCATATTGATGACAAAGTCGTAAATGGTGTTAGGAGTTTGTAAGAAGTAAAAGGGAAATTTAAAGAGGGTAAGCTATTTGGTTTTTTGCCAACACTACCATCACTGCAAAACGTTTAGAGTAGGTGGTCAGCAAACTTTTTACATAAAGAACCAGTTAGTATATATCTCAGGCTTTACAGCCAGATAGTCTCTGTCTACTTTAAGACAACTCTGACATTGTGGCACAAAAACAGCCATGAATATATGTAAACAAATGGGTAAGGCCATGTTTCAATAAAACTTTATTTACAAAATAGATGTGAGCAGTCAGAATGGCTATTACTAAAAAGTCAAAAAATAATAGATGCTGACAAGGTTGTGGAGAAAAGTGAACACTTATTCACCGTTGGTGGGAGTGTAAATTAGTTCAACCATTGTGGAAGACAGTGTGGCAATTCATCAAAGACCTAAAGGCAGAAATAGCATTCAACTCAGCAATCCCATTACTGGGTATATACACAACAGAATATAAATCATTCTATTATAAAAAGACATGCACATGTATGTTCATTGCAGCACTATTCACAATAGCAAAAACATGGAATCAACCTAAATGCCTAATGATAGACTGGATAAAGAAAATGTGGTACATATACACCACAGAATACTATGCAGCCATAAAAAAGTACAAGATCATGTCCTTTACAGGGACTTGGATGGAGCTCGAGGCCATTATCCTTAGCAAACTAATGCAGGAACAGAAAACCAAACACCACATTCTCACTTGTAAGTGGGAGCTAAATGATGAGAACACATGGACACACAGAGGGGAACAACACACACTGGGGCCTATCAGAGGGTGGAGGGTGGGAGCAGGGAGAGGATCAGGAAAAACAACTAGTGCATACTAGGCTTAACACCTGGGTGATGAAATAATCTGTACAACAACCCCATGACACAAGTTTACCTATGTAACAAATCTACACTTTCATCCCTGAACTTAAAAGTTAAAAAAAAAAGTGATTGGCACAAAATGACAGGATGGATAACCCAAGGGCAGTAGAAATGGAAGATGCGAACATTTGAAGACAACCTTCATAAAAGTACTACTTACAAAACAGCATGTAGAAAAGGAAAATAGTGGTTTCCTGAAAGGAGAAAAAATGTGCTTACTAATCACTTATCATTCTGACTCAGTTACAAAACCCATGTGTGGAGACATGCAGGACATTGCAATATTTAACCATGGTTATTATCTAAAAGGCAGAGCTAGAACACAGAGCCCCAACAGTATATCTAATACACTCAACACCTTGACATAAACAATACAAAACAAGGTCAAGTTGGGACATATCTTGTCTCACATGTCCTATGGCATATACTACACATCAAAACACGATGTCAGGCACCATGCACAAACCATTCACCCAAAATTGTGTCAAATGTTGAAGTCACAAAATAAAGCAGAAAAATAATGCTCTTAAAAACAAATCAGGCCAGACACTGTGGCTCACGCCTGTAATCCCAACACTTTGGGAGGCCACGGCGGGCGGATCACCTGAGGTTGGAAGTTTGAGACCAGCCTGACCAACACGGAGAAACCCCGTCTCTAAAAATACAAATTAGTCGGGCGTGGTGGTGCATGCCTGTAATCCCAGCTACTTGGAGGCTGAGGCAGGAGAATCGCTTGAACCCGGGAGGCAGAGGTTGCAGTGACCCGAGATCACGCCATTGCACTCTAGCCTGGGCAACAAGAGCGAAACTCCTTCTCAAAAAGATAAATAAATAAAAATAAAAATAAATCAAATGCCAAGGGAAACTGGTTATGACCATAAAGATGTCTTTGGGAAATGCTCTCATTTAGAAAACTGTGAAGTTAAATTCATTATAAGGCATAACAATAAAACTAGGTCCGATATCACTGCATTTGATTCAGTTTTTTCAATGTTTACAGGTAAATAGGTAAAATGAAAGTAGATGCTAGTTCATAGCCCATCTTTGGGAAAGAGTACAATCTAGCAAATAAACAAATTACATGTATAACAATGTTGGCTCGTTAGAACAAAATACATTAAAAACCAATCAGAAAAATATCATGAGGACCAAAACTGCATAACTCGCAAAGCTGCATTATAGAACACAATAACGAAACAGATGATGGTCTGTATACATGGATTAGAATGGTTTGGGTGTTAAAGGGGTGGATGGTAAGTGCCACTTGATACTGCTGAAGAAAATCAATCCGTCTTTTTTTTTTTTTTTTTGAAATGGCGTCTTCCTCTGTCGTGCAGGCTGGAATGCAATGGTGCAATATGCTCACTGCAACCTCCACCTCCTGGGTTCAAGTGATTCTCCTGCCTCAGCCTCCCAAGTAGCTGGGGCTACAGCTGCGCACCACCACGCCTGGCTAATTTTTTTTTCATATTTTTAGAGACGGGGTTTCAGTATGTTGGCCAGGCTGGTCTCGAACTCCTGACCTCGTGATCCGCCCACCTCAGCCTCCCGAAGTGCTGGGATTACAGGCGTGAGCCACCATACCCGACCCCAATCCGTCTTCTTTATGCTTAGTGTAAAAAGATATGAATCCAACTTGAGGGTCTGTGAATGCAAAAATTCAACCAACAAGAGAGACATCTGTATAATGGAACACCAGACACTAAAAATAATGTGTTCGACATACATCATGACAAGTAAAAATGAGAAAACAAAGCTAATGGAATTTTTGTGTCCAAAGAAAAAAGTTACATATATTGGACATCTTTTTTTTTTTTTTTTTTTTTTTTTGGAGATGGAGTCTGGCTCAGCTGCGCAGGCTGGAATGCAGTGGCATGATCTCAGCTCACTGCAGCCTCTGCCACCCGAGTTCAAGTGATTCTCATGCCTCAGCCTCCCGAGTAGCTGGGATTACAGGCGCACACCACCACGCCTGGCTAATTTTTTCTAATTTTAGTAAAGACGGGGTTTCATCATGTTGGCCAGGCTGGTCTCAAACTCCCTGACCTCAGGTGATCCACCCACCTCAGCTTCACAAAGTGCTGGGATTACAGGCATGAGCCACCATGCCCAGCCACAGTGTACTTCTATTGTATGCACAAGTTTCTAGACACGTACAAGAAATTTGAGTGGCACCTTGAAAAACAACAGTAGGAGACAGAATTCTCATCTTCTACCTTTCTGTAGGGATGAAAAATAAAATAAGCATGTATTATGTTTGGCCAAACATTAAAGAAAAAAATCACAGATCAGTATTTTGGGAAGGTGGTTGGAGAAGCCTCTAAAGCCACACCAATGCAAACACAATTGCATTAAAAATACTACAGTATGGTAAAAAATGTTAAATGAATGGTGAAAAAATTTTAAAGTACAATCAAATAATCAAAGAGACACAAAACTTTACTTGGACAATCATATAGAGTTCAGTAATATAAAAGTAGAAACGGTCTTGCAAAAGCTATAATTTGCATATGCTGGTTTGCTAGAGTCCTCCTGGAATGTGATCTGTTTAGAATCAATGTTTTAGAGCTGGAAGAGTATTTAGAACCAGGGCCGGGTGCAGTGGCTCACGCCTGTAATCCCAGCACTTTGGGAGGCCGAGGTGGGTGGATCATGAGGTCAAAAGATCGAGACCATCCTGGCCATCATGGTGAAATCCCATCTCTACTAAAAATACAAAAATCAGCTGGGTGTGGTGGCACGCGCCTGTAGTCCCAGCTACTCGAGAGGCTGAGGCAAGAGAATCGTTTGATCCCGGGAGGCGGAGCTAAGAGCACGCCACTGCACTCCAGCCTGGCAAACAAGACTCTGTCTCAAATAAAAAAAAGAAGAAACAACCTCATTTTATATTTACCTCGACTGCATAATCCCCAGTAATAAAACCCTAGTCCTATTTTCTGTAACAACAGCTATTTGTAGAACCTTATGAACAGACACGTTTTTTTTTTTTTTTTGAGATGGAGTCTTGCTCTGTCACCCAGGCTGGAGTGCAGTGGCGCGATCTCAGCTCACTGCAACCTCCACTTCCTGGGCTCAAGTGATTCTCCTGTCTCAGTCTCCAAAGTAGCTGGAATTACAGGCGCATGCCACCATGCCAGGCTAATTTTTGTATTTTTAGTAGAGACGGGGTTTCACCATGTTGGCCAGGCTGGTCTCAACTCCTGATCTCAGGTGATTCACCCGCTTCAGCCTCCCAAAGTGCTGGGGTTGCAGGCATGAGCCACTGCTCCTGGCCAGACTCACGCATTTTTAATATATGTTTGCTTTTAAATCTTCTTTAGAGCAGGGCCCCAGACCATTCTGTTCTTGCTATATGCCCAGCACGTGGAACACAGTAAATAGAGGTGCTCAATACATATGTATGTGTGTATACATACTTTTGTTTCAGAAAAGGTAGGGAAGTGAGTTCTGTGCAAAACTATGAGAAATCACAATGCATGAAGTAAACAAAAAGCTGCAAGATTAAAATATGAAAATTAGTTCCCCTGTACTGGAAAAGACAGCACCATAGGCACATGTGATCACATGCCTACAAGTTCATTTTTTGCTTCTACCAGTAGAATGGTCATAAGAATATTGAACTCTAAACTATGGTAGTAGGAAGGCTACCTAATGCCTACTTTGCAATTCATAGTAAAGCAGGACACAAGAGTTTATTTTAAGATGGTAGAGAACAGGACCAAAGTTTTTGACACCAAATCCATAACTGCATGAAGATGAAAACTGTAGACGTAACAGACCCGGTTGTTCTAGGAAATGATGGGCAAATGAGTTGCCCTGGGCTAATGGGGAAAGCAACCTGTGAACAGTGTTTCTCACACCATATGTGAGGGACCAGTCTTAACCCCTAAATTGTACTCTGCCAGACATACTATATATACACATACATATGTGTTTTGTTATATATTATATATATTACACACATACATAAATATTTTTTAATTTGTTTGTAGCGATGGGGTCTCACTTTATTGCCCAGACTGGTGTTGAACTCCTGGACTCATGCAATCCTGCCACCTTGGCCTCCCAAAGTGCTGGGATTACAGGCATAAAGCACTATGCCTGGCCTGTAAGATATATTTTTTTAAAACATTACTAGAAAAGTGATCACATACTAATGTCACAGTAATATAAAATTACTATAGAAGTTTCCAGACACACAATTTCTACGCTGACCTTGAGTGATATGCTGAAGTTTTGTTTATCAATGTCAATCTTGAATTTGTATAAAGGATCTGACATTTATTGTTTTACTACTCAATAATAAAAACATTCTGTAAGAAACAATTAGAGATAAAAGGTGCATAGCCTTGTCACTAACTTTAAAATATAACACTGCTTTGTCACAACGCCTAAAATTATCCTTTTGAATGCAACTTTAGCATTTAAGAATCTCAATGCCTATCAGTTTGAATATTTTGCCATTTATATTAGATTAGAATACAGAAGCTTAAAATGTATACGAAAACATGACCATGCATTGATTAATGATGGGAATATGTTTTGAGAAATGGGCCATTAGATGATTTCGTTGTGTACTTACACAAACCTGAATGGTATAAACCTACCACAAATATAGGTTTCAGGGAACAGTCTATTACTGCTCCTAGGCTACAAACCTGTATGGCATGTTACCATACTGAATACTCCATAATGTTATTTGTGTATCTAAACATAACAAAACATGGAAAAGATACAGTAAAAATACAGTGTTACAATGTTACTGGCCCACCATCCTATATATGGTCTGCTGCTGACCAAAACTTCCTTATATAGCATATGATTATATTTATGTACACTACCTCCCCATAAACTCCTGTATCTTTGCCTCCAAACTTCCCCAACTGACTAACACAGTGAATCTAGGGAAAATTTCCATCTATTACTAGATTCATTACCAAAGGGAGTAAAATGGAGAAATGTTTGCATGCCCGACCTATAACAAGCTGAGGTGATTTACTATAGCCTATTAGACAGGCTGTACCCTATGGAGAAAGTGTTATGTAATTATTGTCTCTGGAACCAAATTTCCAGAATTCAAATCCACCCTTTGCAATTTACAAGCAAAAGTTAAATTCTCAGTAACAGCACCTACATCTCAAAAGATTATTCTGCAGGTTAATAAGCATGTAAAGTGACTGAACTACTGCCTGGCACATAAATTATTACTATGTAGTGTTATAATTATTTAATTGCATAGTATGCATTAAATCCTTCTGTAGAATTGGGATAATAAACTTTAAATTCATTAAATGAAATGTCACATGCCTACAATAAACTGCTATTCACCCATTAAAGCCTATTTCAATTCTCTATTATGAAAATACATCTATTTGGGCTGGGTACGGTGGCTCACACCTGTAATCCCAGCACTTTGGGAGGCAGAAGCAGGCAGATCACAAAGTCAGGAGATTGAGACCATCTTGGCTAACACAGTGAAACCCCGTCTCTACTAAAAATACAAAAAAAATTAGCCGGGCATGGTGGCAGGTGCTTGTAGTCCCAGCTACTGGGAGATCACGCCACTGCACTCCAGCCTGGGAGACAAAGCGAGACTCCGTCTCAAAAAAAAAAAAAAAAAAAGAAAATATATCTATTTAATCTATTTATAATATCCTGCTAAACAGAGAGAAAACAGTAAGTTGGAAAATAACATATAGCCTAATTTTGTATTTAGAGAAGATGCTGATAAAGTTATAAAAGTTGCAAGTCACTGTACTATTTAAGTGGCAACTGCCAAAAGTGATTCAGCGTAATTTATTATCCTTTCTTGTCCCCAGGAAAAAGGTTTAAAATAACATCATGATTCTAAAATGGTAATACCAATAATCAAATGCTACACATCAGTTATTTCAAAAATTTAGAACTGTATACATTTAATGTGTTAATTCCTCCTTTGCACCTAAAAGCTGATGCTTAAAATTGGACTTCATCTTAGAATTAAGAAAATAGATCAATTTATAATAGATACACTACTTCAGTCCCACCCACTGCCAACATACCAGTAACATCATCACTTTTAAGTAAACTCTTGAAGTACTCAAAACTATACATATTGACATAGACAGTAAGTCACCTTAACCAATTACCCAAGTTTAACTAGCAGATATTATGTACAGTATGCTGAGATTATAATAAACACAGAATTCTGATTCAGTATTTCTAGAATACTGAACAAGAGGTGTTTGTGGCATTGAGAGTACTGTGATAACCTGTGGTACCCTTTAAACTGCTTTAAAATTTTACAATGAAATCAGTGCTATTAATTTCATGTTTATTTCATACAGGGTTTTTGTCAAGTTTATCAGTTTTAAAATGATTAAGTCATAATCACCATTCAAAGACAAATTTTCCTCTCAAAATAATAATTTCCATTCTGCTACCTACAGTTTGGCTTATCCTTTGGTCTGATAGCCATACTTCATCTCACAGGACTATACAAGTATGTACTATGTACAAAACATTTTCAAGTTTGCTTTCAAATGATACCTACAAAGAGTAGATCAAGTTTTCAAGTTTACAGAATACCATACTACAACAATTTACCACTATAAATATGTCTTAACACCTGTTTATTCCATTCTATTTAGATTGCAACACTAACAAGATTCTTAATGCATATGTCCCCACCACCTGTACTTTCCCTACACTATCATTTTGACACTTAACATAGAAACAACTCAATTCAGCAACCAAGTTTTACAACCACTGTTGCTACCAATCAAATGGTGATGCATCAGATCCCAATTCTCATGAGTATTAACATATTAAGAGAGTACATTATTTACCTAAGACTGAATGACTGTGCCTTACTTTATAAAAAAACAAAGATAGCCACATCAATTTAATTCCATATATATGATACTACCTATTCAATTTATTAAAAATTGTAATAAACATAATAATCAAACTAGTGCTCCAAACTTATGCTGTTCACATGGAAGACACCACAAAAGAAGACATAATATAGAGACTGCCTTGCAATAAGAAGTACAAATTCCTTCTATAAAGATGGAGAAATAAAAGGACAAATCTAGTTGTCTAAAAGACAATTCACTGTACACATTTTATTTACAGTTTTGTACACTGTCTTAATATGAATGGGACTGCTTTTCTACTTGAGCCATTTTTAACCAAAGCAAAATAACCTAAGTAATACAAAGTGTTAAAATACAGCATAAAGATACAAAAACAGACATACTAATTCTAGTTAGGAATGTAATTATGATGTTACATTTTTTATAATCCACAATTATGTTTAGGAAATCACACAAACATAGATCACTGATTTGAATGAAATGCATAAATTTGTAGCAAAGCTTTGTAGTTACAAAAAACAAAAAAAATTACCAAAGAATGCACAAAATTAATGTTTATTCCACCTTTGTGTCATATTCCTGGATCCTTCACCAATGTTACATGAGGAAAAAAACAAAAGCAAAACAAATGAAAAACTGAAATCAGAATCACTAATATTATCAAGTAGGGAAACAAATAAATTAAAATCTAGCAGCCATCAGCAAGAGTACAGCAAAGACAATGCTGTAAAAAGAAACAAAGAAAATTGCTAGAAAACTGTATGCATCATAATCTTTCAAACCAGCAAAATATGCTTCTGCATAAAATGGAACAACAGAATTTTTTTTCCTGTAAAGTATAGAAATGCCAAGTTGTTTTCTGACTATTGTGGATAGGTAAAATCTGTATGTAATTAATGGTAATTCTACTGAACTATTACAGAGTGGGCCAGGAACACATTTATGGATTCTGGGGATGTGTACTGTAATTCTTTGATTGGGATAGTGGAAACTCTAGCCAAAAAAAAAAAAAAAAATGAACACAGAAGTACAAGACAAAGGCGAATGAGACTTCTCTTATATCTGAGTAACATTAAGATGGAAATCAAATTTAAATGCAGTCCACTCTGCTTTTTGAAGAGGCTTTGGTTCAGCTCCCAAATCTCGATTGCTTGACGCAGTCTCCTATGAGAATACTCAGAAGGTGTCTTCTTAAACAACAAACCTATTTTTAGTGGTGGAGCCGCTCTTAGTAGCTGTGTCTGCGTGGGACTGATAACCAATCACTATCTTTGGAGGAAGTCCTAACCTTTCCTTGTATACCCTCCTAGAAGAAAAAAAAAAAGAAGAAGAAAAAAGTAGTCATTAACTTTTACTCACAAGAAATACATTTAAAAATTTAGGGTTATTAGTCTTTATATTAAAAAACATAGACTTGAGAATAAAATAGGAAATTAATTATACACCCTTTTCCTTTCAGCACAATTTACTCTTCATTTTTGCGATATTCTTGGTTAATTACTTTTAAAATATTTGAGAGCGAGTCAGGTATGTTATTACTAAATTACAGGAGCATTACTATATTATTATATTGTTATTTATTATGATACTATAATTATTACTAAATCAACAGTGAACAAAGTAAGGACAGTCCCTGAGCTGACTGCATTTATAGTCTAGTAGAGAAAACATAATCAAATAATCACAAATACATGACAGACCTGTATCACATGCATACTTAAAAACAGAAATCTGTAAAACAAACATGTTTCATTCTTTGATCTAAAATGTTACATTTCACGTCTGAACCCTAGCAAATATTGTATATTACTACACAAATTATATTAACCATACCTGTTATAAGACTGCACAAACAAAAACTAAACACTTTGAGGGAGATTAAACACTTCGAGGGAGTGAATGAAACACTTCGAGGGAGAATGTAATTTCTGCTTTACATACTAACTTTACAACCTAATTTTCAAGTAAGACATGACTCTATTGCAAGAATAAAATGGCACTTGTCATGAGTGCCAAAGAGTAAACATAAGGGCTGTGATACTGTATAACAAGGAGATTCTAATCTCATCTACAACATTAGAGAAGTCTTCCCCTTTAAATATCACGAGGTCAAAAGGATAATGTTAAGAGAATGAGCACATTTGAAAGCTGAGAAATAAAAATTAGGCTGTGTGGCTATGGCTTGTAAGTAAAGTGAACATGAGATAAAGCTGACAAGGTTTCAGAGGAAGATCACAGAGAGCTTCATAGGTCATCTTAAAAATTTGAATCTTTGGCTGGGCGCGGTGGCTCACGCCTGTAATCCCAGCACTTTGGGAGGCCGAGGCGGGCGGATCACGAGGTCAGGAGATCGAGACCATCCTGGCTAACATGGTGAAACCCCGCCTCTACTAAAAATACAAAAAATTAGCCGGGTGTGGTGGCAGGTGCCTGTAGTCCCAGCAACTCGGGAGGCTGAGGCAGGAGAATGGCGTGAACCTGGGAGGCAGAGCTTGCAGTGAGCTTGAGTGAGACTGTGCCACTGCACTCCAGCCTGGGTGACAGAGCAAGACTCCGTCTCAAAAAAAAAAAAAAAAAAGAAAAAAGAATCTTTAGGAAAAAAATAGTAAAAATTCAAAAATAAGCAAAAATCAAATAAAAATAAAGGAATAAAGATATTAATGGAGTTAAATCCTCCAACATGATACTAGGATAGGTTTTTTTTATACCTTCCAGAAGATTTACTACCTTCCCCCTAAAATAAGGTATTAAAAAGTAATTTTATGGTAACTAAAGTGTTAATTATCAAATTTGCATTATAATGCAATGCATTCCTTTCAATTATACTTAATTATTAAAAATGTCAAAAAGCAAGACCATTGAGTCATGCAAATTGGAAGGTTAAAAAAGAAAATCTTCGTTTGAAAATCTGAAGTCTTAATATACACTCAAAAACATTTAATATTGACAAAAATACAAAACTTCCGTAGGAAAAAAATTCTTAATTTAACTCATTTAAAAAAAAAAAAAGTAAATCCTCCAAAATTAGGTTTTGATGCTGGAAGAAACATTAAAATATGATGACAAATCAACTCTTTTCTCTTATGGAACCCCATATAGCATGAAATGTAGAAAATCCCTATACCTTTTGATCCAGAAATAAATTATGTTCACATAAAAATTTACATGGCTGAGAGCAATGGATCACGCCTGAAATCCCAGCACTTTGGGAGGCTGAGGCAGGTGGATGACTTGAGGCTAGGAGTTTGACACCAGCCTGGCCAACATGGCGAAACCCTGTCTCTACAAAAACTACTGCAGTGGTTCAGGCCTGTGGTCCCAGCTATTCAGGAGGCTGAGGCAAGAGAATCACTTGAACCCAAGAGGTGGAGGTTGCAGTGAGCTGACATCGCGCTACTGCACCCCAGCCTGGGCAACAGAGTGTGACTCTGTCTCAAAAAATTAATTAATTTTAAAAAGAAAAATTAATAATATTTGAAAAATCACAAAGGGGCAAACCAAACATTTTGACCACTGACTGACCAGCACTTAATTTTAACATAAAATTGTAAGTCAAATTTTTTTTTTTTTTTTTTTTTTTGTGAGACAGTCTCGCTCTGTCTCCCAGGCTGGAGCGCAGTGGCCCAATCTTGGCTCACTGCAAGCTCCGCCTCCCGGGTTCATGCCATTCTCCTGCCTCAGTCTCCCAAGTAGCTGGAACTACAGGCGCCCGCCACCACGCCCAGCTAATTGTTTTTTTTGTATTTTTAGTAGAGACGGGGTTTCACCGTGTTGGCCAGGATGGTCTCAATCTCCTGACCTTGTGATCCACCTGCCTCAGCCTCCCAAAGTGCTGCGATTACAGGTGTGAGCCACTGCGCCTGGTGTCAAATATTACTAATATAATTGAGGTAAAAAGAAATCTTAGAAAAAAAATGTCAGCTGGTTTAGCATGGTGGCTCACGCCTGTAATCTCAGCACTTTGAAAGGCTGAGGTGGCTTGATCAAGTCCAGGAGTTCATGACCAGTCTGGGCAACATGGCAAAACCTCTTCTCTACAAAAAATACAAGAAAATAGCCAGGTGTGGTCATACACACCTGTAGTTGCAGCTAATTGGGTGGCTGAGGTAGGAGTATCACCTGAGCCCAGGAGGTTGAGGCTGAAGTGAGCCATGACTGCACCACTGCACTCTTGCCTGAATAACACAGTGAGACCCTGTCTCAAAAAAAAAAAAAAAGCCACTTTTGCAAAGAATAAAATTTACAAAAAAAGGTTTAATAAAACCCTACATATGTGGGTTTTAAACATGGAACAAAAACCAAGATATGTTATATAAATTTTAATGAAAATTATACGTAGTAAACACACATGCTTTAAATGCACATATACTATTTGCCAATAATCACTGAATTATTATTATGAGCATACATTAGCTCTTTTCAAAGTAGTACTTTTTTCCAAACAGCACTTTCAAAGTAGGAAATAATACATTCTCATTTGTGAATGAATAAAAAATGCTACATGCCAAAGGAGAGTGCTCTAGTGGTTATATACTTCACTGCTAAGAAAAAGCAATTTTACAGAAATAAAAAACATATGAAAAAGGCCAGGCGCAGTGGCTCATGCCTGTAATGATAGCACTTTGGGAGGCTGAGGTGGACGGATCACTTGAGACCAAAAGTTAAAAGACCAGCCTGGCCAACGTGGCAAAACCTGGTCTCTACTAAAAATATAAAAATTACCCAAGCATGGTGGCATGCGCCTGTATTCCCAGCTACTCGGGAGGCTGAGACATAACAATCTCCTGAACCCGGGAGGCGGAGGTTGCAGTGAGCCTAGATCATGCCACTGTACTATATATAGCCTGGACAACAGAGTGAGACTCTATCTCTAAATAAATAAATAAATAAATAGCTGTGAAAAAACCCAAAAAAACAAGACGTTGCGCACCAATTGAGCCGTTCAAAATTATAAAAGTGTTCACGAAAACAATACAAGGAAAACAGGATCTACAAACTGAAGTATTTCTAAAGCTACAAATAAAATAACTTCTGGTTTTACTCATCTTAATACTGTAAAATAAGTAGGCAAAGAGCAAAACTTACCCTATATGTGTAACAGCTTCTCTGTTTTCACATTCAGTAGTCCATATTGCTATCTTATCACCTTTAGCTCTAACATTAACAACAGCGCCACATACATCATCACTGTAGTCATCAAAAGATTCTCCAATAAGGCACAGAAGCTTAAAAAAAAATCCCAAATTACATTTAATAGATTATAAACAAGCTCATTACACTGCAAATGTCTCTTCTGTATTTGCATAGAAACTAAAGGCAGTTTTTAAATCAAGAGTTAATTTTTTAAATGTGTAAATTTTATTTGCATATATTGATCTGTCCTGACTTTTAAATACTCATTCATTTATTTACTATCAAATCAGCCTTTTTCAGCAAATTTGGCAGTTAATGTCATGGCAGACATAAAAGCTGATTTTATTAATATTCATTTGCTCTGCTGCTGCTTATATTTATGAGCAAACAAATATTAATAGAATAATAAAAATAGCTATTCATGGTTAATCTCCTCTTGTTCTTATTTTTTATGAATATTTGTTAATGGTCTGGTTTTTTGTTGTTGTTGTTGTTTGAGACAGGGTCTTGCTCTGTCACCCTGGCTGGAGTGCAGTGGGATCATCACAGCTCACTGCAGCCTCAACCTCCTGGGCTCAAATGATCCTTCCACCTCAGCCTCCTGAGTAGGTGGGCATACATACAGGGACATGTCACCATACCCAGTTAATTTTTGTATTTTTTGTAGAGACAGGGTTTTGCCATGTTGCCCAAACTGGTCTTGAACTCCTGAGTTTAAGTGAAATGCCTGCCTCAGCCTCCTGAAGTGTTGAGATCACAGGTGTGAGCCCAGCCCTAACAGATTTCTTAATTGTGGTAAAATACAAATAACATAAAATTTACCATTTTAACCACCTTTAAGTGTACAGTTCAGTGGTGTTAAGTACATTCAACATTGTTGTACAACCATCCCTACTACCATCCATCTCCAGAAGATTTTTTTTAACTGCAAAATGGAAATGTCCTGACTTTTTAATGTGGAATTCAAAAATGGTATTTGCTCATGATCTTCCCCCTCAAAAACAGAATTTTCTTCTTAAAAAGTCATTCATTCATTAGCTGGCTGTGCTGGCATGCACCTGTAGTCCCAGCTACTTGAGAGGCTAAGGCAGGATGATTGCTTGAACCCAGGAGGCTACAGTGAGCTATGATGGCCCCACTGCACTCTAGCCTGGGCGACAGAACAAGACCCTGTCTCTAAAAAAAAGCAAAATAGTCACTTATTCAAACATTTAAAGTGATTAACTTAACAAGTGCTAACTATAAACCAGGCACGGTTTCAAGTGCTAGGGATACAAAAGAGACTACAAACCCCGCTCCTATAAGCTTGGGGTTTGGAACCTCTGTCTACAGAAAATGCTTATTATCTCATATTTAATTTGTCTTGTAAAGCCAGAAGTTCCAGTTAATATCACAACATGTAGGTCAAATGGTAGTACACAACAATTTTATTATTTGCTTCACTAATCTAAAAAGTTTAGTGGGACAGGCACAGTGACTCACACCTGTAATTCCAGCACTTTGGGAGGCTGAAGTGGGAGGATCACTTGAGGCCAGAAGTTTGAGACCAACCTGGGCAACATAGCAAGATCCCATCTCTGGAAAAAAATTAGAAAATTAGCTGGGCATGGTGGCATGCACCTGTAGTCCCAGCTACTTAAGAGGCTGAAGTGGGAGGATCACTTGAACCCAGAGGGTGAGGCTGAAATGAGCCATATAAATAAATATCCGCACTCCAGCCTGGGCAACAGAGCAAGACCCTCGCTCTAAAAATATAAGTATTTAAAAGTTTAGTATACATATAGCAATGCTGTAAGAGGGTTGCAAAAACTTCAATCATACAAAATGTAAGGTTCTATAATTTTGAGGTTAATGAAATGACCACAGTGAGCTTACTGTGGTGAGAGTCAACTGCCAATCACTTAAAATATCTGACTTATAATGTGGTAGGATGTTTCACTGTACTATAAACAGGAGTCATATGACAGAACAAAAATAATTACTGACCCTGATTTTCTAGTGTTGGGCATCCTTCTCTTAAATTAAGTAACAAATGTAAAACATAACATATCTTAAGTATCAGTATTCCAAAACTACCTCTAAAACTGCTTTATACTTTTAAAACCTTACTGTCTCTAGCCAAAAGCGATCGAGGTCACTTCGTCTCTGCTGTTTGTTCAATGTAATTAGCCATCGTCCTCCCCGTTTGTTTTTCTCATCTTCCCACATAGGCTCAATACCATCCTACAGGGTTAGAAGACAACAGTATTACACAACATTGTTACCTTGACTTTGAGAGATAATCATTAGAAACAGTTAAGCAACAACACTGTCAACTTCTTACTTTATTGCCCATAAAACTGCCATTGATGTAGTTTTTAAACAGCACATAAGACTTAAAGCCAGAGGCATGACATTGCAGAATTAGAGTCCTGGCTTTGTCACTTATTAGCTATCAAATCTTGGGTTTCACTTAATTTGAAGGTTCTTAAACTTTCTGAGAAGCAAACATATTTTAGAAGCTCTGTACATTTCTACAGCTAGAAAATACATGCAAAAACTATGCAATTTCAGTTAATGAATGTCCCGTCCCTCTACCAACTGACAAAGCCCAATAATAAGTATTCCAAGGACCCATGCTCCTAAGGTTAAGAATGCTTGATAAACTCAGTCTGCTCAAATATATAAAGGAAGGAGTAGACTGGATAATCAAAGCTCTCATCAAAATCAATCTCAGTATGTGCCCACAGAGTAACTCTCTCTCAATTTTTATAAACAAATAGAATAAGATATATTGATACTAAAGCATACTACAGCCAATTAAATTATCAGCCTATTCATCACACTATCAAATATTCCTAAGTTTATGGTAAGATTTCTTAATGAATACCAAATGGCCCAGTCCTATAATAAATATATAAAATCACCAATTAAGCATACCTTAAAAAGTGAGTAGTCACAGCCAGGCATTAAATTACTAGACAACTGGATATGGTTGTACAGACTAGGTAAAAGAAAATAACAATTAAAAACACAGAATATGTAATATAGAGTTTAGGTGCTTACATATATATACATTTAGAACATATGATGAAAATAAACAGATAAAAGTTCATGTTTACTTGTTTCTAAGGAGTCAATTTCTAAAATGGACAAAACAGATCTTAAAAGCAGTTAAATAATCAACTTCAGATGACAGGTATAATTTTCAAAAAAACTTCTAGTGACTGCTCTGACAAAAATATATTTTATGTTAGTTAACTCAGTGCATACATATGTATATATATAAGAAACTGAGAAGAGAGGTATAAGGTGGCTTTAAGTAGATGAAATAATTTCTGAAGTTAATACACAGTTTTTTTCACAAACATAAAAAAACAAAAACAAAAACAAAAACAAAAACCAGAAACGATGAACTTCCTGACCATCAGGATTGCATGACTGAAACAGTCATTATCCTTGAAGGTATCCAAGAGTAGAATAGATCAACGGTTCCCAAACACCACAAACTGTCACTGGTTAGTCAACATAATAATCATTTTAAAACTGATTTTAGAAAAATAAATAAATAAATATAGTTACAAGCCCTACATCTTGGGATTATAATCACCTAAATATAAGATGGAACCCTGCAGTCTGTATTTCTAAACTATTTCCCAAGTATCAAAATAACAGAATAACATTTGCGATGACTTAGTTGCTTGCCTGAAGGTAGGAGGCTTAGATCATTTGATCTCCTGTAGTCTTTTACAGCAAAATTGATTTAAAAATTGGCAACTCTTAAGAATCTTTTGCTTGTCTCCAATATTAGATGGCAGAAATAATGATCTTAGCTGTGTCTACAGACCATGGATGATTCTACTATCCTTAGTCTGGTTCTCCTGGTGCTATGTTAACCCCATCTAGGAATATTTCAGGTAAAGATTTAAGGGCCGGGTGCAGTGGCTCACGCCTGTAATCCCAGCACTTTGGGAGGCCGAGGCAGGTGGATCATGAGGTCAGGAGTTCGAGACCAGCCTGACCAACATGATGAAACCCTGTCTCTACTAAAAATACAAAAATTAGCCGGGCGTGGTGGCATGCGCCTGTAATCCCAGCTACTAGGGAGGCTGAGGCAGGAAAATCGCTTGAACCCAGGAGGCGGAGGTTGCAGTGAGCCGAGATCACCCCATTGCACTTCAGCCTGGTGACAGAGCTAGACTCCATCTCAAAAAAAAAAAAAAGATTTAAGAAAGAAGTTGGCATCTTTAAATCAAATTCCATAGTATAACACACAAATATAGTTTAGGTGAGACAACCTAAGACCACATAAGGTTTGCTGAGTCACTACCTAATGGTAACTCCCAACTACATCATCAATGACAGCCTCCACTAGGCAACAAAAAAAGACGGGATACTAAGTGACTATAAAATTAGCGCTACTAATGTCATAAAATGAATGGATATTGTGGGAATGACCTTCAATAAAATACTTTTTCCCTTTTGCTGCCTCCTTTCTCTTCTGTGGTGCTCAAAGGTCTCTCAAGTAAGTCCATCATGAGAATTTATAATGGCACATCTAAACAGAATCCTAAGACTATGCAGTCTGGATAAATACAAAAGGACTCAATGGTTATCTGCAATAAATTTGCTAGAAAAAAACAGAAATTAGGAAGTGGCCCACACATTTATAGAAAACTGAAAAATCCTTCATATCTCTAAGTTATGGTATAAAAACCTACTATGTAATGACATTGACTACATGTAACTGAAGCATGGAGAACTGTTCTAATTAGAAGGTAGAATTATGTAAACTGGTAAAAGCCAAACAAACTAGATAAATGCAAATCTGATTGGGGAAGGTGGCTCAAGGCTTCCTTTTTCTCTGTAGGAGAATGAAAAGCTTTTTTTTGGGGGGTGCAGAAGACTGGAGTTATTTAAGAGTCCTGAATAAACAAAACTAGAGAAGAAAAACTACTTGATGTTTTGATGATGGGCAAAGAATAATAATCCTAGTTTAACTAGAAAACTAGACCTATAAATTATTAGGCCTTAAATGTAGTTATTATTAAGTGTCAATGCTTTTAATAAAAAATAAATACTCTCAAAGTTTACTCTCAAATGAATGTTCTCAAATACTCTCAAAGTTTATGGTTTTAATCGTATGCTTTGCTTTTTTCAGCAACACAAATGAATACAAAATATCTATTAGAAGCCAAGCACTGGAAATATACAGAAAAATATTGTTTCTGCTGTTGAAGATGTACATACATATGTATAAATTTTATACCACAATCTATTTCTTTGTATGAGCAGAATATCTTGAGGGGGTTACATTAAAACATAAGAGTAGCATCACTAATTCAGCATGTATATGATCCTAAAAAAAGATGTACAAGTTAGAATATTTAGATAACTGCTAGGTAATTTAAAGTGCTTATTAAAGAGTTTTGCCTTTCATGGTCTCAAATAGTACCTCCCTAGTCATTCTCCAAGTAAATTAGACACACTGGATTAACTTTGTTTTTAAGAGAATCAATTATCAAAACTTCTTGAAATAGACTTTACAATTTTTATTTATTTTATAGAGAAACAGGGACTCATGTTGACCAGGTTGGTCTTGAACTCCTGGCTGCAAGTGATCTTCCTGCCTCAGCATCCCAAAGTATTAGTATTACAGGCATGAGTCACTGAGCCCAGCCTTAAATTTTGTTTTAAGGTCATGCAAAAGTTGATGATCCCAATTCTTAACTTTCTGCTATACAGAAACAAAATTTCAAAAATATTTCAACTATTCTTCTTGAGGTTGATCAAAGTATAATGAAATGAATAAAGTATCATGATAGATACTGGCATTGCCTTGACAAACCGTGAATTCTGAACACTTCAGCCTTTGATATCTTAAAATCTCTGGTACAGGAAATTCCAGATATTGCACTGAAAACAGTTTGCAGAAATGAGGACCCAACAACGCACTGCAATACCCAGTTATGAGGCAAATGTATCTTGGCAACCAGGAGTGGAACAAGTTCCAACTAGCTGTCAAAAGTTCTAAGGGCAATAATGGATTCTTGAGCTAAGGATATCTCAGGACAAGAAACAATAATTGGGGCTGGGGGATGACAAGATTGAAGCTCTGTAAAACTAATAAAGCATAATCACCAATTCAAACTTTTGTGAGGAGATAAAAAAATAGATGAACATTCATTAACTGTTTAACTCACACTTCATTTTGTGAATTCGACTTAAAAATAAAAAAACTACACAACGAATAAAACAACAAACATACTAAAACAAATGGTTACTTACGCCCAAAAGTCTTCAACAGTATCAAACTTGGAGATCAGCCGCAGGTTTGCTTGCCAAGTTTTGCTTTTATCATTTTTAAAAAACCAGAGTGCCCATCTAAAAATAAAAAATCAGTGTCAAAAAATGGTAGCTGCATACCCATGTTAAAAGCAACATTATTCACAAAAGTCAAAAGGTAGAAGCAACCCACCTGTCCATCAACAGATGAATGAAAAATGTATATATACACACAATGGAATACTAAAAAGCCCTGATGAAGGAAATTCTAACACTTCATAAAACATGAGGGGAAGCTAAGGACATTAAGTGAATAAGCCAGCCCCCCTCCAAAAAAGACAAATACTGTATGATTCCACTTATATGAGGTATAAGAAGTCAAATTCATAGAAACAAAAAGAATGGTGATTGCCACTAGCCAAAGAGAAGGGAGTTTAGGGTTATAGAGTTTACAGAGTTTTGGAAGATGAACAAGAGTTCTGGAGATTAGTTGCACAATAATTGGTTGCAGAAAGTACTTAACATTAACTGTACACTTAAAAATAGTTAATACTGTAAATGTTTATGTTTACCACAAAAATTTAGGGAAAAAAGCAAAATGCTAGTTGTTATTACAGTGGCAAATAATGAGAGTTCTCCATTTCTTTCATTTAAAAGATATGTATGTTATGTCTACTACATAACAGATTCCCTGCTATACCTAGAGACCCAAGACACACTGAAACTCATCACTCAACGGAATTCACAGAAATGACGCAGAGAGACAACTACAGTGTGCTAAGTGCTCTGACAGAGATAAGCAAGCACAGTTATTTAAGAAAAACACAGCAGAGCTGGGCGCGGTGGTTCACGCCTGTAATCCCAGCACTCTGGGAGGCTGAGGTGGGCGGATCACCTGAGGTTGGGAATTCGAGACCAGCCTGATCAACATGGAGAAACTCCGTCTCTAGGAAAAATACAAAACTAGCCAGGCATGGTGGTGCATGCCTGTATTCCCAGCTACTTGGGAGGCTGAAGCAGGAGGCTACGGTGAGCTGAGATCACGCCACTGCACTCCAGCCTGGGCAACAAGAGCGAAATTCCATCTCAAAAAACAAAAAAACAAACAAAAAAAAAAAACAAAAAAAACACAGCAGACACTTAAACTATAAAATAAGACAAGGGGCCAGGCGCGGTGGCTCAAGCCTGTAATCTCAACACTTTGGGAGGCTGAGGTGGGCGGATCACGTGAGGTCAGGAGTTCGAGACCAGCCTGGCCAACATGGTGAAACCTGGTTTCTACTAAAAATACAAAAAAATTTAGCCAGGCCTGGTGGTATGTGCCTGTAATTACAGCTACTCGGGAAGCTGAAGCACGAGAATCACTTGAATCCAAGTGGTGGAGGTTGCTGTGAGCCGAGATTGTGCCACAGCACTCCAGCCAGGGCAACAGAGGGAAACTCTGTCTCAAAAAAAAAAAAAAAAAAAGAAGGCGAGAAACAGGTTGGCTGATATTTCTCAGAGGAACAAATTAGCCAAGAAGAAATGAGAGTGCCAGGAGTGGGGAAACTATTAAATGTGATTCTATATTTAATCAAATACCTAACTGGGAAAATAATAAAGATTGAGTAATGCTGCATAGATATGTTCTGAAATAATGTATACCAGTTTTAATATATCTGTATATACTTCTCTTAAAATAGTTTTATTCCTACATAATACATAATAGCTTATATATACCTAACATATTATATATAGAGGCATACCTTGGATATATTGTGAGTCCAGTTCCAGATCATCATAATAAAGTGAGTATCACAATAAAGGAACTATCTTTAAGGAGAGTCACACAAATTTTTTGGTTTCCCGGTGCATGTAAAAGTTACGTTTACACTATACTGTAGTCTACATTATGTCTGAAATAGCATTACATCTAAAAAAAAATGTACATACCTTAATTAAAAATTCTATTGCTAAAAATGCTAACGATCATCTGAGCCTACAAAGAGTGGTAATCTTGCTGATGGAGGGTCTTCCCTTGTTTGCTGCTGACTGATCAGAGTAGTGGTTGCTGAAGATTGGGGTGGCTGTGGCAATTTCTTAAGACAACAACGAAGTCTGTCACACTGATTGACTCTTCATTTCACAAAAGATTTCTCTGTAGCATGCAATGCTGTTTGTAAGCATTTTACATAGTAGAATTTCTTTCAAAATTGGAGTCAATCCTCCCAAACCCTGCAGTTGCTTTATCAATTTGGTTTATGTAATATTCAAATCCTTTGTTGTCACTTCAACAATGTTCACAGCATCTTCACCAGGAATAGATTCCATCTCAAGAAACCTTTTTTTCTGCTCACCCATAAGAAGCAACACCTTATCCATTCAAGTTTTCTCATGAGACTGCAACAATTCAGTAACATCTTCAGGCTCCATTTCTTACTGTTGGTCTCTTGCTCTCTGCACATCTGCAGTTACTTCTTCCACTAAAGTCTTGAACGCTTCAAAGTCATCAATACGGGTTGGAATCAAATTCTTCCTAACTCTTGTTCATGTTGATATTCTGACCTCCCATGAATCATGAATGTTCTTAATGACATCCAGAATGCTCAATCCTTTCGGAAGGTTTTCCATTTACTTTGTCCAGATCCATCAAAGGAATCACTATCTACAGCATTTAGCCTCATGAAATATAGTTCTTATTAATAAATAATAAGGCTTGAAAGTCAAAATTCCTCTTTGCTGCTCCATACGCTGCAGAAAGTACACTGTGTTAAGAGGCATGAAAACAATTCATCTCTGTCAGAGCTCTTGGGCGACTAGGCGCATCATCAAGGAGCAGTGATATTTTGAAAGGAAACTTTTTTTCTGGGCAGTAGGTTTCAACAGTAGGCTTAAAGTATTCAGTAAACCATGCTATAAATCGATGCACTGTCATCCAGGCTTTGTTGCTCCATTTCTAGAGCATGGGCAGAGTGGATTTAGCATCATTCTTCAGGATTCTTAAGATTTTGGGAATGGCAAATGAGCACTGGCTTCAACTTAAAGTCATTGGCTGCAAGATCCCCTAACAAGAGTCAGCCTGTCCTTTGTAGCTTTGAAGCTAGGCAATGACTTCTCTCTAACTAGCAAAGTCCTAGAAGATGGCATCTTCTTCCAGTAGAAGGCTGTTTCGTTTACACTGAAAATCTGTTTTTAGTGTAAACTTCCTTCATCAATTACCTCAGCTAGATCTGGAGATTTTGCTGCAATTTCTATATCAGCCCTTGCTGCTTCACCTTGTACTTTTATGGGGGTGACTTTCCTTATACCTTATAACTGACCTCTGCCAGCTTTCAACTTTTATTCTGCAGCATCCCCACCTCTCTCAGCCTTCATAACACTGAACAGAGTTAGGGCCTTGCTATGGATTAGGCTTTGTCATAAGGGAATGTTGTAGCTGGTTTTATTTACTACCCAGACCACTTGAACTTACTCTATATCAGCAATAAGGCTGTTTTGTTTTCTTATCATTCATGTGTTTGCTGGAGGAGGACTTTCGATCTCCTTCAAGAATTTTTCCTTTGCTTTCACAACCTGGCTAACTTATTTGGTACAACAGACCTAGCTTTTGGCCTGTGTTGGCTTTTGACATGTCTTCCTCGTAAGCGTAATCATTTCAAGCTTTTGATTTAAAGTGAGAGACATGCAACTCTTCCTTTCACTATAACATGTAGAGGCCACTGTAGGGCTATTAATTGGCTTAATTTCAACATTGTTGTGTCTCAGGGAATAGGCAGGCCCAAGGACAAGAAGATGGGAATGGCCAGTCAGTGGAGCAGTCAGAACACATACAACATTTATCAATTAAGTTTGCCATCTTATATCGCCAATGTTCATGGCACCCCAAAACAATTATAATAGCAACATCAAAGATCACTGATCACAGATCATAACAGATACAATAAAAGTTTGAAATATCGTGAGAATTACCGAAATGTGACACAGAGACACCAAGTGAGCACATGCCATTGGAAACATGGCATCAACAGAACTGCTTGACACAGGATTTCCACAAACCTTCAATTTATAGAAAAGGCATGATTTGTGAAGCACAGTAAAATGAGGTACGCCTGTATAATATTTTCTCTAATGCCTTGAAGATAAACTCGTGGAACATTAAAGTTACACTTAAATGTTATTATCCCAAGATGATTCTCCTTTAGAAGAATTAAACTGAATATTCTCTGAATTACAATACCAAAGGGCAGTCAAAGGGAAATTTCATTTTCTCATCAACACGAATGTTGTCTGAAGAGCCTTCCAAATTGAATATATATTTCATAATCCTATAATTAATGCTTGGTAACTTCACCTAGACAGAAAAATGAGATGCATTTCAACATGTACTTGATAATTTGTCAGCAACTGCCACCCCATTATCAATAAAAAAGAAGAAGAAAAGGCAAGAAAACCACCAACGAGGTCAAGTATACATGCTGGATTTTTAAAAATAATTCAATCTTTTTTCAAAACAAAAACCTCTGCACCCAGCCATTTAAACACATAAAGATCTATGGGGCCAGGAAAGGTGGATCATACCAGTAATAACAGCATTTTAGGAGGCTGAGGCAGGAGGATCACTTGAGCCCAGGAGCTCAAGACTAGCCTGGACAACAAAGTGAGACCTCATCTCTACTAGACATTTAAAAAATTAGCCAGGCATGGGCTGGGCGCAGTGGCTCACGCCCGTAATCCCAGCACTTTGGGAGGCCAAGGTGGGTGGATCATGAGGTCAAGAGATCGAGACCATCCTGGCCAACACGGTGAAACCCCGTCTCTACTAAAAATACAAAAATTGGCTAGGCGTGGTGGCACGCGCCTGTAGTCCCAGCTACTCAGGAGGCTGAGGCAGGAGAATCGCTTGAACCTGGGAGGCGGAGGTTGCAGTGAGCCGAGATCGCACCACTGCACTCCAGCCTGGTGACAGAGCGAGGCTCCATCTCCAATAAAATAAAATAAAATAAAATAAAATAAGCTAGGCATGATGGCATGTGTCTATAGTCCCTGCCACTCTGGAGGCCAAGGCAGGAGGATTGCTTGAGCCAAAGAGTTCGAGGTTGCAGTGAGCTATGATCATGCCACTGCACGCCAACGTGAGTGATAGAGCAAGACCCTGTCAAGGAATGGGACAGGGATGGGGACAGGGACAGGGAATGGAAGGGGAAGGGGAAAGGACTGCTTGAGGTCAGGAGTTTGAGAACAGCCTGAGCAACATAGCAAGACCCCGCATCTCTCAAAAAAAAAAAAAAAAAAAAAAAACACCTTAGCTAGCCATGGTGGTGCACACCTGTGGACCTAGCTACTTAGAAAGCTGATGTGGGAAGGTCATTTGAGCCCAGAAATTTGAGGCTGCAGTGAGCTATTATCATGCCACTGCTCCCCAGTCTGGGCGACAGAATGGGACCATGTCTCTTCCAAAAAAAAAAAAAAAAAAAAAAAAAAAAAGCCAGGCATGTTGGTTCATGCCTGTAATCCCAGTATTTTGCGAGGCCGAGGTGGATGAATTGCTTGAGTCTACGAGTTCAAGGCCAGCCTGGGAAATAGCAAAACTCCAACTCTACAAAAAATACTAAAATGGTGGTGGTGCATGCCTGTGGGGCCCCAGCTGGGGTGGAAAGATGGCTTGGGTACGGAAGGTGAAGGCTGCAGTGAGCCGAGATTACACGCCACCCCAGCCTGGGTGACAGAGTGAGACCCTGTCTTCAAAAACAAACAAATGACGTTTTTAGTTTTGGAAAATTTGAAAACATCTTAAGTGCTTATCAACAAGGAATTATTTAAATCAGCAGTTCTCAAAATGTGGTCTGCAGACAGGCAGGAGGCCCTAAGATCCATTTTCATAATAATGCTAAGAAGGCACTTTGCTTTTCAGTATTCACATTTGCACTAACGGTGCAAAAGCAACAGTAGTTAAATCTGCTGGTGCCTTAGCAAGAACCAAGACAGTGACACAAAACTATACGAGTAGTCACTGTACATTTATTACTACCAACTCTCACAGTACTAATAATGTGAGTTTCATATAAGAATGCCTTTGGGCCAGGCATGGTGGCTCACACCTGTAATTCTAGCACTTTGGGAGGCTGAGGTGGGTGGATCACCTGAGGTCAGGAGTTCAAGACCAGCTTGGCCATCATGGTGAAACCCTGTCTCTACTAAAAATACAAAAATTAGATGGGCATGGTGGCAGGTGCCTGCAATCCCAGCTACTTGGGAGGCAGACGCATGAGAATGAACCCAGGAGGCGGAGGTTGCAGTGAGCCAAGATCGCACCATTGCACTCCAGCCTAGGCAACAAAGTGAAACTCCGTCTTGAGAACAAAAAAAAAGGAATGACTTTGATGAGGCAATAAACATTACCAGTTTCATTAAATTTCATTCTATTTCCATATTTTTCATAATCTGCACAAAAACCACTTCCACTACTGTAAAACAAAATACAATATTTAGGCAATTGTCTGAACTTAAGATTGTTGCTTAAAATTTAAGCTTTCAGTAGAAAAATCAGAATTTTAGAAAGATTTCATCTGCCACTGTAAGCCTGACAACTTCCTAAAAATCAAAGACGCTTAATGAGTTTAGAGGTAATATTAATGAATTATTATTGTTTGATACTATATAAGAAAATGTGTCAACATTGGAAGATCTGCATAACTCACTGAACCATTATTTTCCAAATAAGCAGTGTATGATGTTAAAAATCTTACACAGGTAAGAGATCCATTCCAGATGCAAGACACTGACAGACCAATGGATTTTAATGTAACAAAGTAGAAAAAAATTCTTGGATATGGTTTCAGATTCCACATTGCAACTAGCCTCTAAGAAACCTAGTATCTCTTTGAGCATGTGTCCTACGAAAAAGGGGGGGGAAAAAAGAAACCTAGTAGTGTATCAAAGGAGCATATCAACAATTATTTTTAAAGGCTTTTAAAAACTATTCTCCCTTTTCCAACCAAATACCTGTGTGAGGCTGTATTGTCTTCTTATACTTCCAATGAAACATCTTAACTCCATAGACTGAAGGCAGAAACAGCTATGAAAATCCAGTTGACTTCTAAGACGGCAAAAATGCGGCCAGGTGCGGTGGCTCATGCCTGTAATCCCAGCACTTTGCGAGGCCGAGGTGGGTGGATCATGAGGTCAGGAGTTCAAGATCAGCCTGGCCAACATGGTGAAACCCCGTCTCTATTAGAAACTACAAAAATTAGCCGGGCATGGTGGCACACACCTGTGGTTCCGGCTACTAGGGAGGCTGAGGCAGAAGAATCGCTTGAACCCGGGAGGTGGAGGTCCAGCCTGGGCGACAGGGCGAGACTCCGAAAAAAAAAAAAACAGATGGCAAAAATGCTGTTCTTCCCATTATATATTTTTTATTTCAAATAATTATTTTCATTACAAAATGTCACTTAGGTTAACATGTGATAGATTTTCTAAACGAATAATTTTACATTTCTCAAGTTTTTCAGGTGAAATTATACATTTTTAAATGTGAAAAATAAAATAACATCTTAGCATTATTTACTGTAAAAATATAGTAAATAACAATAGATAAAAATCCACATAAAGCTCTGTAGAGTCACCAATAATTTTTAAGAGTGTAAAGGAATTGTGAGACCAAATACTTGAGTACTGCTGATTTAAATAAAATATCATACATCCACGCAAGTGACTACTATGCAACTATTAAAAAGTTTAAAAAAAAAAGCTTAACTGTGTGGTAAAGTTTTCCTAAAATTGATATGAAACCCAGAAACCACTGAGGAAAAGCAGTATTTGCCTACATGAAAATTAAAGACCTCTAAAAAAAAAAAAACCATACAATTCCACAGACAATGTTAGAAGACAAATGATATGGATAACCTGTTTCTTTCTGACTTAATACTCCTCCAACTTCCCTGCCTTGGGTGAGTTAGCACTCTAATATAAAATGCTTGGAAATAAACTTGAAAAGATATTCCATAACTTGTTAGCTTGAAAGTAGGGGAAAAAAAAGATAATCCAAAAGAAAAAAAATAGAAGAACTGAATAATCTGTCCTCAGATAAAAACCACAAATCATCAATATGAAAATATTTTGAAACTTCAATTTTAAAATGCAAATTGAAAATACTGAAATTGTTTTCCCAAATCAGACTGGGACCAATCTGATTGGCAACAACTTAAAAGACTAATCACATGAGTTAGCAAGGATATAGAAACCAGGAACTCTCAAACTGTTAAGTCTAAGCCAATAAAACAGAATAATGTGGCAGTATCTGCGCAAAGGTTGTTAAAGGGTAATCTTTGTTCTAGGAGATCTGAAATTTTACCCTATATATTCACACAAGTGCACAATTATGTAAGGATGTAAATTACAGCACTGTGTGTAAAAAGAAAAATCTATACAGCCATTAATGTAAACCTAATAAAATATATGGTGGTATATCAATATAATGCAAGACGGTGGTTTAAAACAATGAGGTAAAATATGCACATACAAACAGAAAAGTCAACTGTATAGACGTATGTATTAAAAAGTATACATATGTGCATTTAATACTTCTGGAATACAAACCAAATTTAACATTGACTACTCTGGGGAGTGAAGAAAGTAAAATGCAAGAAGTAAATAATGAGAAAACTGCCAAAATTGGAGCCATAAAACATAGTATTTTTCCAAATGATACTTGCTATTTTACACAAAAAGTAGAATTTATAGAGAAACTGAAGTCCCCAGAGACTTCATTTTAAGATTTAAACTTTTTTTTTTTTTTTAAACTGATGAGGACACTTAAGAATCCCTTCTTAGACTCCATTCAAGCTGTGAGGGATATATGCCTTGTTTACTTCTCCCCACAATAAAAGTGACACCAAGAACTAGGTTCACAGACAGCTAGAAGATATACAGTTTGTTTCATATCACTGAAAAAAATGAAAAAAAAATGTGGGTTTTGGTGCTACTATTAGGTTAAACTATATAAGACTGCCTCTAACGAATTGTTCAACCTAATACATGTGGTACATTGCTTCCCTGAGGAAGGATTTTATCCTTTATAGACTGTTTGACCTCTGATGTCCCACTAGCTGAGAATCTCCATTGTCTAAAAAACTGATTTGTTCCTCACTGGAGGATATACTGAACCAAAGGGTCTCCTATGAGAAAACTGCATACAGCATATTTGAACTATTTATTTCAGTAGGTCTTCCATGATGAATAAAGGAAACATTTAAAAAAATTGAGATCATAAAAAAATTTTAATAAATGAAACAATTATAAATAGACTTGTGGACTCTTTTAAGTAGAGAGTGAATGGTCTGCCCTAAAAAAAGTAAATAAAAACAAAAAAAGACAAGAAATGAACTGAAATACTTCAAGAACCTCAGAAGTTAATTCCAATTTACTTTCCTCTAGATTGTTACAATGTTTCTGAACTGCCATTTTCTTCCCACCATCAGCATTCAGTGAACTCAAGTTAATTCTCATATACCCCAGAAAATAAATAAAAACAAACCTACTGGAAAGGAGTGGGAAGAGTTGGGAAAAGCCATATAATGAACTAATACTCAATTTCCTGTTACACTATTAACTATGAAAACTTAACTAATTTTAATCTGTCCCCTTTTCTAGTCTCTCACTTACAAACCAACCAACCTTCAAACTCCACATTCCCTGGCTCTCGTTTCTCATTCTCAGTCCAACTTCAAGTCACCTGTTCTTACTCTATACATCTGTATATCTCCTATTCACTCTTCAAACTGCCCTAATCTCTTTTTCCATGTTTTATGGAACTACTCTATGGAACCTTACTAAAAAACTTTTTCCCAAGTCAGCACGGACTTTTTTAAAAGTGTTCAATCCAATGGATATTTTGACATCTTGCTTCATTTGACCTTTTTAGCACATGTGCTGTAAACCACCCTATCTTAGAATAAACCACCTTCTTGGTTTCCATGACCACCACTGTCTCTTTTTTTTTTTTTTGAGATGGAGTTTCGCTCTTGTTGCCCAGGCTGGCAGGCAATGGCGCGATCTCAGTTCACTGCAACCTGCACCTCCTGGGTTCAAGCAATTATCTCACCTCAGCCTCCCGAGCAGCTGGGATTACAGGCGTCTGCCACCATACCCAGCTAATTTTTGTATTTTTTAGTAGAGACGGGGTTTCACCATGTTGGCCAGGTTGGTCTCAAACTCCTGACCTCAGGTGATCCGCCCGCCTCCGCCTCCGCCTCCGCCTCCTGAAGTGCTGGGTTTACAGGCGTGAGCCACCGCGTTGGGCGACCACCACTGTCTTTGTATGTCCATCCTTCATAGGCATTCTTCTTCAACAAAAGCCTCCTATATGATGCTAGTATCCCCGGTCTTTGTCCTGAGTCAAGTTCACTTCTCCTTAAGGGAACTTATTTACTAATGTGGCTTCCATTATGACCAATACTTTTCAAACTAATCTCTCACATAGCTCCTTTTGAACTCAAGACTCACACATAAAACTGTCTGCTGGTCATGGGTCATCCAAGTGAAAATAGAACCCTCAACCTTAGCATATCTAAAACTAGTCTCATAATCTAACTTTCCCTTCAAACTTGCCCCATTCACAATTTACCTTGTGGCCTAACTCAGAAAACCTAGGTGTTAGAAAGCTTACCTGTTCTGTAGGGGATGTTTAATATAGTGTTCTGGGTTAGCAACCTCCTGATTAGATTCCGTTTTCTCCTCTTCTGTAGTCGGGGGATTAGGAGTAGGGGTGGTTTCCTAGTGGAAAATAATATAAAACATTATTTTAAATGTCTTAACACATCTATGACAGCAATATTCTAACTAAACCTGAACTGATATGCTGATAATTTTTTTTTTTTGAGACAGAGTCTCTCTCTGTTGCCCAGGCTGGAGTGCAGTCGTGCGATCTTG
Source organism: Homo sapiens (assembly GCF_000001405.40). NCBI lineage: Eukaryota > Metazoa > Chordata > Mammalia > Primates > Hominidae > Homo > Homo sapiens. Next base: position 98,902,139 of record NC_000004.12, read on the forward strand.
GCTCACTGCAACCTCCTCCTCCTCCCAGGTTCAAGCAGTTCTCCTGCCTCAGCCTCCTAAGTAGCTGGGATTACAGATGTGTGCCACCATGCCTGGCTAATTTTTGTATTTTTAGTAGAGACGGGGTTTCACCCCGTTGGTCAGGCTGGTCTTGAACTCCTGACCTTGTGATTCACCTGCCTTGGCCTCCCAAAGTGCTGGGATTACAGGCGTGAGCCACCACACCCGGCACTAGTAGTATTTTTTAAGAAGAAGGAATTAAAGCAGATTGCTTCATAAAACAGACCACAGACCAAACTCTAAAGAACCATTCTCTATTCTCATATCTCTTCATTAAGAGCAAAGAGCAAACGGTTTCTCAAATTTGAAAATATAACAGTATTTATAGTTATCCTTCCACTTGCACTTTTTTTTTTAAATAGCAGGAAGACTGTCACAGACTATGCAACAAAGTTGGGAAAATCTTCTATCTTTCTTAACATACCATCATATTAAGATACTGCATATGGTACTGAAGGGGGTATCAGGAAGGATACAGGATGGAAACTAAAGTTTCAAGAGTATAACAACTGTATCACTGGGCACTGTGGTGCGTCTCTACAATCCCAGCTACTCGGGAGATTAATAGGAGGATTAATAGGAGGATTGCTTGAGCCCAGGAGTTTGAGACCAGCCTGGGCAACACGGCAAGACCCTGTCTCAAAAACAAACAAAACAAAACAAAACAACATTATGATGACAAAAAAGCTTTGTAAAGTGATCAAGCCAATGATGCGCAGGTCTTACCTTCATGGCATACTGTTTACCCTATCGTAACCTAAAAGTTCGGCAACTTAATATTTTCAATGGAACCTAACAAGATGGACATTGGCTTGAACTTAAATCTTCTTTTAGGCTAGACAAAATTAACACTGTCATCTAAAAATATCAGAAAGAAAAGTAGTCTGGGGGCAGTAATTTAAAATAGGTGTTCACCACATTCTTCCATGTAGCTCTTCATACTATCATAAATTGTTGTCAACAAAAGAAGAGAGCCAAAGAAAGGCACTAGGACAAAGACTGATACCAAAAAAAGGGCAATGCAACAAGTGTTTGGATATCAGACTGAAGCAGCAAACAACAGAGATCTATGTTAACATAACAAGATATGTAAGTCAAATATTTATTGTCTAAAAGAATGCAGAGCAGAAAGGTGGTAAATATTTATTTGAAAGAATATGGGTTTTTTTTTTTTTTGTATTTTATTTTTCTTAGAGATGGGGTCTCACTCATAGCTCACTGCAGCCTCAATCTCCCTGGCTCAAGCAATCTTCTTGCCTCAGCTTCCACGGTAACTGGGACTACAGATAGGCACCATGATACCTGGCTAATTCTTTTTTATTTTTAGTAGAGACAAGGTCTCACCATGTTGGCCAGGCTGGTCTCAAACTCCTGAGCTCAAGCAATCCTCCCACCTTGGCCTCCCAAGGGATATGTTTTTTCTTATCAACATATGACATGTACAAGAATTTCTATTAGCCTATAAAGTCACCCAGAACGGAGACCATGTCTTGATTTTACTCAATAATCACAGTACTTAACCCAACAGGAACTTATTAACTTGATTACTTAACTGAATAAATTTAAATGTTTACACAGAATGATTAAGGCCTGAAAATTGACATACAGTAAGTAATGCCTTAAAACCAAACATTTTTATCAACATTTACTTACCAGTAAATTTAAGTGTTCAAACAGATAATTACTGAATGACATTTCCTATCCCACTAGCTTAAAATTAATGATGGGTTTCCAGGCAGACAGTGGGAGTCTCGATGAAAACAATGAGAGACTGGCAGGCAGGTAGGCTTTGGGGGACAGGGTACCAGAGAAAAACTGCTGTAGATGAGAAGTGGGCTCCTCAATATATGTAAAAATCCCTCACAGGTTTTTGGCTAACTCCTAAACTGGCACTTTCAGAGCGTAACTCTGGTTGGCCTAACAGAGAAGAACAGCTAAGCCAAAACTTGCAACTGCCCAGTATTTGTGAAACGTAAGCAGAACGGGTGCAGGGACTTATGTCTGTAATTGCAGCACTTTGAGAGGCCAAGGCGAGAGGACTGCTTGAGTCCAGGAGTTCGAAAACAGCCTCAGCAAGTGAGACCCAGTGAAGAAAGGGGAAGAAAGAAAAAGAAACAATCCTCTTTCTCTCTCTCTCTCAAGTCTTTGGACATACAGGAATTAAAAGCAAGTTATCACTCAGGAAAAACATATTCAGTTCCTAGAATTTTAAAGTGTTATTTTGAATTAAAATAAAAGTCCCACTGTAAGTAACTGATTACTATAGTCTTCATATCAAGAACACATAATCGGCCGGGCATGGTGGCTCACGCCTGTAATCCCAGCACTTTGGGAGGTCAAGGCAAGTGCACCACCTGAGCTCAGGAGTTCAAGACCAGCCTGGCCGACATGGTGAAACCCCATCTCTACTAAAAATGCAAAAATTAGCTGGGCGTGGTAGCACGCGCCTGTAATCCCAGCTACTGGGGAGGCTAAGGCAAGAGAATTGCTTGAACCCAGGAGGCAGAGATTGCAGTGAGCACAGATCGTGCCACTGTTCTCCAGCCTGGGCGACAAGAGCAAAACTCAGTCTCAAAACAAAACAAAAAAGGACACATGATTTTGTACTTTTCCAACAACTTAAAAAAGGAGCTACACATTTTTAAATATGTGTGTATGTATGAATCAGTAAGTATACTAATTTAAAATCTTTAGTCTTCACTTTTAAACATACTAGATTTTAAAACGAATGATGTGAAATACCATAAAAATTTTTATTGGGCATAGACAGTCATCTTTTCGTATGATCTATATGGGAACTAAAAAATATTTCAAGAAACAAGTTCTATTTTAAGGTATCTAACCTTATTTTTAAGATTGCTTCCTATAGACACTAAATAGTTTTAAGTTTACATTCAGTTTAAAAACAAAACTCTACTGCAAAATCCTACCATATTCCTCTCTCTACTCTCTTAGGCTAGTGTTCTCTCAATGAGCAAATTTCACTGGAAATTACATCCTAAATGACCGATCTCAGGTTCTATCAGGGAATTTAAAAAAAAAAAAAAGGAAAAAAAATTAAATGACCAGTATTTCTAGGTTTATAAACTACTTGGACAAAAAAGTAAAGGCTAATTTAGCAGATTATGGCTAATCTCAAAGTAGTCAAACACATTTTTACCCTAAAATAGGCAATCTTCCCTTGAAAAAGCATCGTGTAACGAATTTTAGGTGGGTAGAATAGGGAGTAAGAGCGAGGCCATGGGATGGTGCTGTGTTCATCCAGGTAGTGACCAATGTGGCTGAAAGAGAGGGTTCATGAAACCAAAGAGCTAGAATGGTAGGTTGGAGTGAGACTGTTAAAGGCCTCAAAGGTCAGGCTAAAAGTGTACCTTTCATCTTGGGGGCAATGAAAGCCATTAACTAGAAGGTCAAAGAGATTAAATACAAATGGCAAGTGAGGGAAGAGAAAAAGATAACCAATTTGAGAGCAAAGTATTAAACCTGGTTTAAGATTTGCTGAGTTTATCAGCTTCAAATAAAAATGTTCAGTATTGTAATTTAGCAAACCCAGGGCTGAATAAACTGTCATAGCAACAAGAGAAAGTTGAAAGCGAAGAAAAAAAGCAAGCAAGGGTGAGAAAAGTCTAACAACTGGCTGCAAAGAATGTCAGGTAGCTTTTTACTACATTCTGCAAAAATTAGCACAGGTATAATATTAATCTTACAGGACAATCCTAATATTATAGAGGTAAATATTTCCCAGATCTAGCATCATTCTGTGGTGTTTTCAATAAATCTGACTAAACTTTAGGTTCTCCTCATCATGTTCAAGTCTACATTGCTTAAATTCCAAAACCATGATGTGCTTTTCCATAGTTTTGAACATTCAAGATTTCTCAGCAACTCTCAACCTAAATATACATATAAACCACTTCTAGAAATAATGATGAGCCTTTCCCCTCAGAATACCCCATTTGTGTCCTCCATTACCTTCATTCAACAAATATCTACTTACTCACAGGAACTTCCAAAAAATTTTTTTCCAGGTTAAGACAAATCACCCAACACCTTATTTGAAGTATGGAATAATCAGTAGTCCCTCTTGGCACTAATAATGGTTTGAACCAGTAACTCAAAGTATAGTCCACAGACTACTACTGCTGGTCCACAAACTGGTTATGGTTGACAGTGAGGTTAAGTATAGAAATGCAAAGTAAACACTTTGAAAATCTGTAGCAATTTGACAATTTTGTATCTGCTGAAACTAATCAAATTCAGGCTTACATATTGTATGCATGTCTTCATCTTTATCATTTTACAAAAGTATTATATTAGAAATTTTTAAAAAAAGGCCAGGCATGGTGGCTCATCCCTGTAATCCCAACACCTTGGGAGGCCAAAGCAGGAGAATCTCTTGAGCCCAGGAGGCCAAAATAGGAGCATCACTTGAGTCCAGGAGTTCTAAGGCTGCGGTGAGCTATGATAGCACCACTGCATTCCAGCCTGGGTGACAGAGTAAGACTCTGTCTCTAAAAAATTAAATGAAATGAAACTTTAAAAACAAACACAAACCAGATTGTCATCAGAATATGAGATGCACTGCTTCTGATCACACCCTCTAGAGCCATGTTCCCCATGTTGGAATCCCAGCTCTGCCATTCACAGCTGTAAAATTCAGAGCAAGTAACTTCCGTGGCCTCAGTTTCCTCATCTTAAAATGGGCATTGTGACATTTATCTCCTAGGATCACAATGGGGATTAAATGAATTAAAAAATAAAAGCATTTAAACTGTCTGATACATGGGAAATGCAAAATAAGGGTTGCTTTTTATAAAGTAGCTAAAAATGTTAAGTGAATGGTTACCTGGCTTGCCATTCTCCAAGTATTTATTCAGAGCAAACTATATGACCAGCCACTATGCTGAGTTGTTTCATATGATTTGTTTTAGAAAGAAAAAAATTTTTTAAATTATATTTATCACTTTCCTCCTTCCTAAATTCCTTCTGATATATGTAGATATAGGTATTCCTCCCAGAACAATAATGATTAATGCAATATAAAGTCATTTTAAAGTAAATTGAAGTAAGGAAACCTACTTTTCCTACTTTTAAAGGTACTCCCAGATACCCTATTTCCCCTTTTCTGTACTGAAGGCATCATATCTTTGGCCTCATGAATGGCTAAAATATAGCATTGAGCTGCAACTATCTATTACCAAGGAACAGCATAAAGGACATTGAAATCAAGCATCAAAAAAGGCACAAAAAAGGGGGCTAGAGGGAGAAAGACATTCTATATCAGGCACATTTATTCACATACCATCTTCTGTGCTTCCAAATAATGCTGCAACTGACAGTCTGTATATATCAGGCTCTGACTTCACTACTACAGTTTTCCTCTCATAACAGAAAAAGCAATCCCAGGTTTATCAGTCCCTGATGCACTAGGAGCCATACTGCAAAATGGGTAGCTCAACAAGACAGCCTGGATCCACCTCTAACCCCAACTTGATGAGTCCTTTAAGTCTTAAGATGAGTATGATAGGAGAAAACTTTCAGAGTACCATAGGGATTTAAGTGATCTAGGGTAAGTCCTTAAAATCCCTGTAAGGATCAGTTTCTTCCCTTGTAAAAAGTGCCGTGTGGGTTTTCATCAACAATCCAAGAGTTTGGCACTGAAGTGATCCATAACTGTCGGCTACCATGAGCAATCAGTACTTGAGATGACATTAATGTAAGAGTTTAGAAAGGTAAGAGCTGAGTAAATGCGGCATACTGAACTAGACTTCAAACTCTGGAGAAGTTCCAGTCCTTTAAATTTTAAGATGAGGAAAAAATTTTAAGAACAATAGAAGATAAATCACTAACATTCATATCCCAGTAATATCTGAACAAGGAGTGGTAACCTAAACTACCTAGGGTATGCTCTCTAAATTATTGTCCTGGCTCAATAATTTCTATCTATCCTCAGATCCTTACACCAGACCTTCCCCACCTTCACCCCACCCCCAATCATACACACAGTAAGTAGGGATATGAAAAGAGAAAGAACTCGTGATTAAGTTAGAAATAATTACCCAGATTACTGTTACCACACCTAAATAATTCTGATACCAACACTCTCCCCCTTCCTGATGACACAAAAATATAAACGTGTTCGGTCAATGCTACAGCACCAAATAATGGATAACAACATGATTGGTGACTCATATCCAGTAGTGCTTCCTTATATTACCCCTTCCTTCACTTTCTGTAGCTGAACTGGAAAACCAGCTGTGTCCATATTAGAAATGTAAATGCTACATATGGCAAAGACAGCTGCAATTATTTCTACAAGGTACTAATACAACATTCTAGTAAATTGAAGTCACTATATTAAATAAAGGTATGAAATAATGAGCAGAAGGACAGACACAGTAAGAACAGAAAAGGATGGTGCTTTATGATTTTGAAAAGCTCACACCTCATCCAAACTATGAGTTTTTACTTGATAGGGAACATTTACTAAGCAGTAACTACCAGGCCATGTGCTACATTATTTTCATACATATTATCTCAACATACTATAAATCATCTCAATATAGTCAATCTTCATAATCCCGTGAAACAACCATTATTCTCTCCACTCTTCAGACAAATCTGAAGTCCTGGAAAAGTAAACATGTCATTTAAATCCAGGACTACCAGGGTTTACGGCTAAGAACACCACATGTCCTAGTTCTACCTGTTTGTTGTTTCAGTATAATTGTTAACAGAACTCTCACTCCCAAAGGTGGCCAGGACTGAATAATAAATTATATGGTTACAAAGATTCTCTTTCTAGGCAACATAAATCTATAATATATACTGTGCTCTGTTCTACAGCCTCAGGCTCAACACCTTTGCTCATCTTGCCAATGCATGTGACTGCCAATAAACTAGTAAAAAAGGCATGAATGGTACACCTCACCCTTCCTCCCAGACACACAAAAAAACCCACTACCAGGAAAAAAAGCAACTATATAGTGAGTTTGTATTATTATGCACAGCAGGACACTAAATACCCATTGGTCAAATATCTCACATATACAGGTAAGTGTAAGTAAAAACCTCTTTTATGTGTACAAATAACTTTAATGAGAACATTATTTAATACAAATATGTAAACAGACTTCATACGTTTCTGTTCCTTGTAGTATCTACTGTTAGTTCTCAGTTTTGTCATTCATTTGACAAATTAAATCAGGCAAAGAAATGTACACAATCACATAAAAAGAATCACGTTCTCACACTTGAACACACAGCAGTGGTCAAAAATAATGAAATGTAAACTGGACCCCATGATTTAATGCAAAAAACACCCTGTACATAAAAGTTTCAGGCTTCTAACTCCACTGAATCCAGTACTAAATGTTCTTTATATTCCTCAGCTTCTTCCAAGTCCTTTTCACTTTCTAAAATCTGCCAAAGAACAGTATATGCAGCTTCCAACCTGTGCTGGCAAACAAGGCTTATCACCTGGGATTCTCGCAGACTTTCTGCCTGCTTTTTAATGGCATCATTTTCACCATCTTCAGCTCTCATTTTTTTTCTTTCCTTCTTGTTTTGCTTCTTTTTCATGCATCACTTTTTCTCGACCAACTGCTTCACCACAGGAGTCTTAATTTGTCTCAGGACAGGATCAGCCATGGTCCCCCAAGCGCCATGAGAAGGGTGGGACAGAGAGCCAGGGTAATCATGGAGGAGGCGGCTGTCAGTCCTCAGTTCTTTTCAACAAACCATGCATTTCCTCACAGCACCCTCAAATATGTAAATTAGTATAATTAATTAACTAGTACACAAGAACAAATATAGTCTTACCACCTGTCTTGTAAGAAATAAAAAATTTGGTGAAAACACTGAAAAACTGCCTCAGGCTATTAAACTGTTTTGGTTTTTAGCTTTCAAACATCTATTTACAGTAAAGGAATACCAGCTAATCTGGCATCACTCATGAAAGTGTGGCTGTGGATTTTGCAGTCTTCCTTATCTGTAATAAAGGATCAAAACTATGACTTTTATACTCCTCCCTTAACCGAGAAAGTTGAAATAAAAAACACATGGAGATTTAGCAAAATACAAATCTTTCAACATTAAAACACTGCTCACATGGAAAAAATTTTTTCATGTAAAAGTCCCTGAGACATCATATATCAATCATGATTCAAAAGACAGTACTTCTTAAAGTGCTTTTCAATTAATATAAAATGGCAACTAAACAATAACAAAAAATCACTAGTAACTGGATTACTAAAGAGTTGTGATGATGTGTACAAATTGTGCAGTGTCCAAAAATACTACAAAAATTCAATAGCTGTTTATTTAAATAATAACCTAAATACTTGATCAAAATAAGTAGCACTAACTCATGAGTGAATAGAGCTGATTAAGTTTGTTGGGCTATAGCTAAATATTTACATTTCTGGATACTCAGCAAGCTATACTTGAACACATTTTATTAATTAAAAAAAATCCCAACAGTCTACACTTGCATTTCTGATCTTCAAATAAACAGTTTTAAAACTTGGATGGATTCTTTTTTTTTTTTTGAGACAGATTCTCACTCTGCCACACAGGCTGGAGTGCAGTGGCATGATCTCGGCTCACTGCAACCTCCACCTCCTGGGTTCAAGCAGTTCTCTTGCCTCAGCTTCACGAGTAGCTGGGACTACAGGCATGCACCACCACACCTGGCTAATTATTTGTATTTTAAGTAGAGACGAGGTTTCACCACTTTGGCCCAGCTGGTCTTGAACTCCTCCTGACCTCAAGTGATCCGCCCACCTTGGCCTCCTAAAGTGCTGGAATTACAGGCATGAGCCACCGCACCAGGCCTAAAACTTGGATGAATCCTTTTTTTTTTCCCTTTGAGACAGAGTCTTGCCCTGTTGCCCAGGCTGGATTGCAGTGGCGCGATCTCGGCTCACTGCAACTTCCATCTCCTGGGTTCAAGCAGTTCTCTACCTCAGCCTCCCAAGTAGCTGGGATTACAGGCGCCTGCCACCACGCCCGGCTAATTTTTGTATTTTTAGTACAGACAGGGGTTTCACCATCTTGGCCAGACTGGTCTTGAACTCCTGACCTCGTGATTCACCCGCCTCGGCCTCCCAAAGTGCTGGGATTACAGGTGTGAGCCACCGCGCCCAGCACATTCTTAACTACTAGAAAGAGTTGTAGGAGGCTGGGAACACTGGCTCACACCTGTAATCCCAGCACTTTGGGAGGCCGAGGCGGGTGGAGCATCTGAGGTTGGGAGTTTGAGACCAGCCTGACCAACATGGAGAAATCCCATCTCTACTAAAAATACAAAATTAGCAGGGCGTGGTGGCACATACGCCTGTAATCCCAGCTACTCGGGAAGCTGAGGCAGGAGAATCGCTTGAACCCGGGAGGCAGAGGTTGCAGTGAGCTGAGATCAAGCCACTGCACTCCAGCCTGGGCAACAAGAGCGAAACTCTGTCTCAAAAAAAAAAAAAAAAAAAAAAAAAGAAGACTTGTGGTCACCTTTTAACATTTTAAAATAAATTTTTTTAAAGAACATTCTTAAGGGAGCACTAACATGTACCTACTGATCAAATTACTTTGCACATATTATATAGCTTAAGCCAACATCACAAATTCAGTCTGGGTTTGGGGAGGTGATAACACAGACACAAGAAATAACAGATGTGTGATCTAGGATGACAAGGCTAATGATAAAATTTAAATGTCACTACTATTTAAACCAAAGGCTACCAGAAGATTCATAATTTAAAATAACTAGAAAAATTTACAGGCCGGGCACAGTGGCTCACGCATATAATCCCAGCACTTTGGGAGGTCGAGGCGGGCGGATCACGAGGTCAGGAGTTCAAGACCCACATGACTAACATGGTGAAACCCCATCTCTACCAAAAACACAAAATTAGCTGGGCATGGTGGCGCATGCCTGTAATCCCAGTTACTTGGGAGGCTGAAGCAGGAGAATCACTTGAACCCGGGAGAGGGAAACTGCAGTGAGCCAAGATCGCGCCACTGCACTCCAGCCTAGATAACAAGAGCAAAACTCCGTCTCGAAAAAAAAAAAGAAGAAAAAGAAAAAGAAAAATTTACATACGGCCAGGCACGGTGGCTCATGCCTGTAATCCCAACACTTTGGGAGGCCAACACGGGTGGATCATGAGGTCAGGAAATTGAGACCATCCTGGCCAACATAGTGAAACCCAGCCGCTACTAAAAAATACAAAAATTAGCTGGGCGTGGTGGTGCATGCCTGTAATCCCAGCTACGAAGGAGGCTGAGGCAGGAGAATCGCTTGAACCAGGGAATCAGAGATTGCAGTGAGCTGAGATCGCACCACTGCACTCCAGCATAGCGAAAGCAAGACTCCATCTCAAAAAAAAAACCACAAAGAAAAGAAAAATTTACATACGTTGAACATTATGCAAAAGTAAAAAAATGATTCAAAATATATCAACACTAAAATGGCATTACAACCAGTGCACAAAACTGTTGACTGCAGTAACATGATAATTTCCATTTCAATTATTCCTTAAAGCTTTATAAGAAGTATTTGAAAGGCAAATCTTTTAAAGAATTTAACTGCTATTTAAACGTTTATACATTTTAAAACTTAGAAAACATAACTAAAATTTCATGATACTAAATTCTAGTTTTTTAAAAAAATCAATCTTTACATGTCACAGTTCAAACAAATGAGCAGTTACTGTTAAAATTCTATGTGTTTTGCCGGGTGTGGTGGCTCACGCCTGTAATCCCAGCATTTTGGGAGGCCGAGGCAGGCGGATCACCTGAGGTCAGGTGTTCGAGACCAGCCTGGTCCAACATGGTGAAACCGCGTCTCTACTAAAAATACAAAAATTAGCCAGGTGTAGTGGCACGCGCCTGTAATCCCAGCTACGTGGGAGGCTGAGGCAGGAGAATTGCTTGAACCTGGGAGGCAGAGGTTGCAGTGAGCCAAGGTAGTGTCACTGCATTCCAGCCTGGGCAACAGAGCAAGACTCCATCTCAAAAAAAAAAAAAATTCTATGTGTTCATTTTCAAAAGTTAAAGGTTATAATTTCAATGTAAACTGTAGCTTTAATAAGGTCATTTTGTTTTCTGTAACAACTTCTTATCCAACAAATTTTTTTTTTCTTCTTTTCTTGCCTTCAGAGGAGGGTATCACTATTACTTAGGCTGGAGTGCAGGGGTGCAATCACAGCTCACTGCAGCCTCAAACTCCTAGGCTCAAGAGACGATACTGAATAGCTGGGACTACAGGCATGAGCCACCATGCCCAGCTAATTTTTAGAGACAGGTCTCACTATATTGCTCAGCCTGGTCTCAAACTCTTGGCCTCAAGTGATCCTCCTGCCTCAGCCTTCGAAGTTGCTAGGATTACAGGCATGAGCCACCACACCTGCCTTTTTATGTACCAAGGTTTTAAAATCACCTTTCAAAAGAAAATATTTTGAAGAAATATATACCTTAAAAAAATTTACAAAACCAGGTATAGTCATCAGTTTCATATGTTCCCAGGATTACAGAGTGGAATACAACCTTCTATTTACTTAGTTTAAGTTTTACTTAATTTAAGTTAAACTATCAAGCTTCCAAACGTAAAAGGATCTACTGAGTTCCAAGCCAAAACTAAATGGGAAAATAGAAAAATAATAAAATTAAAATAAAAACATCTACATTCTTTAACCTAGTAATTAGACTTCTAAGAGACAACACATCTATCAACAGATATAACCAAAAGGTAACAGATAAACAAACCACGGCGTTTATGATGTAAGCACTAAACATGTTTGTAAAAATTACTTTAAAACTAATACAAATGTGGAGAAAAGCAGATTACAGAACCATATAAAAATGAGCACTTAAAAAAAAAAAAAGGCCAGGCACGGTGGCTCACACCTGTAATCCCAGCACTTTGAGGCCGAGGTGGGCGGATCACGAGGTCAGGAGTTTAAGACCAGCCTGGCCAACATGGTGAAACCTCGTCTCTACTAAAAATACAAAAATTAGCCAGGCGTGGTGGCGCATGCCTGTAATCCCAGCTACTTGGGAGGCTGAGGCAGGAGAATCACTTGAACCCAGGAGGAGGAGGTTGCAGGTTGCAGTGACCTGAGACCGTGCCACTGCACTCCAGCCTGGCAACAGAGCCAGACTCCGTCTCAAAAAAAAAAAAAAAAAAAAAAAAAAAGCACTTTTTTTTTTTGCTTTTGACCTATTTTAAGAAGTCCTAAATAAACTGTAGTGCATCCAGAAAATGAAACATTGCTGAATGCTAAAATAAAATGAGTTATCAAGCCATAAAAAGACGTAGAAGGAACTTAAATGTATATTACTAAGTGAAAGAAGCTAAGCTGAAAAGGCTACATACTGTATGATTCTAACTCTGTGACACTCTGGAAAAGACAAAAAGATCAGTGGTTGGTGGGGAGGGTATAAACAAGCAGAACAGAGGATTTTTAGGGCTTAGTAAAATTATTCTGCACGATATTATAACCGCAGATACATGTCATTTTACATTTGACAAAACCCACAGACTGTACAACATCAGGAGTGAACCCTAATGTAAAGTATGAACTTTGGGTGACAATAACGTCAATTTAGGTTCATCAATTCTAACAAATGTGCCATTCTGTTGTAGGATGTTGACACTGGGAAAGCTGTACCTGCACCGGGGCAAGGAGTAAGTTACGGGAACTGTCTTTTCTGCTCAGTTTTGCTCCGAACCTAAAACTGCTCTAAGAAAATTAAGTAGTTAGTTTTTGAGACAGGGTCCCGCTCTGATGCCCAGGCTGGAGTGCAGTGGCACAATCACAGCTCACTGAAGTCTCGACCTCCAGGGCTCAATCAATCCTCCCGCCTCAGCCTTCTGAGTAGCTGGGACTACAGGCACATGCCACCACACCCAGCTAGTTTTTTGTATTAATATTTTTAGTAGAGACAGGGTTTCATCATGTTGCCTAGGCTGGTCTTGAACTCCTGGGCTTAAGCAATTCACCTGCCTCAGCCTCCCAAAGTGCTTCAGGTTTCAGGCATGAGCTACGCACACAAACCCGGCCGAAAATTAAGTATTTAAAAGGGAAAAAGAAAAGGTACGAAGAAGGATATGGTTAAAAAAAAAAAGAGAAGTTCACAAACAAGTGAACCAAAATATTACCAGAGAACACCTAGTTGTTGAGATTACAGATTATTTTTTCACAATGATCTAAATGTTCAAAATGTATTATAACAAAGTTATATTAAAGCCCAAATAAACATCTGAAACTACTCCTGGACTGCTCAGTGTATTCCAATAATCTGCCCATCCCCTCATGGGCCAACAGCCAATATCATATTTTTGTAAATTACTTTTTTTTTTTTTGAGACAGAGTCTTGCTCTGTCACCCAGGCTGAAGTGCAATGGCGTGATCTTGGCTCACTGCAACCTCCACTTCCCAGGTTCAAGCAATTCTCCTGCCTCAACCTCCCAAGTAGCTGGGATTATAGGTACCCGCCACCATGCCCAGCTAATTTTTTGTATTTTTAGTAGAGATGGGGTTTCGCCATGTTGGCCAGGCTGATCTCGAACTCCTGAACTCAGGTGATCCACCTGCCTCAGCCTCCCAAAGTGCTAGGATTACAGACGTGAGCCACTGCGCCTGGCCGTTATCTTTAATAATACTTTTCTTCATGGTACAGTAAGTTCCCCAGTCACCTTTGCTCTTCCTTCTTAAAACTTTGCTTCTGCTCATGCCTGTAATCCCAGCACTTTGGGAGGCCGAGGCGGGCGGATCACTTGAGGTCAGGAGTTCGAGACCAGCCTGGCCAACATGGTGAAAACTCGTCTCTACTAAAAATATAAAAATTAGCTGGGCATGGTGGTGGGCACCTGTAATCCCAGCTACTCGAGAGGCTGAGGTGGGATAATCACTTGAACCTAAGAGACAGAGGTTGCAGTGAGCCAAGATGGTGCCACTGCACTCCAGCCTGGGCAACAGAGTGAGGCTCTGTCTCAAAAAAAAAGTCTACGTACTTCCTCAAAGGAATAAGTTAAGATTTTGCATGTATATAACAATTACAGGAAGCTATAAAAATGAACATTCAGAGGACAAAAAAAAAAAAAAAAGGAAGAGAAGGAGGATGGGAGGGAGAAAATAAATACCTGGAAATTCAAAATGAATGGAAACTTAAAATGAAGGTTGAAAAATAAATGAAATTTCCCAGAGAACTAGTCCAAGAGATCTAATATCTGAGTAACTGTTTCAAAGAGAAAAAAGAGGAGAATTACCAATAAACCTATGAGAAGTGATGGACATGAGTGGCCATATTAAAAATGCCCAATGAGTACACAGTACAATGGATGAAAACAGACTTATACTAAGGTATATTATTGTGAAATAAGGACAAGAAAAAGAATCTACAAATTATAGGGAGTGAGGGTGAGAGAGCAACAGGTCACACTAAAAAATAATTTTTAGCTACCAGAATAATTTCAGACTCATCAGCAGCTACAACAGAAGTCCACCATGAAACTTGACTTCAGAATCCTGAAGAATTCTATGTCCAGCCAAACTACAGGTATGACACTTAATATTCAAGGCCTCAAAAATTTTTTTACTATGTACTTTTTCTCAAAAAACTGCTGGAGATCTGGCCCACCAACGTGAGATAAGAAACCAAATAACAGGAAGATAAAGGGCACAGCAAATGGAAGGGTGGAACACAAAAGTCAAATGAAAGAATCAGGAACATGGTAAAAGGAGATCCAGGGAAGACAAATGTTTACCATATATAAAGGGCAGCAGTCCAGATTGGAGCAATGTGATTCAGGTGAATGTGACTGGAGCAATGTGATTTAATGGCTGCTATGATTAAAATGCCTATTTTTATTATTCTACCTTTTCTAAACACACACACACACACACACACACACACACACACACACACACACACACACAAAAAAAACCCAAATGCTCAAGTGTCCAGCCCAGACTTTTATCTCTACTTAATTCTGCTTGACCATGTGTTCATGAAGTTCCTCTTCTCTCCTTTATGCCCTGCTAACTGTATTAGGTAACTTTACACCAGAAGAGTTCAGCTTTAATCCAATCTTAAAACAAGATACAGAGCAGCATATTCCCAAAGACCACTCTCTTACTGAAGATTCTTTGCCTGGCCCACAAAACAGCCTCACCAGATAACAACTATAAATCCTATGTTTCCCAGGACATGTCCATGATCATGCCCACTGGTTTCCCGAAAAAGGGCTCTAGTAGAAATTCTAGGAAGCTGAAGCCAAACTATAAACCAAAAACTGTGTTCAGATTATCATTTTTATGAGCCTTCATCCAATAGTGGCAATACCATCTTTCCCTTAAACATCTAGCTTTTTAGTTTTTTCAAAACTAAACAACACATAGCTGAAAGATACATACATGGGAGGTTAATGTAGAAAAAACAAAAAGCAAGGGAATGCTTGACTCAAAAGTCAGAAAAGAAGATGGAGGAGGGGCCAAAGATACAAGAATGTGATCACGGGAGTATTAAAAAAGCTGAAATGCTGCTGTGGTGTCCTAGGTCATGGTACATGTGTCTTCAGTTTACTACTCTAAAACCTGGCCAGGCGTGATGGCTCACACCTGTAATCACAGCACTTTGGGAGGCCAAGGCAGTAGGACTGCTTGAGCCCAGGAGTTTGAGACCAGCCTGGCCAACATAATGAAACTCCGTTTTTACTAAAAATACAAAAATTAGCCGGGCGTGGTGGCGCACACCTGTATTCCTAGCTACTTGGGAGGTTGAGGCAGGATGATCGCTTGAACGTGGGAGGCGGAGGTTGCAGTGAGCAGAGACTGCACTCCAGTCTGGGCAACAGTGAGACCCTGTCTCAAAAAAATTTTTTTTTGCCAGGTGTGGTGGCTCACGCCTGTAATCCCAGCACTTTGGGAGGCCAAAGTGGGTGGATTACCTAAGATCAGGAGTTTGAGACCAGCCTGGCCAACATGATGAAACCCTGTCTCTACTAAAAACACAAACAATTAGCTGGATGTGGTGGTGGACGCCTGTAATCCAGCTGGTCGGGAGGCTGAGGCAGGAGAATTGCTTGAACCCAAGAGGCGGAGGTTGCAGTGAGCCGAGATTGTCACTGCACTCCAGCCTAGGCAAGAGCAAAGCTCCGTCTTGGAAAAAAAAAAAAAAAGAAAGAAAAAAAAATTAAAGATAAAAGAAAACGTACATACCTATTTTATACTTTGTTTTTACATATAAACATTTATTTTGAAAAAGGGAGGAGCACTAAAAAAAAAATTGCAGCCTGAAAACCAACTATATTTGAAAAAGTGTTTTATCTGACCAACAGGG
This sequence comes from Homo sapiens, assembly GCF_000001405.40. Lineage (NCBI taxonomy): Eukaryota > Metazoa > Chordata > Mammalia > Primates > Hominidae > Homo > Homo sapiens. The sequence continues at coordinate 98,918,537 of NC_000004.12, forward strand.
TTTAAAATTTTTCAATCCGTTGTCAAAACATCTACTTTATAGATATATTATCTCGTGTATGGAATGATACAGGGAAAAGTTTATTTATCCCAGTAATGTTTGAAATAGCAAATGGTTGGAAATGACCTAAATATTAATATAGAAATAATTATGTTAAAACCAAATAGTGTAACATATACCATCAGAAAAAAGAAGTGAAAACTTTATGTGTTGATATGTAATGCTCTACAAGACATATTAAGTGAAAAAACACAATGTGCCAGAAAAGTGCACATAGCTGGCTACTATTTACTTTTTATAAATATACATATTTGCTGTATATGCACAAATCTCTATTAAAAGTTAAACAACTGACAATGCTGGTTGCCTCTAGGTCATCTGCCTGGATAGGGATCAGCTTCAGGAGACTGTGTACTTTTGCATAAAACTTGAGTTTTGAACACTGTAAAGTACTGTCTATTTACACACACATTTAAAAAACTAGTAAAAAGCCTGGGTGTGGTGGCTCATGCCTGTAATCCCAGCACTTTGGGAGGCTGAGGCAGGCAGATCATGAGGTCAAGAGATCAAGACCATCCTAGCCAACGTGGTGAAATGCTGTCTCTACTAAAAACACAAAAATTAGTTGGCAGTGGTGGCGCACACCTGTAGTCCCAGCTACTCAGGAGGCTGAGGCAGGAGTCACCTGAACCCGGGAGGTGGATGTTGCAGTGACCCGAGATCGTGCCACTGCACTCCAGCCTGACAACAGAGTGAGACACCATCTCAAAACAAAAACAGAAACAAAAAGACTAGCAAAAAAAAAAAAAACAAAAAAAAACATTAACCCACAGAAAAATTCTAATTCTATACAAGAGTAAATAACTATCTTTCAAAGTTTAAAATACAGAGCGACAAGCTTTTCTAGGATAGAATCATGTATCTAACCAAACTGGACATATCCAGTTATACCTTATAAAGTTGAACTAAATACAATATGTATACATACATTTGCACACACCAGAATTTCTAGATTCTTTTTCTTTTTTTTTTTTTTTTTTGAGATGGAGTCTTGCTCTATCACCCAGGCTGGCGTGCAGTGGTGCAGTCTTGGCTCACTGCAACCTCCGCCTCCCAGGTTCAAGTGATTCTCCTGTCTCAGCCTCCCGAGTAGCTGGGACTACAGGCACGTGCCACCACACCCAGCTAATTTTTGTATTTTTAGTAGAGATGGGGTTTCACCATGTTGGCCAGGCTGGTCTCCAACTCCTGACCTCAAGTGCTCCACCTGCCACAGCCTCCCCAAGTGCTGGGATTACAGGCGTGAGCCACCATGCCCGGCCAGAATTTCTAGCTTCTGAGGCCATACTGCACAATTAGGTAGCCATTACCTACATGTGGTTAATTATTAATATTAAATAAAGTTTAAAATTTATTTCCTTGGTTGCACAAGCCACAATATCCAAATGCTCAATTACCATGTACAGCCAGTGGCTACTGTATTGGACAGTAAAAAATACCCTTTCCATTATCTCAGAAAGTTCTCCTGGACAGACTTTTTCTAGTAGAATCCTCAAAAAATTGTAATTGGGCAATTTGGAAAGGGGAATGAGGTGGTTGGGGAAGATAGGCAGGAGATAGGTTTTCCACATTAGACAGAACTTAGCCTGTGCCAGATAATGTCCTTAATATGACTCATGCTAATTCAATCCTTGTTGTACTTCAGTATAAATTGGTTTCCTTTGTAAACCTATGCATTTTATGTAATACATGTTAAAACATTCTTTTTTCTTTTTTTTTTTTGAGACGGAGTTTCACTCTTGTTGCCCAGGCTGGATGCAATGGCACCATCTCGGCTCACTGCAACCTCCACCTCCCAGGTTCAAGCAATTCTCTTGCCTCAGCCTTAGCTGGGACTACAGGCACCCATGAACACGCTCGGCTAATTTTTGTATTTTTAGTAAAGATAAGGTTTCACCATTTTGGCCAGGCTGGTCTCGAACTCCTGATCTCAGGTGATTCGCCCATCTCAGCCTCCCAAAGTGCTGGGATTACAAGCATGAACCACTGTGCCTGGCCTGCATTTTAAAACACTCTAAGATAGGGGCTATAGGCTTTACCAAATTGCTATTTTGGACCATGAGTATGTAACTAAGTCAAAGAAAAAAAACAAAAAATAAAGAAAAGCTAAATACCATGATGTATAAACCAACATCCAAAACAGATTTTACAATCCACAACATGGTAACAAAGTATACAAGTTCAAATGAAAAAAATTTAACCCTCCTAATCCCACCATCCATAAACCATCTGGCATATTCTTTCAGTTAGAATTTTACACTTATTTGTGTACCTACGCATCAGTATCAACCCTAACATACAAGTTTTACTGAAGGATGGACTTTAGTTTTGGTTGAATTTGTTCCTCTTTTTACACAAGATAGTAATAAAGCTTGACACTCAGGTTTGAGTTCTCTCTCACTTATGTTAATTATGAGTTCTATAAAAATAACTTGCCTTGCTAAAAATTAAAAAAAAATTTTATATTCAAGTGCTATTCCTTTTGCGGCACCAAAACTTTGTATGTAACACTTAAGGAACTATGTGACCGTGGTAGAAAGTTAAAAATCACTTGAAATATGAATTCCTCACCTATAAAGTATTCATTTATTCATCAGAAAAAGAACTATAAGAAAAAATATACATTTCACATATCAATTAAAATATCAAACTTTCTTGCCTTAGTTAATACTTCTGACCAGATTTTGTGCCAACATAGGCTTACTGCCCCATAAGAAGTTTCACGGCAATACTAATATGTTGACATATATATGTAGACATATATATCAAAATTAGTTACAATATT